>NC_000020.11:44193506-44496537 GCF_000001405.40 Homo sapiens
CTCAAAAAAAAAAAAAAGTTAAGTCTGGTCATGTCTCTCTCCTCTGCTTCCCCAAATGACTCCCTATCTCTCACAGTAAGAGCCAAAGAGCCAACACCTTTAAAATAGCCTACCAGGCCCTCCATGATCTGGCCCTACTCATCTCTCTCTGACCCCACCTGCTCAAGTTGCATTGACATCCCTGTGGTTCCTTCTGCCAAGAATGCCCCTCCCTCAGATGCCCCCATGGCTCACTCTCTTACTTCCTTCAGGTCTCTGCTCAAATGTCACCTTATCACAGCATCTTCTCTGCCCACCCCAAATAGCAACCCTATCCCTGGCCCACCCCTTCCTATCTCCTAATTCTTTTTCTCTCCATACAACTTACATGTTCATCACCTCTCTCTACTGAGGACAAGGATATTGTTCTGCTTACTGTTCCATTCCCAGAATCTAGTACAGTGTCCCTGGTGTGTTGTAAGCACTTGATATTTATTGAATGAATGAATGAATGAATGAATGAATGAACGTTCAATGAAAACTTGTTAAATAAAGGCATGTGGAAATCAGGATGTTACTTTTTTGGAACATCAGAGTGAGACTTAATCCCTCAATCCACAAACCAAATCCATTTTCCTAGATGTATCAGAGAAAGGAGATTAGTTTGGTACATCACATTCACAAAAGAACGTCAAATATCCCAATGAGGGACCCTAATGTTAAAGTTGGGCCAATTAGGTCTGAGCAGAGTAATTTTTAACTTCAAGATTCATGTTTTGAGGAAGATTTTGCTGAGATGTAGATAACTTACAACTTATTCCCACAAATCTGGAATGCCTAAACTTTCATGCAAGTTGGATTTTGAGTTACTAGGTCATTGGAACTTTGTGCTTTTCAATACTTACACCCTCCTAACACCTTCATATGAAAAGAATACGTATCATCATTCTCTGGTGACTGCTGCACTAATATACAGCACTAAGTAAATAACCAGAGCGCTGGCTTGAAAAACAAACTAAAAGGGATTTAAAGGCTTAAGAACTCGCCTTAATTCAAAGAACATGTTAAGCCCATGTTAAGCCCACTTAACATGAACTTGAATAGCTCACTACTTAATTACAATAGCTCCACTCCTCTACAGCTTTTATTTTATTTTTGAGACGGAGTCTCGCTCTGTTGCCCAGGCTGGAGTGCAGTGGCGCAATCTTGGCTCACTGCAAGCTCCGCCTCCTGGGTTCACACCATTCTCCTGCCTCAGCCTCTGAGCAGCTGGGACTACAGGCGCCAGCCACCACGCCCGGCTAATTTTTTGTATTTTTAGTAGAGACGGGGTTTCACCGCGTTAGCCAGGATGGTCTCGATCTCCTGACCTTGTGTTCCGCCCGCCTCGGCCTCCCAAAGTGCTGGGATTAAAGGCGTGAGCCACCGTGCCCGGCCCAGTTTTAATTTTTTTAAAGGTGAGCCAAAACATTAGTTGTGGAGGTGAAAGCGGGGTGGTACCTTTACAACCAGAAGCTTAAATTTTGGTCCTGGAATCCCTGAGGCCCTTTTAGGAAATCTGAGGTCAAAATTATTTACATGGTACTAAAACATTACAGGTTGAGGGTCCCTAATCTGAAATGCTTCAAAATCCAGAACTTTTTGAGCACTGACATGAGGAGCAAAGGACATGCTCATTGGAGCAGTTTGGCTTTTAGGATTATGGAAGCTGAACTGATAAGCATGTAATGCAAATCTTTCAAAATCTAAAAAAAATCTGAGATCCGAAACACTTCTGGTCCCAAGCATTTCATATAAGGAATATTCAACCTGTAGTTGCCTTTTTCACATTCATTCTCCCAAGTGTACAAAAGTTTGCCAGAGACCACACAATATGCGATATCCCAGAGACTGAATGCAGAAACATATGAGAATCTGTCTTCTAATTAAGCCAAACATTAAAAAAGATTTGCAAAAAGGTAGAACAATGCCACTCTTCTATTTTTTGTTTTGGAAAAGCTATTTTTCATTCAAAAATTTTGTTAGCTTGTAATGAGTTTTTAAATATTTAAAAAAATCTTAGTTTTAATTTCTAACATGGTAAATATTTATATCCTTTTGGAGATTATAACAAAACCTTTTGGGTCCTGAATTTGTCAGTGTAAAGGAAGTGCTTACAAAAAGTTTGAGAATTTCTGCCTTAGATATACTAAATAGTGTACCTTCTGTCACCATTATCAGGAAATATCTGTCACAGCTTCTAGAACTGTGATAAGGTATTTTGCTCCCTTGCTTTAACCACAGCCTTCAGATGTCACTAAATCCACACCAAACCAATGACCAGCAGAGGACTCCCACTACTACTTAAGCTTAGGGTTTTTCTAGTAAACACCCTTCCCCTCTCCCCCAAGTACAAATCACCTATTTGTTGAAGCCCACATCCCATTATCATGAATCAACCACAGCCAGCGCAGTTTTAGTAAATAGTATAAATGTATTTTGTAATTTAAACAAAAGCTTCTGTTAACATTATTGCTAACATGGCTAGACACTGTCACTAAATTTGGTGGCTCTGCTCAGGATGGTCTGAACACATGCAACATTCTTTTTGGAGCCACCTGAAAAACAAGGATTCATCATCCAGCTGAAACCGAAGACAGATTTTTTTTTTACCAAACTGGAGGGAATTTTGAAATGGCTGACCAAATCTGTGGGATACAGAATGTACAAAATTCTCTTTTAGGGTTGCTGGGGTGACAGGGCAGCTCAAAGAGGTAACCATCTATAACATCTGAAACTGAGGTATGAGACCTGTATTACAACTGATAACAAAAAAAAAAAAAAAAAACCGCCATATATTTAAAATGCTGGAGATGGTGAAGACACACACTCGTTTCAAATATTACACCCCCTCCCTCCAACTGAAGCAGCCCATTCCAAGCTGCTTACTTGAAACTGCATGTAACATGTCTTAGGATGAATAGCACCAGCAGGGGCTTATTTAGTGATGGTTAATAACTCTCTCAAACAATAGAGGGCAGGCCAGCTAGTTTATTCAAATTGAATCTAAACCTTAGATCTCTGGCTTAACAATAACAAGAGAAACCTTTATAGACACAATATATCTTGCATTAAATCAGAGACGGTTTAAATCAGTCTTGTAACTTCTAATATTCTGGGCTGGCAACTACAGCATGACAAATGTTTAGTGCAGTTACAAAATCACATTTTACTTTCCTTGGCTAGCAAACCTTAAACAAATCTGAAAAATGCACTGTTTTACAAAGGCTTTTACCATATACCCACTGCTGCCAGTCTCAAGTAATTATGGTTTCTTCATCCCCCAGGAACATTTCTAAATAAGGGGGATTTTTCTTTGATCTGCTCGCCTTGAAGTGTATGTAAGAACTCAAGAGAGTAAGTTGAAAGAATGAAGATTAACTGAGATGCCAAGAAAAGTTTTTATTGCAAGCACAGTGAGCAGAAAGAGATGTCTTCTCACACAAAGTGGCCACAAGGTCTGCCATTAACTAAATCTCTTTGACAAGCCTTCATTGGTTTAAAGCATATGAATTAGCTTCTTGCTATCAGGTGTACATCATTTCTGCCATGTGGGACATTTTCTTGGGAATATACAAGTAATACTCCATGTAGCCTGACAGGTCCTCAATGGTCACATCATCCACGAAGACTCGAGCTTGCTCAGAACAGGATCGGGGAGAGCCAGACAGAGTTCTGGCGTGCAGCGACTGAGAGTAGTCCTCAAGTGTGGATCTTCGTTCTGGAGCCAAGGGAGGGACACTCTGCAGGCCTGAAAAGGAATACACTTCCATATCATGCCATCTCTTACACTGGCATTCCTTGCCTATGCATGTGCATGGCTTGCCCTGGTTTAGCTTGGAAACTGATTGAAAGTCAGAGAGATCACTGGCTTTGAGACTTGCTTGGGGGACTTGGGTAGCGTCAGAGGAGTCTTCCTTCTTACTCTCTGATGGGAGCCTTGGAACAGAAGTTCTCAAAGGCTCAACGACTGCCCCTGTGTGATTAGCATCGAGAGAAGTAGAGCTTTCTCCTGCACTGAACTCTTTAGGGGATGAAATTCCCAGCCCACTGCTGCCATCAGGTGAGTCAGTCTGGCTTTTGTGCTTGAGTTGACTGCTGGAAGAAGACGCTATTGTACTGCAATGTATAAACTTTGGAGGATGAAGGACAGGAGACTTAGAACGTCGACGACGCTGAGTTCTCACTGCTCCTCGTGAAGACTTCCTTGTAGACCTAAAGAGGAAAAAAAATATACAAGAAGATGTTGGGATATGGAGCTGTCCTAAACAGATTCTTTATGACAGTAGGAAATTTACCTTCCCTCAGCTTTATGAGTCTAAGCTCATAAATTTCCTGCAAGAGATGCACCTTCCTCCATTTTCATGCTGCCTAAGTCTTTGTGTCTCAACAACTTCAACATCATCTTATTAGCAAGCTATAGAACGAGGTGAGATAATGGTATTTTTTAACTGAATCACCTGGGCCAAACATTTGGGACAGAACACCTGCCCTGTTCCAACTCTAAGCTTGGGAGCCTTTGACCAGTGGGTCTGAGGGAAGCACCTCAAACATACAACTGAAACCGATCCTGTGAAGCCTAAATATTGTGCCCTAAACCTGAATATAGCAGCTTCAGAACCACTGTGAGGCTAACGTTACAAATGACCATTATGCCATTACTATTAAATAGATTTCTGATTCATTTCTATCATTGGTAACAGCCAATCAATCAAAACCAAAAAACTAACAATATTTACAACCCCTGAGGTTTTCAGATACTGGGAATTACTGGACACACTATGTAAGATAACTATTTATAAAATATTTAAATAGCCAGGCGCGGTGGCTCACGCCTGTAATCCCAGCACTTTGGGAGGCCGAGGCAGGTGGATCACGAGGTCAGGAGATTGAGACCATCCTGGCTAAAGCGGTGAAACCCCGTCTCTACTAAAAATACAAAAAATTAGCCGGGCGTGGTGGTGGGCGCCTGTAGTCCCAGATACTTGGGAGGCTGAGGCAGGAGAATGGCGTGAATCTGGGAGGCAGAGCTTGCAGTGAGCTGAGATCACGCCACTGTACTCCAGCCTGGGCAACAGAGCGAGACTCCGTCTCAAAAATAAATAAATAAATAAATAAAATAAAATAAAATTAAATAAAGAACTGAATGAAAAGAAAAGATACTCAAAACTGCTAAGTGAATTAGAGACAAGAACCAAACAAGACACTAAAAAGCTAAACAGAACACAGTAATCCCATCTTATCCATGGTTTCGCTTTCTACAGTTTCAGTTACCTGCAGTCAACCATGGTCTGAAAATATTAAATAAAAAATTCCAGAAATAAACAATTCATAAGTTTTACATTGCGCCCCACTGTGAGTGGCATGACAAAATCTTGCACCATCCTGCTCCGTCCCACCTGGGATGTGAATCATCCCTTCGTCCAGGGTATCCACACTGTATATGCTACCTACCCATTAGTCATTTAGTAGCCATCTTGGTTATTAGATCAACTACCATGGTACTGCAGTGCTTGTGTTCAAGTAACTCTTATTTTACTTAACAATGGCCCCACAGTATAACAGTAGTGATGCTAGCAGTTTGGGTATACCAAGAAAAGCCACGAAGTGCTTCTGCTGTGGTTAGAATGTGTCACCCAAAAGTTCATGTGTTGTCAACTTGGTCCCGAATGCATCAGTGCTGAGACCTTTGGGGGTGATTGGGTCACAAAAGGACTCTGCCTTCAAGAATGGATTAATCCATCCACAGATTAATGAATTAAAGGGTTATTGAGGGACAGGGATAGTTATCACAAGAACGGCTCTGTTATAAAAGCCGGTTTGGCTACTTCTCACGAGCCCCCTTGCCACGTGATATCCTTCCCCATGTTATGATGCAGCAATGATACACTCACTAGATGCTGGTGCCATGCTCTTACACTTCCCAGCCTCCCGAAATGTAAGAAATAAGTCTCTTTAAAAATTACCCAGTCTCAGGTATTCAGTTACAGCAACAGAAAATGAACTAAGACAGCTTTCTTTAAGTAAAAAGGTGAAAGTTCTTGACTTAATAAGGAAAGGAAAAAAATAAATCGTATACTGAGGTTGCTAAGATCTACGGTAAGAACGAATCTCCTATGTGAAAAATTGTGAAGAAGGAAAAACAAATTTGTGATAGACTTGCTGTTGCACTTCAAATGTGAAAGTTACAGCCACAGTGCATGTAAGTCCTTAGTTAAGATGGAAAAGGCATTAAATGTGTGGGTGGAAGACATGAACAAAAACGTGCTCTGACTGATGGCAAATGGGTTTGATATTGTCTGCAGTTTCAGGCGTCCACTGGGGTTCTTGGAACATATCCCCTATGGATAAGAGGGGACTTGTACACACAGCTAAAGAAAGAATGACTGACGGGAAAATAAATCTGAATTATTTGTAACAGGGGCCAGCAAATTACAGCCTGTGGGTCAGATCTGGCTCCCTGCCTGTTTTTGTACAGCTTGTGGACACTGCTCCAGTGGGCTAGCACTGTGAGCCACAGACCAGGCTAGGGGATCCTCCCCTGTCCCTATTCTCCCTGCCCGCCTTCCTGGCCAGTAGACAAGCTGCACCACTGTCCAGCGCCCGCACTAGCTAACATCTACATGTTGGGTCTCTACTGTTGGCAACTGCTGATCATTGAGAGGCAGAATCTCAGTTCAAGACTCCAACCAATGCTGGGATCTCTGGAGGAGAAAAGAGCATGCTGAGATCTGAGCCTCACTGGGACAGAAAGTAGAACTGACCCTGGCACTACCTGCTACCCACCCATTCCACAAGGTTCTCCTTTCAGGCTAGTCACTCTATCCTGCGACTGTCTCAGCAACTGAAGACAGAATGTGTCCACCAGCCAGGACGGCCAACCCCAGGCAAACAGGGTAGAGTAGGAGTTTTCTCTCTTATTTAAGCACTTATTAATATCCTTGAATTTTTGCTTCTTGGCCTCCAACGGCTAAAAAATTTACCATACGGTGCTTTACAAAAAAAGTTTGTCAACCTCTGACCTAAAAGGCAGTACAGAGACAAGGATTTGGAAAAAATGTAAAAGTTAAGAGAGATGACAGAGTAAGTCTGGAATTTCTGAAGAAACGAATACAGAGAACAGAGGACAAGTGATTTTTATAGACATAATGACCAAGAAATTTTCTGAATTGATAAGAGAATCTATGAACACAGGAAATACACTGGAGCAGGATAAAAAGAAATCCACATAAGAGACACTCTGTAGCAAAACTATAGAATAGCAAAGACAACAGGAAGATCTTAAAAGCAGCCAGAGACTAGAAAGATTATTTCCAAATTAATAACAATTGGATTGAAGGTATGCTTTTCAATACCAATGTAACGAAACCAGAAGACAATGAACTGTACCTAATTTAAGTGCTAAGAGAAAATAACTGTCAATCTAGAAATATAATGTCAACTATATCAACTCTATCTTTCAAAACCAAGGAAGAAATAAAGACATTTTCAGATAAATGAAAGCAAAGTACAGTCTTCTGTATCCACGGATTCTACACTTGTGGATTCAACCAGCAGCAGACTGAAAATACCCCTTCCACCAAGTTCCAAAAAGCAAACCTTGAATTTGCTGTGCTCTAAGCACTATGCTGAGTCTGTGTGAGTGAAGTGCTGTGTAAGCATTGTGGTAGGTATTATAAGTACTCTAGAGATGGTTTAAAGTATACAGGAGAATGAGCATAGGTTGTATGCAAACACTATACCATTCTGTCTAACAGACATAAGCATCCTCAGATTTTGGTATTGAGAGGGGCGTGTGAGTGGGGAGGACCTGGAATTGATCCCCCATGGATACAGATGATTGTTATTTACCAATAGGACCTGATGGTATTTAACATCGGGGGCCCTTTCAAATGTATTTATATGGAGTTATACAATGCAGAGGTCCTATTTACTAATAATAAACCTTCACTAAAGAAACTACTTTAGGAAAAAAGTAAGTGATTGTATATGGGAGGTCTGAGGTGAAAGCATGGTGAGGAAAGAAGATATAAGCAAACAGAAAAATCTAAATAAACACTGTCTGCTTAAATAATAATAAAACCTAGTCTGTGAGATTAAGTAACGACTAAAATATTGGGCAACTATATCATGGAAGTCAGGAGATCAGAGGAAAGGGTTTCTAAGGAGAAGGGCTAAATTACCATTAATTTTTGTCTTTGTTAAAAGCATGCATGGTAAAATCAAGGCTAACAACTACTGAAAGAATAGAAACAAAGTGTGCCATTTCCAAACCACTAGAGGAAAAGAACAAACAAAATCCTTGAAAACAATTGTGTTTAAACAATTGGAAAGGAAAGGAGGAGAGGTAAGGTGGGAAAAAAATAGAAAAAAGCAGGACAAATAAAGTAAAATGACAGAATCACTTCTGAAGATACCAATAATCAAATAAATGTAAATGCACTAAACTCAGCAGTTAAAAACAAACTGATCACATTGAATAAAACAGAAAAAAATAAAACCTAGTCATATGCTATTTATATGAAACACAGCTAAAATACAAGAACACAGAACGCTTGAAAGACTAGTAGGCTGGGTGTGGTGGCTCACACCTGTAATCCTAGCACTTTGGGAAGCCGAGGTGGGTGGATCACCTGAGGTCAGGGGTTTGAGACCAGCTTGGCCAACATGATGAAATTCTGTCTCTACTAAAAATACTAAAATTACCCGGGCATGGTGGCGGGCACCTGCGTAACCCCAGGTACCTGGGAGGCCAAGGCAGAACTGCTTAAACCGGGGAGGCGGAGGGTGCAGTGAGCTGAGATTGTGACACTGCACTCCAGTCTGTGTGACAGAGCAAGAACAAGATTCCATCTTAAGAAAAAAAAAAGAATAGAAAAAGACACACAAGCGAAACACTAACTAGAAGAAAACTTTAAGACAAAAGCCATTATGAGGGATTAAGAATGTCACTACATAATAAAAGTTTCAATTCACCAGAAAGAAAACATTCTAAACCTATGCTATATAAATCCAACAAAATAACCTCAAGATACATAAAGCAAAAACATAGAATTTAAAGGGAAAATAGACAAATACACTTCCATGGGGTAGATTTCAACATACATCTCTATTATTTGTAAGTCAAGTTGACCAAAAAATTGAAAAAAAGGTTCCAATAACACATTTAAAAGCCTGACTTAATGGACAGAGAACCCAAGAATAATTAGAGAAGTCCCAATCTTCTCAAACAGACATAGAATATTTGTAAAAATTGACTATGGACCAGGCCAAAAAAAAGTCTCAGCAAATTCAGCAAAAGAAGGAATAGGTCCTCATCTAATCATTGGGTCTTAGGTTCTATATCATAACCTAACTCTTTTCTGGACACTCAGAAAGGAAAATCCAATACTATTATAATATTGGAATAAAAATCATCTCAATAAGAAGCTCTTACCCGTGCCAACTGTCTTTAGATGCACATGTGGTTTTAGGTTTGGTATCATCTGTTGCTGTTCTGACTGGTGCTCTGACACCTGTGCCTTCTCCAACAGACAGAGATGCTACAGACCTGAAGACAAGAACAAAGTTTACAGCTACAAAAAACTGTAAAATGAGGAGAACATATTGTTCTCACTAGCTCAAATACAACTTTTATCAATACATTTTTTTTTCTAGTTTGGGTTTCTCAAAAATTGCTCAGCTTTTAATGTAAATTTTCCTTCAAAACCAAATCTAGAGTATCCCTAAAAGCCCATGGCTGCAAAATCATAAGCCAAAGAATGACTGGTAAGTGTACCCAGCAGCAGGATATAAATAGACTTTCAGGCTGTTTCCCTGGGGCAGATCAGGCCTTATGGCCAGAGAATGCTAATGACACTGACCATTTATCTTATGCGGGCAAACCAGAGTCATGGAACTAAACTTAGTTTAGGAGACTCCATCTAACTTAACACTGAATACATTTTCAAATATTATGCAACTTTTAGAAAAATATTCTAACTTTTGCAACAAATGAACTTGAAATATTACTCAGAGTTAAATCCTTGCGGTTTAAAATTATACAGATAATATGGGTTCCCAGTAAAGAACGTGAAAAAATCTAAAAGCAAGAAAAACAGAATCATCCATACCTCACAACCCAGAGACTACCAACATCAAACATTGGTGGAAATCCTTCCAGACTTTTTTCACACACACACACACACACACACACACACACACACACCCCTCCTACTATACATGCTATGGTGTTGACAAAAATTCTTTAGAAAGCGACATTAATCTACTAAAATGAAAGGATGTTCAACAAAACATAATTGAAAGTAAAAAGTAACTGGGAATAACCTAAATATCTAATAGAAAAAAAATACTGTATTTCTAAATTATGGCATATCTATATGGCAAAATGTTGGGAAATTATTAGAAATTAAGTGTACAAAGAACTTTTAATGATATGGGGGAATGCTTATAAGGAGAAAGCAGCATGGTTAAACACCTATACATATATTATGATCTCAACTATGTAAAATAAGTATAGGCTATCATGAACCAGTGGTCTAGATGTTAACAGTGGTTACGGTAAACTGTGATTTTTACTTCTGTTTTTATCCTGTTTTGTTTTTGTAAATTTTTCTATAATAAGCATGTATTATGTTACAATCAGATAAATAGGATATTGTTTTGTAATAAATATATAGAGATTTGTCCTAATAAGACAAATACCACTAAGGAAAACCTGTTGAACAGGATCATGCTAAATTCCTGGCAAGGCCTGGTTAGTTTATGAGTCAATCCTCAGATATCCCATTTGTAAACTGGCAACAATATAAAACAACTAGAATGTATGATACACTACTACACAAGTCTTATTCTGCTTAGTCATGCTAATGACTCACCCCTTCTCTTATTTCATTTTCTCAAATATTCTCCTTCCCTTCTTATAATTTTACTCAAGGCAGAATATATGCTACAAATATAATTTTACTCAAGGCAGAATACATGCTACAAATATATAATTTTTTTTCATTTCAGCTTTTACTTTAGATACAGGTGGTACATACACAGGATTGTTCATGGGTATACTGGACCCAGGTAGTGAACACAGTACCCTATAGGTAGGTTTTCCACCCACATTCCGCTCCTGCCCTCCCCACGCCAGTAGTCAGCGGTGTCTATTGTTCCCATGTCCACGTGTGTTCAATGTTTAGCCCCCACTTCTAAGTGAGAACATGCAGCATGTGGTTTTACAAATACATAATTTTTGACCATATATTTTGAAAAATTTTTAAATAATGTTCCAAGTAATTTTTAGGGATACCAAAATGGCTTAATTTTACTTTTTTTTTTTTTGAGACAGGGTCTCGCTCTGTTGCGCAGGCCGGAGTGCAGTGGCATGATCTCAGCTCACTCCAACGTCCAGCTCCCGGGCTCAAGTGATCCTCCTACCTCAGCCTACAGAGCAGCTGGGACTACAGGCACGCACCACCATGCCTAGCTAATTCTTTGTTTTTTTGCAGACGGGTTTCACCATGTTGCCGAGGCTGGTCTCAAACTCCTGAGCTCAAGTGATGTGCTCACCTTGGCCTCCCAAAGTGCTGGAATTACAAGCATGAGCCATCATGCCCGGCCTGGCTTTATTTTACATTTCAACTTCTTAAAACATCAGGAAAGAAGTCCGTGTATCAAGAGTTACTTATACAAAATTACACACTAAGAGATTTGTATGTATAATTGTGGGTACACATTCCTAGTATTTTCCTGATATAAAAAAATTATTCCTATATAAGAAATCACAAAGGATACACTGCAGCCACAATCTGGAACTCTCTGCTTCTCTGCTTTGCTTCTGTTTCCCAAGACAATTTATCAAAGTACTGATATGAACTGGCAAGTTGACCATATTAGAAAACCATCAGGAGGAAAGATATGTTTTTGAAGTAACATGGAAGCAAATATGAGCACCTATAACATCTACTGTGCAAATCTATCAGCATAAATCTTCTCATTTGATAGCCCAAAAATAGTACTAGCAATAGGCAGGTGGCTGTAACAACAACTAACATCTAGTTTTCACTTTGTGCTAGGTACTGCATGCATTTCTTCCTATCGCCTTCAAGGTACCACATAAAGGATGGTTAAGAGCAGAGGTTCTGGGCCAGACGCAGTGGCTCTCGCCTGTAATCCCAGCACTTTGGGAGGCCGAGGTGGGTGGATCACCAGGTCAGGAGATCAAGACCATCCTGGCTAACACAGTGAAACCCCGTCTCTACTAAAAATACAAAAAATCAGCCAGGTGTGGTTGTGGCCGCCTGTAGTCCCAGCTACTCGGGAGGCTGAGGCAGGAGAATGGCGTGAACCCGGGAGGCGGAGCTTGCAGTGAGCTGAGATTGCGCCACTGCACTCCAGCCTGGGCGACAGGGCCAGAATCCGTCTCAAAAAAAAAAAAAAAAAAAAAAAAGAGCAGAGGTTCTGGAGACAGGCTATCTAGGTTCAAATCCTGGCTCTGCAACGTCCTACCAATGTGACTTTTAGCAAGTAATTTAATTTGTGTGAGTCTCATCTGTAAACTGAAATGACAGTAGTACCCATGTCCTAAGGTGTAGTGAGAATTAAATAATGCGCACAAAGTACTTAACCCAGTGTTGAGGGCACAGGAAGTGAATAATAAACTTTAATGATGATGATTATTACTTGTGGGTGTTCTACTCTGAGCTTCCAGTGTTTAGTTTCCATTTATGAAAAGAAATTCTTATATCCATTAAAAATGTTGATTTATTTTGGCCTGGGAGAAAGAATTGGTGTGAGAAGAGTCTTACACAGAACATTTTGCAAAGGGTGAAATACTAACATTCAGAGAGCAGCTGGTATGCAGGTGCTCTAATTAGTTTGGCCAAAGGGTCCAAGGTTATTGATCTCAGTGACAGAACCCTCCTGAATAGAGGTTTCCATAGTGATAGACTGAGCAATCACAGACCATGAAATCTACAATGTCTTCATAGATTTCCACTGAGCCAACCCACTTTTAGTGAAAAATACTGTGATTCCCTTGAGATGTATGATAAAATCCCTAGTGGGACACCGCTTGATAATCTTTGATTAAAAAGAAGTGGGGGGGAAGCCCTCCTCAAAGTGAACGAAACCAAAACACCCAACCTGGGAGGGCAAATGAACTGCTACTTTTCAAATTT
Source organism: Homo sapiens (assembly GCF_000001405.40). Classification (NCBI taxonomy): domain Eukaryota; kingdom Metazoa; phylum Chordata; class Mammalia; order Primates; family Hominidae; genus Homo; species Homo sapiens. The sequence goes on from NC_000020.11 coordinate 44,206,694, forward strand.
AACCAAAGGGTTTTCTTTTTAAACTAAAACAATACTGTGCAGAATCTGGAAGAATGTCGCACTATTAGCATTTATATCTTCTTTCAATAATGAGAAATATTAAAAGAGGAAGAGCTTTTTAGGGAAAAGGGACTATTTAAAATAAGTAAACAAATAATTCCAAATAATATATTACATATTTAATTACCCTGATGCATCCACTCTTAATTTTTTGAAAGCAGTCTGTAGACTCTCCTCCTCTCCATCCTTGGCTTCGGATTTCATTGTGCAAGTTTTTACACTACTTATCGATGTTCCTGTTTACACTAAAAAAGAAAATAAAGTGAGCAAAGTAAAAACAGGTGGGATCAAAAGTATACCTGTTACCATTACTGTTAGAAAAAAAAAGCAAATTTTTATTTCAAAAAGGAAGTTTCAGTGTAGATAACTGGAGACTATAGGTTTTATTTCTTAAAGGGAAACAAATGAAATGATACCAAAAATGGATATGTACTATGACAGAATATAAACTGTTCACATACTTGATGCCAAAATCCTATTACACAATTTTGGAAACTAGATGATCTAAAATCTATGTTTCAGTATACATACTTTTTAACGGGAATCTCCCCAGTTGGTCTAGAAACCTATGAACAAAATGACATCAGAAATAAAAGGGAATAGCTAAAATTATAGCACTCTGATTCTTTAAAATGACACTGAGTATTTGTCTGGCCTAACCCTAGTTAAGTATAACTTTCATGACACATGATAGCATTTCTCTAGAGCAGTCCTGACCCAGACAGCTATGTTCACAGGAAGACACGTTTTAGAGAACAAGACGTTACCACTGTGAAAGCAGAATTAGAAATGCACTCTACCAGTAAGGTTGATACTTCCATTTGTGTTTTTCTTCATAGCCTGGAATAGTGTAATTAATTGTTAAACAAGAAAGAAAATAAATGAACTATACACTTGCAACCCCCTAAAAACTTCATTGTGCACATGAGTGGAAAAAGAAAAGAAAACAAACAAACTTCTCTTTAGCCTAAAGAAAGGTTGAAAGTAAAGAAAAAAAACAGAAATGACTATTGTGTAGACGCACCACTAAATGATCTCTTAACTAGTTTGATTAATCAAAGTCCTCCATATTTTCCACCTGATTTTTATATTTAAACAGAGAAAGGTAGATGAAGAACCAACCAAAGCAACAAGAAACACAACAGAGAAGTCTGTTAATAAACCCTTGAATCTAGTCTCCAAATTATTTTTTCACTCAGGGTTATTAGTACCAAATTTTGAATACAAATTAAGCAAACCAGCATCTATGAACATATCAGAGAGAATCAGAAGAAAAGTACCACAAAAAAAATAGAAATAGAGAATATTTGAAGCAAAAGGTTCACTTCACCTCTTTATTTCTAAGCCTTTACCCGCCCCCCCCCGCCCCCACCCCTCTTGGGCATTCTCAGAGGGAGCAGTGCCTCTCCAACGGCCCTTGGGTCCTCTCTGATTCATATCTGCTCGTTTCTCAAGGTGGCTCCGAAGTTATTGTGAGACCTCTAATATTCCAAAGGTCAAGGTGTCATAATGTTTGATATAAAGTAACCATTATATTATTGTAGTACCAGCGCAAAATAAAGAGGCAAGGAATCAGGACTTTTCACTTTACTTATTTGCGGAAGTTAAGGTATTTTAGGCAGAGCTCTCTGGGGAACACTGAAAACAGTCTCAAAAGAATTCAGCTACTAAAAAAAAAAAAAAAAATTCAGCCAGCCTGCACCTCAACTTCTTAGGACAAAAAAATAATTTAGATACATTCTCGACGTATATTTTGCTGGTTTATTTAAGTACATAAACATGAAGAAACATTATCCACACAATCCCATGCTTCACTAGTCTCTAATTCTCAGTTTAGGGTAGGATCCCCCAAATACACAATCAATTCCTATATACCTGGGGGGAGAGGTGAGCAATCACTTATTTCAATATTTTCAAAGCTTCACATCATCTAAAAGAGTACTATTGCAGGTTGTAAACAAATCCTTCCTGCTGGTAGAACTAAATTGAAGTTTGACTTACAATGTTCCTCAATTACCTTATGATCCGTTAGTCAATGTTCAGCTCTTACCGAGTTCATAAATCATCTGAGCCAATCTCCCCAACCCGCAGACCGCCCCCCAAGTCCTCTTTAGCCCTCTCTGGAAATCAGTCAGCATTTACGTACACATCACATTTAAGTATACACTGCTGAACCCTACAGGCAGAAATTCATTTCTTTCACAAATATTTACAGAATTCCTACCACGTGCATGGCACTAGAATGAATGCTAGGGATAGAAGCCCAAACTCCATTTCCGTAAGGACTAGAATCTCATTCCTGCCCTCCAAGAGCTTACAATGTAACACTGTGCTAAGAGGCTCTGAACCTACATATGTAACTTTTAATTATACCATGCTGACTTAATAGCATGGCAGGTGATCACCCTAGATGTTAATACAAACTTTACATTCCTGTTGACACACTAAAAGATCTATCATCTAAAAACCAAAACAGGCCAGAATTAAAATCTGGCTACAGACTAAAACTTCAGGAATGAAGTTCTGTCTAAACCATTTTCAGACTTCCAGCATTTTTTTACTACTCACTTTTTTTCTCAGTTATTTTAGCCAAGAGCAAATGAGCGTTAGGCATAACCTTAAGAGCTAGAGAAGAGCATGTTTGTAATTATAAAAGGCTCATTATGCTCCTCTGCATCCCCAGATCCCCATTCAAAGAAAGGGCTGTACAACTAACTCCGGACAACAGATATAATTGGCTTGCCTTTCTTCATTAATATTAAATTTGTGGGAGACAGTCTTGGCGTTTTCACTGCAGTGAACTCGTGAAGTTGAACAATCTCCAAAGAGATGAAACTTTAAAAAGCCTATTCGAAGTTAAAGTCAAATCACACCAGGCAATTTAACTTTGCCTCGGATTTTCCACAACCTTACAAAAATTACAAAGTTCTTCTAAGTTCCTCCATCAAAAGGCCAAATTCCTGGTTTTTTCTTTCAACAAAATGGATGCGTCACAATCTTATTTACATCTTGCCGTTTTAACCAAGACCTCCTTGAATCCCAAGCCTAGGTCTACACTTCCAGGCCCCTGAGAAGACCTAAGAACGATCAAGAAGGGATGCGCGGGTAAGCGTTGTCATCACAACATTAAAGATTTCGAAACTCCCAGACCACCAGAAAGCGTAGAGTATGGGGAAGAAAACCAAACCCAGCAACTCTAAGAGGCAAACTAGACCGGGAGGAAACAATCGGCCCCCAGGACAAAAAGCACATTCACACCTCTCCGTGCAACCCACTCATCCCTTTATACTCGCAGCGCTGCAGCCAAAGCACAAAGTTCTTTCTTTTCACCCAGAGTCTGTGCCTGTCGCGGTTAAACATGAACGGAGGAAAATTCCTAGTCAGAACCCAGAGGGGTAGGACGGGGCTTGGAGTGTGGGGACAACGCCAAGCAGGGAGCTGTCCAGGGGCACTGCCCGCCCGGGGTCTCCAGCTGTGAAGTTGCGCTCCTCGGGAGATTCCTGGGGTCAGAACGAGAGGCTGGAGTCGGAGCGAGGCACAAGGGATGCGGGAGAAGAAAGGAGTGGGGCCGAAGAGGTAGCCAAAGAGAATGGGGCTCCGAGGCGAGAGAGAAAGGACTGGAAGGGGCAAAGGGCGGCCAAGGAGGGCGAAAAGGGGAAGCTGCCGCTGGGCGGGAGACGGCGGAGGAGCGAGACGGGGCGGGGGACCGCGGGAGGACGGGAAGGCGGGAAGGGGAGAGAGCGTGGAGCTCGGAGCTCCAGCAGGCACAGGCCGCGGCAGATAAGGGGGCGCGGAGAGGCCCAGGCCCGGCCCAGGCAGGAGGCGTCGGGAGACGACGCGACCCAAGGCGGGCGGGCCCGGGGAAAACCGCCCGCGGCCAGACCGGCAGTGGAAGCTGAGACGCAGTGCTGCGGCCCCTCCCCGTCACGTCAGGGCACTTACCTCCTCGCAGCTGGGACGCTCCGGTGATGCGGGGCAGTCAGTTCAGAGCGTCTCTCCCAAATCTCGGCACCCGACTGACCCGGATCCAAACCAGCCAAGGGGGCGGCCCGCGCCTCGGGAGTCGCGTTGCGCCTGCGCACTCCGGCATGCACCCCTCCCCCTGCTTATGCTCCTCCCACCCCAGTGACTCGGCAGCGCGGCAGCCGACGACTGCGCAGACGCAGGGCGGCGGCCGCGCCTCTCCAACGCCCCGCACCCGCCCCCCTCAGAAGCACGTGCGCCTTACGTAATTTCCTGTTATTCTTCGGTTTGCCTCCTCCCAGTGGCGTGGATTTGCTCCCGACCCGCTTTTGGGGCGTGCCTGCTTCCTCCTCTCTGTTAGGTGAGTGAGTAGGCGTCATTCTTCACAGTAGTCCTCTGCCTCCACCGCCCCGGGATCTCCTTGCGCTCGGTCCTCTACGTGGAGTCACCTATGCAGAGGAATTCCACGGGGCGGGGGCGAGGACAGGGTGCGGGGGTCTTTATGGCAGACAATCCCCGGCTGAGCGCTTGGCCAGAGTTTCTGTGATGCTAGAATCTGGACTGCCTGCGACCTCTCCGGGACTCGGACACCAGCCCTCGCCTCCTGGTGATCTTTTAGGTCCTGCAGAGAAGTGAAGAGGTATTGGACGTGGCCAGGGTCAATAGTGTGAAGCCAGAATTAGAATTGAATTGAAATGCCTTCGGTTTTGATATCTCTGCTGTTTGTCTTGAGGCAACTGCTTTTCCTCCTTTGGGCCTCTCAGTTTTCCATCTAGTAAGTGAGGAAGTTGAACCTTATCGGTGAATCTCGTGTTTTCAGGCGTAGACTCCTTTGAGAATCTGGTGAGAACTGTAGATCCTCTTGCCAAAGAAATGCACCTACACACCAAATTTTGCAAAAAGATTTAGGCAGTTCACCAAAGGAGATGAATTTTAGGATTCTTTACATTTTTCTGATTCTGAATGTTGCTCAGATGGTAGGCGGGAAAAGGTGATCTGTGCAACAGCTGCCACCCGCTCCATCACCAGGACTGGTTCTGCTGATCTAGCTGTGCCTCTCCTCGCCTGCCAATCTCCAGCTCCACGTCTGCACTGCTCAAAGCTTCGTGAGAACAGATGATTTTGCGCAATTGAGTTGGATGGCGTTGATTGTGGCCCACCCCTAGAGTGAGGGTTTTTCCCTGAACCAAAACTGGCCCCATCCACCGTCATTCCCCAATACCTTAGTTGTAGTCAACTAGATAGGCTGCCGAAGATGGTTTAACTGTGTCCAGCTTAACTACAGCCAGGCTTTGGAATGCCTGGCCTATGTCTGTAAATGAAATCTAACAATTTATTGTATAACGTTGTTAAACATGAAGCATGATGTTGGCCCTGGATAAAACATTTTAAATTCTCGTCGTTCATACCAGAGGCTCAGTAACTGACCGGTTGAAAGAAAACTGTTCATTGTAACCTAATGATGCTAGTTAGATAGCATTAGATTATGTTAGAGATCAGATAACTTGTTCTAGCTGCCTTTGTCCTGTCTCACAGTGCTAGTAAGTCAGGATTTAAACTGCCCTTCTCAACATCTCTTGGACAAGAAAAAGCGGGAAATATGATGTATTTATTTTCTCAGACCTTGCCAAGTGAAATGTATCAAAACCAAACATGTCTTTTTAAGCTGCCACTTCAAAATATAACTTAAGATAAAATCTCATATATCCTTGAGAAGGCCTGGCACGGTAGCTCATGCCTATAATCCCAGCACTTTGGGAGGCCGAGGCGGGTGGATCACTTGAGGTCAGGAGTTTGAGACCAGCCTGGCCAACATGGCGAAACCCTTTCTCTACTAAAAATATGAAAAATTGGCTGGGCATGGTGGCGCATGCACCTATAATCCCAGCTACCCGGGAGGCTGAGGCAGGAGAATCTCTGAAGCCGGGAGGCGGAGGTTGCAGTGAGCCGAGATTGCGCCACTGCACTCCAGCCTGGGCCAACAGAGCAAAACTGTCTCAAAAAAAAAAAAAAAATCTCATATATCCTTGAGGGGAAAGAATTGTCTGGATCGTGATTGAATTCCCAGGGCTTAGCACACTTCCTGGGGATTAGTAGATGCTCAATACAGTTTTGGTGAATTCTCATTTTACCTGCTTTCCATCCCTAATTATATTAAATACCAAAAACTAAAAAGTTACAGTATTTCATTTTATGTAAGCACATCTCCATCATAAAGAGTTAGATGCTTTCCAAGAATGTGACTCATTACTCGGGGAGTACTTGGAAGGTGGGAACCTCTTGTGAATGCTGAAGCCTGTTAACTCACACACCTGACGTGGCCTGAAGTTTTAAGTCATTATACATAGGACTGGCTCACGGTGTGATACATCATGACTTGGAAAGAGATAGAAAAGCTACAAAATGGGATGGATCTGAGTGAACAAAAAGCCAGATCGGTGTCCTATACCAGCAATTCCAAGTCTTTTTAACCATGGGAAAAAAACCTGAATTTGTGTGTGGACTTTATATTGAAGAAATCAACTTTGTATTAATGCACATGGTAATGCCATTTAATTAAAAAGCTGTGGTAGATGTAAAATTCCTCTAACAGTGCTTCTTTCTTGCTACAAGTGTCTTGTACATGCTTTAGTAAGAGAGACTTAATTCCATGAATTTATACTGCAAGAACAATTTATATAGGAAGATAATAGTTTCTCTTAAAAAATAACTTTGGAGAAGCCAAGTCCAAAGTAATAAAGAAAATTATTTGCCTAACCATGTGGCTGCCATCCTACCAGTTGGTAATCTGGAAAATATTCTGTTCTTATGTTTTAAGACTCAAATTAATTTATTTCTTACCTCGATATACTTTTTTAAATGACTTAGGGTAGGCCAGGCGTGGTGGCTCACGCCTGTAATCCCAACACTTTGGGAGGCTGAGGCAGGTGGATCACCTGAAGTCAAGAGTTCGAGACCAGCCTGGCTAACATGGTGAAACCCCATCTCTACTGAAAAATAAATAAATAAATATACAAAAATTAGCTGGGAGTGGTGGGCACACACCTGTAATCCTAGCTACTTGGAGGCTGAGGCATGAGAAGCCCTTGAACCCAGGAGGTGGAGGTTGCAGTGAGCTGAGATCATGCCACGGCACTCCAGCCTGGGCTACAGAGCAAGACCTTGTCTCAAAAAAAAAAATAAAATTAAATTAAAATGACTTTGGGATAGAAGATAGTGATAATGATTATTTGTCTTGATTTACAAGATGTTAGCTCATGTAATCTTCATAACCAATTTGTGAAATGTACTTCTATGATGTCTGTTTTACAGCTGAGGAAACTAGGCTCAGAATAGTTAGATAACTTGTCCAAGGTTACATAGTTTGTAAGTGGTAGAACGGGGATTCCAATCTAGGCAGTCTGACTATAGCACCCTGCTGACCGCTGAGTTACACTGCTTTCCTTAGCCTCCCCACCTTCACCTCCTGTATGTACCCAGCTAGACCAGGGATACCTGCTTTCACCTGGAAAATACCACTGGGTTTGAGGAAATTGGCTGCCCAGGGCCTAGGACTGTTCCAGCCACTCTTTCTTTGCATATATTTGAACCCAGCAGGCATATTTCCCTCTCAGGTCTTTTGTATGTATTTCCCCTCCTGGAGCATTGTTTACTCACAGTTCATCTTGTCATTCAAAGTCTCTGCTCATATCAGCTCCCCAGGGGGGTCTTCCTTGGCTTCCCCAGCACCCCCTTCACTGTGTATCCCTTTACCCTGCTTTATCATAGCACTTGTCACTACCTGACAATGTATAGTTATTTTTTGGTCCCCTCACTAGAATAGAAGCTACCCGAGGACAGGGACTTTGTGTCTTTTTTTTAGTCACTATTTTTTTTAATCAAAGATGCACATTTTCCCACAATTTATTAATAGCGGTTAGAAAATCTGAATGTGTCTTATAATCGCCAGTGTGTCCTGGTTTAATTGGTAGTATTTTTTTCTTTCTTACTTGTTCCTACAGTAAGTGGTGAGTCTTTAAAATGATGGTGTCTTAGAATTGATGAAAATACAGTGTATCCCCAAGGCCTGAACTCTATGTGGCACATAGTTGGCTCTCAATAATTACTTGTTAAAGGAAGGCATTGAGTGTTGTGTGCCAGAAACTATTGAAACCTTTTTTTTTTTTTTGAGATCTCGCTCTGTCACCCAGGCTGGAGTGAAATGGCACAATCTTGGCTCACTGTAACCTCCGCCCCCAGGTTCGACTGATTCTCGTGCCTCAGCCTCCTCAGTAGCTGGGATTACAGGTGAGCACCACCATGCTCTGCTAATTTTTGTATTTTTAGTAGCAATTTATATCATTCCAGCAGACTCTTAGAAAGTAGATGGGGAGGGTGGGGAATGTAAGAGAGACCAGTTAGAAGACACTCGAAATAATCTGAGGGAAGACCAGAATGGGAACCATGGCTGAAGGATGGTGAGACCAGCAGGGCTCGGCAGCCTGCTGAGCAGATGTCTGGCCTGAGCCGTGCCAGTAGGTGGCCCCCTTCACTAAGGAAGGGAATCCAAGAAGACTAGGTTTGGGGAGTGTGAGACGGTTTGGTTTTGAACATAAAAGTTTCAAGTGCAGATGAAAGGAGGAATCAGGTCCCAAAGGCTGCAGCAAGGGACTTATCCTGAGGTTTCTCCTTCTGAGAACTGTAGGAGCTATGGAAAGAAATGACCAAATTTATTTTAGAAAGATGACTGGTTTCAGCGTGAGCCGGCATGGTGATCCAGGCCTGAGATGATGGTGATCGAAGGGGCAGGTGGCCCTAAGTATGGAGAACAAGTGAGCCGATTGGAAAGTTGCGTAGATCAGGCCTTGGGGAGAGATTGACTACGAACAGGATGGGCAGTGAGAGAAAGCTGACAATGATACTTTGCTTTCCAGTTTGAGCAACTGAATGGATATTGGTGCCCATCTCAATTAAACTCTGTTGAACCCAGCTGACAGTGAGCAGAGGAAGAACATTTAAATGGAGAATCATAGTAACAGCTAATACTTTCTTTTATTTCTTTCCTTTTCTTTTCTTTTTTTTGAGACAGAGTCTTGCTCTGTTGCCCAGGCTGGGGTGCAGTGGTGCAATCTTGGCTCACTGCAACCTCTGCTTCCCTAATTCAAGTGATTCTCCTGCCTTAGTCACCCACGTGTGCCACCATGCCTGGCTAATTTTTGTTTGTTTGTTTGTTTGTGGAGACAGCGTTTTGCCATGTTGGCCAGGCTGCTCTCGGACTCCTGGCCTCAAGTGATCTGCCTGCCTCAGCCTCCCAAAGTGCTGGGACTGCAGGCATGAGCTACCATGCCCAGCCTATGAGGGCTAATACTTTCATAGCTCTTCCTATGCATCAGAAGACTCATTTTAATTCTCACCACAATTCTATGAGATTACCATTATCACACTCATCTTCCAGATGAGGAAACTGAAGCAAAGAGAAGTTAAGTAACTCACCAAGGTCACACAGCTAACAAGTGGCAGAGCTAGAATTTGAACCTAGGCAGCTTGGTAGAGTCTGTGCTGTCACTGCCTCTCTGTGCTGATATATCTCTAAATTAGTTCAGTTTGGACAGAGTGAACCTGAGAGATCCGTGGGGCAGCCGCGTGGAGGTGTCTAGCAGGCATGCAGATATATGGTTCTGAAGCTCACATGGGAGGTGGGGACTGGAAATAAAGACTGTGGAGTCTGCATACAGGTGGCCATTGAAGCCACAGGAAAGGTCAGGACCCTTAAGGAGAGGGTGGGAGATAATCAGAGGAAAGAAACAAGGGAGCCCTGGAAGGCAAACACAAGCATTCCAGTTGTGGGAAGGACATAGTCCTTTCTGCAAATGAATACACTGCACCTGGCTTATAGATCTTCAGTCAACAGATAGTCCATCCCGCAGAATTTGTTTGGCTCTGGGTACCCTGACAAAATGGAGTTCCTGGAGCCACAGCCCTAAGGACCTGCCTCAATGGTGGTGATCCTCCCCACTTTCTTCTACCATGAGAGTCCACTGGGGGCCTGTTGGCTTCTCTGGGCATCTGTTTTTTGCCCCTCCCTACAACTGAAGAGCCTCCAGCTCCTCTGTCTACCACCCGTCCACTTCGTCAGCTCAGGTCCCCTCCCTGTCTCTACGACCACAGTAACATTTCACCTGGAGCTTCTTCAGGTCCCTCCTGAACTTATTTTCAGCCCTTTACCCGTACATTTCTTGTATCTCCTGCTAGATTCTAAATTTCTGGAGGGCAAGAAAAACCTATTATGTTGACTTTCCCTCCCTCAACTCCTGCTCCCCTGTGTGTGTTAAATGGCCCGACCCCGTTGTCCCATGGGACTTCGCATGCAGTCCACCAGAATAGGAGCTGTACCTACCACAGGAGCCAGTGAGTCCATCAGTCAGTCAGTCATCTCAGCAAATAATTCCAGTTGTCTACTGGCTTTCTGGAAACATGACTGGGGACTGTTGATGCCTTTGACAGTTGATTCAAGCAGCAGGACCTTTCACAACAGCCTCCTGTTTTTGTGGATGGGGAATAGGCAAGGGTTGGGAAGCGGGAATTCGCCGCTCTTTCTTGTCATTCTCTTCATAGCCCCCAAGCTACTGTGGTCTATTGTTTTGATAGTTGCTTTCCCGAAATGTTAACAGGATGGAGAGTAAAGGAGGTAAAGGAGGACTCTGATGCCTCAGCCATGCGCCTGTGTGCCGATTCCCATTAAGCCTGCACCAATTTGATTTCCAAGACTCCAGTCAATCCTCAGAGCTCCAGGAGGGGAGGGGCAGCTTTTCCTGGTAGCTGCTGATCACCAGCAGAGGGAGCCCTAGGACTGCAGGGCCTCTTTCCTTACCGTTGGTGAAGCCCTTCACTGTGGCTTCAAAACTGTGGAAGACCCGGGATTTGTGGATCACTTGCCTTTAGAATAGAATCAAGAAATAAAGCTGCAGAAGAAAGAATCTCCATGTGGTAAGGATTGGAAGGGAGTGTTGAGAGGGGCTTTTGGGGTGCTGGTAATATTGTTCTTTGACCCGATGTTGGTTATAGGAGTGTGTGCTATAATGTGGTATATGTACATTTTTCTGTGCGTATAACTAAACTTCAGTTAAAAGTTTTTAAAACTTAAACATCTCTATGTATACCACAAAATAGGTATCAGGTTAGGGTGAGCGGTTTTTTTCCCTACAATTCTTAACCTTATCTGAGTCACAAGACAGCCCTCCCTCCCTTCCTCCGAGAAAGCCACAGACCACTGGTTAAGGACTTCTCCTGCAGCAGCCGAATAGAGAAAGTGAGCAAAGGACATGAGCAGACGGTTCACAGCAAAAGAAATACAAATAGCACTTAAACTTATGAAAAAATGCTCAATCTCAATCTTCAAAGAGAAGTGCTTATAAAAAGTATGCGGAGATACCATTTTTAACCTGTCAGATTGGCAGAAATCCCAAAGCTTGACAGCATGCCCTGTGGATGGGGCTGGAGGTGGGGGAGTCGGGAGAATAAATAGCAGGACTTTTAATACATTACCAGTGGGATTGTGAAATTGACAGCCCTGTTGATTTGGGCAATATCTACCAAAATTACAAGTCTAAGAGTCTACCCTGTAGATGACATTTGTACCTATATGTAATAATTTATGTAAAAGATGATCCATTGCAACATTGGCTGCAATAGCAAAAGATCAGAAACAACTGAAGTGTATGTACAGGACTGGTGCATCCACAAAGCAAAATACTATATAACTGGGAAAAAGTTTGAGGAAGCTGTGTGTGCGCTGAGGAAAGATCTCTAAGATATAGGTGAAAAAAAGCACGACGTACAGCTAAGAATATATGTTTGTATTGCTTCTATCTTCATAAAGAAAAACTGATAAGCTAGACAAGTAACTAAGAAGTGTTTCAGGAAGTGGTTGGGGGCCAGCAGGAGGGGCCGGGCTTCTGAGTGTATACCTTGTGTTCTGATTTTTGAATCATGTCAGTGTATAACCTGTGCAAAACAAAACAAAGTTTAGAGTTCCTGCTCTAAAGCTGCTGAGCTAAGCCTTTAGGAATTCATAAATTATTATATCTGCCCAATTAAAGAATAGGTGGGTTTGGTTTTTCAGTTTGAACTGAGCTGTGTCTTGGTGAGAGTCTTCAGCTTACTCCACATTTGAACACAGTTCAGGAAAGTGTATTGCAGTTTCCTGGCTCAGCCTAACTCTCAAGAATTCTTTCTTTACCCTCCATATGCTCAAAACCAATCTTGCCCCTCAAGTGTTGACACTCAGCTAGCTATCATTTTTCAAAGTATTTCATTTTCAGCTTATGTATTCATGAGCATCTAACTCTGCCTGAGGGGGAGAAGAGAAGTTTTCACCAGAAAAGTATATCTGTGTTTTCAGAAACCAATAGATATGAAATCTTGCTCTCCATCCCTTATCTTTGCCTGTCTCTATAGCCATCCTTTCTCCTTTCCCTCCTCCTAGCTAAAACCAATCCCAGCTCTCCTCCCTTCTCAGGAAACTCACTTTCTTCTGTATATGCAAACACACATCATGTCTTCTGTCATAGTAAAACCAAAAACAAAAAAAGCAAACCCCAAACCCACAAAGCCCCCTTCTACCCAGGTTCCCCACAGAGCTCCTGTCCTTTTCTCCCTGTTGGAGCCTTAGCCAGTGGCTCTACTTCTTCCCCTCTCCACCCACCCCCCTTCTCTCTCTCTCTGGGTCGGTCTCTCTCTGTCTCTCTCTCTCTCTCAGTGGCTGTACTTCTTCCCCTCTCCACCCACCCCCCTTCTCTCTCTGTGTGTGTGTGTGTGTGTGTGTGTGTGTGTCTCTGTGTCTCTGTCTCACCACCCTTTCTTCAATCTACTGCAACCAGACTTCTATCTCACCAAAACGTTCCTTGCCAAGGTCATGGATAACCTCCTTGTTGCTGAATACAGTGGCCCTAGTCTCATTCTCATGTTGCTTGAGTTTTGAGCCCTGCCTGACGCTGAACACAGCCGCCTCCTCCACTCGCTCTCCTTTCAGTCCCTGTGGCCACTGCTCACAGGGGCACCCTCTCAGCCTCACCTTTTCTATCTCCTCTGCAGGCTCCTCTTTTCTTGCCGGTCTGCTGACCCTCAGGGGCCATGCCTTGGCTGTCTTCTCATCTCACATTCACTTCCAGGATGATGCCGGGTTGGAGAATATGGAAAACAAATCTGACTTGCTCGAGTGAAAAAGGAATCCACTAGAAGAATGTCAGAAAGCTCACTCAACAAAAGGAAAAGCTAAACAGCTAGGCCTTATCAGCCTGGGAGCCAGACCGAGCCCTTCCCAGGTGCCAGGAATCTCTGAGCATTGCCTCAGGCGATTCAGTTCCACACATCTTTGTTCCTGATACATCTCTCCGTACAAGATTCAAATTCCCAGGAAAGAAACTGATTGGCTTTCATGGCAGGGTCATATTTGACCCACTCCTACTCACAGGGGCAAAAACTGTAACTTCCTTTGTATTTTTTCTTTTTCTTTTCTTTTTTTTTTTTTGAGATGGCGTCTCGCTCTGTCGCCCAGGCTGGAGTGCAGTGGCACGATCTCGGCTCACTGTAACTTCCACCTCCCAGGTTCAAGCTATCCTCCTGCCTCAGCCTCCCGAGTAACCGGGACCGCAGGCATGCGCCACCATTCCTGGCTAATTTTTGCATTTTTAGCAGAGACGGGTGTTTTACTATGTTGGCCAGGCTGGTCTCGAACCCTGACCTCAAGTGATCTGCCCGCCTGGACCTCCCAAAGTGCTAGGATTACAGGCACGAGCCACCACACCCAGCCCTGTATTTTCATCTAATCTCATTTTCATCTCAAACTTCCATTCTCCCAACTTGAGGGGATATTTCCTTCTCTTCTGGTTTACAGCGCTCTGTTTTGCACAGATATTCAGTGTTCAGGATCCTCCTCTCTCCTGTGTGCTCCCATCCTCCCGGCGTGGCATCTGGGTATAAGGGGGCAGTGGGTAAGCTTTATGGCTCAGATGCCATTCCCTGCCTGTTGCTGGTCTTCACTCCCACGTGGTCGCTCGGAATTTGTCCCCGGGCATTACGGATTATGGTGGAACCTACCAAAATGGGGTGAACCTGATTTAGTTCCTGAGCAGTACACGGACCTGCTTAGAAAATTGCCTGTCTGTAGCCATGAGGTCCTCATGTGCCACAACCCTCGCAGCTTGTCACCTGGCCTCTCTTTGTCCCTCAGTCCACTTAGCACATCACTGGGACATGTGGACACATCTGGATTACCACCTACATGGCACCCACAGGTCAAGGGGACAACGGGCTGCTGTTACCACAGCTTCGGTGCCAGCTTAGTGCTGTCACGTGGTCAGTGGGGGGCATCTCTCCCTGGGCTGTGCTTGGGAAAGTGGGATCCTACTGTCCCCCAAACCTGTCCAGATGCTTCTTAGTCCTACATAGGAGTTTTCCTTCGAGGAGGGTAGACACTTGCACCTGAACTCTTGTCCTGCTTTTTTTTTTTCCTTGGCAGCACCAGAAGGCTTTTGCCCTGCTTGCTGTACAGGAACTTGTCTGAACCTTATACTGTGTCATCTCCACACTATGGCCTATAGAAAATCTCTATCCTCTCATCCCCAGGTTGTCCTCTTGCTCTGTAAAGGGAATATTTTGAAAGTTAGGAAAACTGTTTCTGCCTCAACGAAGTCACATTTTAACACTAATGTCCACAGACTCAAGAAATCTAATTTAAAACAGAGCCAGGCAATGGCTCCCATTGATTCAGTGGCTGGAGGGAGCTGCAGGCTAACTAGGAATTAGGAATTAGCCACAACAGAAGTGCATTTGGTTTCATCTCAAGAAATATCCTCCTTTACACCTGTCTTGGCAGATGTGCCCACTGCTTGGGTGGCAGGACACTTTGATTGTCTCACCAAGACTGTGTGGAAAGGGGTGGGGTACTTCTCCAAAGGGAAAAGTGGGCTGCTGTCACCCATAAAAGGGGTAGAGGGAAAGGGCAGGCAGAAACAGTAAATGTCTTCCATAGCTTCAGGTCACATCTGCCTGCTGCTGATACCACATTCATATCTGCAGCCCATGTGTCTCCTCGATGCCACACCTCTGTGTCCACAGTCTTCCTATTCAGTCGCCTATGTGGATGTCCCTCTGACACCTGGTGAAACATGATGTGTTTCTAATTGAGCAGGTTATCTTTCCCCCTAAGCCTGGTCTCCTGGCCTTTCCCCAGTCCCTTCCAGTTTAATTGAATCAAATCGAATGTGATTCATCTCCTCCCATCCGTCTGGCTCCTGGGTTATTTAATACCCCCCCAAACTTTGGAAATATTTTAATGTGTTAATATATTATTTTTTAATAAAAAATAATTTTAACAAAAGAAAAATATACCTTTATAGAAAATTTAGAAAATATAAAGACTCAGGCACCTTATCATTTTTATCTCCTGGTTAGCCCTGGGAGGCAGGTACTATTATTTATCCCCATTTTACAGATGAGGAAACTGAGGCTCAGAGAGGAAAATAGCTTGCTGCTTTCACACAGGTCAGAAGGATCTATGCCGGATTTGAGCCCAGGTCTTTCTGATTGCAAGCTGAAGGCGGTCTTGTCTTTGGGATACTCAGTTGAGGGGCTTGGCCTTTGCCTCAGAAGCATTCGACTTGGCCCCTGTCCTTGAGGATGTCCCCTGGCAGCATTTGGTAAAGGTGTTGCGGAGCGCCTAGGAGCCACACTGCCTCTGAGAAGCCCTGCCTCAGATGCCCACCCCTCTGTGTGGCCTTGGGCACACTGCCCAAGCCCCTGTGCCCAGTTTACTCCTCTGAAAAATGGGGATGATGATAGTAATCGTAGGACTTCCCTTAGAGGGCTAGGAGAGGATGAAATGACTAATGTGGTAGAACACTGCCCGGCTCATAGCATCTGATATGGCTTAGATATTTGTCCCCTCCAAATCTCAGGTCAAACTGTGACCCCCAGTGTTGGAGGTGGGGCCTGATGGGAGGTGTTTGGGTCATGGGGGTGGATCCCTCAGGAATGGCATGGTGCCCTCCCATGGTAATGAGTTCACCCCAGGCCCATTTGTTAGAGCCTGGTACCTCCTGCCTCCTCCCTCTTGCTTCCCTCTCTGGCCGTGTTATCTGTGCAGGCCGGCTCCGCTTCACCTCCTGCCATGAGTGGAAGCAGCCTGAGACACTCACTAGAAGCCAGGCAGATGCTGGTGCCATGCAGAACTGTGACCCAAGCAAACTTCTTTTCTGTATACATTACCCAGTCTCAGCTATTCCTTTATAGCATCGCAAAACAGACTAATATAGCATCCAACAACATTAGCCACTGCTACTATTATCATTAGTATTTTAAGTGTGTGCATTTTAATTGCTGGTACACTGTGTGAACTGGCTTGGATGTTTGTCCCCTCCAAATCTCATGTCGAACTGTAATCTCCAGTGTTGGAGGTGGGGCCTGGTGGGAGGTGTTTGGATCATGGGGGCATATTCCTCATGCTTGGCTTAGCGCCATCCTGTGGTGATGAGTGAGCTAATGGGAGATCTGATTGTTTAAAGGTGTGCGGCACCTCCCCTCTCTCTTGTTCCTGCTCTTGCTATGTGACACACAGGCTCCCCTTTGCCTTCCACCATGACTGTAAATTCCCTATGGCCTCACCAGAAGCAGATGCCAGCACCCCACTTCCTATACAGCTTGCAGAACCAAGAACAAATTAAACTTGTTTTCTTTATAAAGACAGACTCAGGCATTTATTTGTATCAGTGCACAAACAGCCTCATACACTGGGCATACGTGTTATATCCTGCTTTCCTTCAATTTACTATTAGCGTTTTTATGTCACAAACTATTCCTCAAAACATTATTTTAATGACTGTATAATAGTCCATCATTTAAATATATTCATAACTTATTCTGTAGTTAACCATCCACCCGTTTCTGGACAATTAGGGGTGTGTGTGGGTGTTTGTTGTAATAAAAAACTCTAAACCAAAAATCCTTGTCTGATTATTTTCTTAGAATTTTACACCTGGAACTCCTGGGTGGGAAGGTATAAACCGTTTAAAGTCTCCGGCAACACACTAATAAATTGCTTCAAAGGAAAGTTCTCAACCGTTACTCTCAGCAGTGTGTGTATTAGGGCCATCCTCACCACACCCTTTCAGGTAGCGAGGTGAGCTTTTTCAAAGTCCACCTTTGTTGCTATTTCTTTACAAGGCAGGTTTTACTACATGTCCTTGGGTTGGTGGGGGTTGGTCCCATGCTCAAGGTGCTTCTACCTATGCTGCCTGTTACAATGTTCTTAAATTAGCTAACAGTCCCATAAACCCTGAGTGGACATATTCACCCTGTTTCCTGCCTGGTCTGTTCTCCTGCGGGTGGAAATATAATTTTCAGTGCTGGAAATTTTTTTTTTTTTTTTTGAGACGGAGTCTTGCTGTGTCACCCAAACTGGAGTGCAGTGGCACCATCTCGGCTCACTGCAATCCCCGCCTCCAGGGTTCAAGCGAGTCTCCTGCCTCAGCGCCCCGAGTAGCTGGAATTACAAGCTCACACCACCACGTCCAGCTAATCTTTTTTGTATTTTTTGTAGAGACAGGGTTTCACCATATTGGCCAGGCTGGTATCAAACTCCTGACCTCAAGTGATCCACCCACCGTGGCCTCTGAAAGTGTTGGGATTACAGGTGTGAGCCACCGTGCCTAGCCAATTCACTGGTTTCTCTGTTTCTCTGTCGCCCCTGCTTTAAGATGTTTAGCATGTGGCCTCGCTCCCTGGTGACAGCACAGTCCCAAAGCCCAGTAATATATTTTAAAGAAGTCTATTAAAGGTACGAGCTTAGCTGGACTGACCCATTATCTGAAATCTGTGTGTGGCCTTCCCAACTTACATTGCCAATACTTGTGCCTGTTTCAACTTGAGATTCCTGTTCGGTGTACTCTCCCTTTAAGTTACCCTACTGCTGGTATCCTAACCTCCCAGAAAGAGAGCTAGAGTTTTATTTTGTTAAAGTAAAATCAGTATTCCCCAGTGCTCTGTATTTTACAAAATGCATTCACACATGACTGCCTTGATCCTCAGAATGATTCTGGGAGTTACTGTGTTTATCTCCATTTTGCAGATGAGCCCCAGAGAGGCGAAGCCACTTGAGCTCGTGAGTGACAGTCAGATGTCAAGCCCTGCTCTTTCTAAAGCGTGCTGCCTTCAGAAAAGAAGAGCCAGAAGGATGGAAATTACTTCAGAAAGATGAATACCAGCTTTGAAGGAATAAAAGCTGACGAGGAATTGAAGGAGTTGAGGCACGAGCTTGAACAGGGTTGCATGTTTGGCCCTTGATTGTAAATGCCCATTGCTGCACCTGTTCCTGTTACTTGGGGAGTTGCAGCAGAAGGAACAGCGGCCTGGGACTCCAGAGAACTGGGTTCCCTCTCATCCCTCCAGGGCCACCACTTCTTGTGGGCCCTTGGGCAAGTCACTGTACTTTCTGAGTCTCAGTTTCCCCATTTGCAGAATGGAAATAACTACCCCGGTCTACCAACTTAGAAGAATTGCTTTGAGGATCTGATAAGGTGGTGTGGATGATGCTGCCTTGGGGGCTTTACAGTCTGGAGCTCAAGGGACCCCTTAAGTTGGGCTTACTTAGTAACTCCAGGGGTGGGCAGAACAGGACTCCAATGAGGGTTTTTTTCTTTTTCCCTTTTTTTTCTTTTCCTATCTCTTAACTTTTATCTTTATTATTTTACAATGCCCTTGTAAGATGAAACAAGTGATGCTGAAATATCTTTTTCTTTTTTAACCTTTATTTTAGAATTGGGGTACATGTGCAGGTTTGTTACATAGGTACAGTGTGGGCTGCTGAGGTTTGGGAGTACGAATGAATTAGTCACCCCAGTGGTGAGCATAGTGCCCGATAAGTGGTTTTTTCAACCCTTACTCCCATCCCTCTCCATTCTTGTGTTCCCCAGTGTCTGCTGTTCCCATTTTTATGACCATGTGTACTCAATGTTTAGCTCCCACTTAGAAGTAAGAACATGCCCAGCACTTTGGGAGGCCGAGGTGGGTGGATCATGAGGTCAAGAGATCGAGACCATCTTGGCTAACAAAGTGAAACCCTGTCTCTACTAAAAACATAAAAAATTGGCCGGGTGTGGTGGTGGGCACCTGTAGTCCTAGCTACTCGGGAGGCTGAGACAGGAGAATCGCCTGAACCGGGGAGGTGGAGGTTGCAGTGAGCTGAGATTGTACCACTGCACTCCAGCCTGGGTGACAGAGTGAGACTCCATCTCAAAAAAATAAAAATAAAAAAATAAAAAGAATGTGGTGTATGATTTTGTTTTCTGTTTCTATGTTAATCCACTTAGGATAATGGCCTCCAGCTACATCCACGTTGTTACAAAAGACACGATTTCATTCTCTTATATGGCTGCCTAATATTCCACGGTGTATATGTACCATATTTTCTTTATCACATCCACTGTTGATCCACACCTGGGTTGATTCCATGTCTGTGCTATTGTGAATAGCACTGCAGTGAACATGTGGGTGCGTGTGTCTTTGTGGTAGAACGATTTCTTTTCCTTTGAGTATAATATATCCATTAATGGGATGGGGCTGACATACTTAAAGTAGAAACGAAAATTGTCATGTGCTCCCCCACGCCCCTCCATTCTACTCTGCAGAGAGACAGCTGCCTGCTGTTTGTGGTTTAGTACACCTCCTTCCAGGCTTTAAATAAACTAAACCCATGCATATTTCTCTGTGTATACTTTTTCAGTACATGTACACGTGCACTTGTTTGTACAGTTTGTTCTTTAAATTTTATAAAAATGTCCCCTATACTGCATCTTGATTTATCCTCCTCATGATTTTAAGACCTTGCTACATCAGAGCTACTTTTCTATTCTAGAAAGAAAGACATGGCCAGGCGCGGTGGCTCACACCTGTAATCCCAGCACTTTGGGAGGCCGAGGCGGGTGGATCACCTGAGGTCAGGAGTTCGAGACCAGCCTGGCCAACATGGTGAAATCCCGTCTCTACTAAAAATACAAAAATTAGCCGGGCATGGTGGCACGTGCCTGTAATCCCAGCTACTCAGGAGGCTGAGGCAGGAGAATCACTTGAATCCGGGAGGCGGAGGTTGCAGTGAGCCAAGATCTCACCATTGCATTCCAGCCTGGGCAACAAGAGTGAAATTCCGTCTTAGAAAAAAAAAAAAAAAAGACAGACACAGAAACTCTTTTCAATGTCTCTTTTCAATGTCTGGGCATTTTACAGGTATGTATATTTAATGTATTATTTAATTTGGGTTATTACCAATTTTTATTATTTTATTTATTTATTTATTTATTTAGAGACAGAGTCTCACTGTCTCCCAGGCTGGAGTGCAGTGGTGCGATCTCGACTCACTGCAACTTCCGCCTCCTGGGTTCAAGTGATTCTCCTGCCTCAGCCTCCCGAGTAGCTGGGATTACAGGCATGCGCCACCATACCTGGCTAATTTTTGTATTTTTAGTAGAGATGGGTTTTCAACATGTTGGCCAGGCTGGTCTCAAACCCCTGACTTCAGGTGATCCACCTGTTTCAGCCTCCCAAAGTGCTGGGATTACAGGTGTGAGCCACCACACCTGGCCTGGTTATTACCAATGTTTAAAATATTACCAATGGTGCTGCATTAAAATGCTTGTCAAACAAGTTTGTCCTCTTGTAAATGTATTTTGAAGTGAAGTTGCTGGTAACACAGATTGTAATATTTGATGAACAGGCAGAATTCCTGGATTCCACTCCCACCAGTGGTGTTTGGGGCACCCATTGGCCTACGGTAGTTCTCAGCCAGAGATGCTTCTTCCTCTGAGGTTCTGCCCCTGAGGGGACATTTGGCAATGCCTGGAGATATTTTTGGCTGTCACAACTTGGGGGATGGTGACGGAGATGCTACTGATATCTAGTGGACAGAAGGCAGGGATGCTGCTTGACACCTTACAATAAACAGGAGAGTCCCCCACAACAAAGAGTTATGTCAATAGTTCCAAGGATGAGAAACCCTGGCCTCCACCAAGATTGCCAGTGGGGGACAGTGTCATTCTTTCCAATCTTGCCAATCTGGTAGTTTGCAAAATGATAATTTATTCTATACCTTTTCAGGATAATAGAGATATCTTTATTTCTTCCTTTATATATTACTTGAATTTGATATAATGAACATGTATGATTTCTATAATTCTTTTGAAAGGCCATTAAGGATTTTTTATTTATTTATTTATTTTTGAGACGGAGTATCCCTCTGTTGCTCATGCTGGGGTGCAATGGCGCAATCTCGGTTCACTGCAACATCTACCTCCCGGGTTCAAGCAACTCTCCTGCCTCAGCCTTCTGAGTAACTGGGACTACAGGCACCCACCACCACGACCGGCTAATTTTTGTATTTTTAGTAGAGATGGGGTTTCACCATGTTGGCCAGGCTGGTCTCGAACTCCTGACCTCGTGATCCACCCACCTCAGCCTCCCAAAGTGCTGGGATTACAGGAGTGAGTCACTGCACTCGGCGCCATCAAGGGGTTTTTTTAAAGGTCTCTACCTCTTGGACCATTAACTGTTGACTGATGTTGCAGTGTGTTCCTAAGACTTAATTGTGTACGTGCCTGTGTGTTTTTCCTTGATGAGGTATAGAAGGAAGTCCTCAGTGCGGGCCTTGAGAATCCATCCGTGCTTCAGGTTCCAGTCTCCCATCCTCTGGCCATCAGAATTCCTCTATTGCTCTTCCAAACCATTTTCACCTGGTTGACACCCAGGCCCAGGGGCCATCTCCAAGAATCACCTTGGCCCAGAGAGACTCGTTACCACTGAGCAGACCTCCAAAACAAAATGTACCTTGCGGCTGACCCTGGGAAACCCAGCACATACACCATGGACTCATCTGCCCAGGGGCACATTTCATGCCCACGTTCATTTCCCAGCTTTGAAACCTGAGATCTATTTGCCCAGTGAAATTCCAGGGCTGTCAGAGCTGAGCCAAGCCCCCTGGTGCTGCTGCGGAGCTGGAGCTGGAGCTGCTGGCATAGGCTCTGGTGGGGCTCACATTCCCTCCTCATCTCCACTATGTCCCGTCAGAGTGGAAATGGAGTGGAGCCCAGTCTCACCCACTCCCACCCCCCACCCCCCCACCCGGCATGGCAAGGACTCCTGGAGCAGTACCGCACTCCTTCCACTTGGTGCAGAGTCAGCCAGAGTCAGCCTGGACGAAGTGTCCACGGGGAACTTGTTGGTATCACTTGGATATTCCCAAGAAAATTTCCCACGTGGTAGAAGTAGCGTAGACTTGCCTGCAGCCCTTGTGAATCGTGTGGAGTGGGCTCCTCCAATAGCCGACGTTCAGAGTGGGCAGACAGCTCCTGGCCCTGGTGCCGGGCACAGGACTTCTGCCAGCAGTTCTGTGTGTTTGATCTGCAGCCCAGTGTGGTTTTCCAGTAAAGCAAAGGTGTATGTGGAGGTTGCGTGGTCTAACGTCTCCACTCTCTAGAATCCACACCAGTCATGTCAGGGGCATGGAGTGTCCAAGCTGTGAGGCCATGAATGCCGGAGACACCTGAGCATTGCTGACGTGGAGAGATGGCAGTAATCGGGAGGGGAGGAGAGGACATAAGGAGATGGGCCTGAGTTCTCAGCCTGCCCTGCTGCCCATCCTGGGCAGATAAATCACTGGACCTCTTGGGCCTCAGCTTCCTCATTAACTGGTTATTGGAAGCATTCACCCTTTTTCAATCTGAAGTTTCCTCAAAAACACTGCCAATTAGAGAAAGCTGGCTAAAATGAACTAGAGATTTAAAGTAGAGTTTAGAGTAAGTCCAGCTCCTGTCTCTTATTCAAAAGTAACCAATGCTCAGAATAGGAAGGAAAAAAAAGAAATACAGCCAAGCAAAAAGTAGCTCCTAAAGAACACCCATGATTCCACCCACCCAAAGGCCGTGGCATCCTGGTGGAAGCCTTCTAGATACGTGGTTCTTTTCCTTTTGTTTTATTGAAATGTAGTCTCACTCTGTCACCTAGGCTGGAGTGCTGTGGTGAAATCTGGGCTCACTACAACCGCCGCCTCTCCTGTTCAAGCAATTCTCCTGCCTCAGCCTCCTGGGTAGCTGGGATTACAGGAGCCCCCGACCATATCCGGCTAATTTTTTGTATTTTTAGTAGAAATGGAGTGTCACCATGTTGGCCAGGTTGGTCTCGAACTCCTGACCTCAAGTGATCTGCCGGCCTCGGCCTCCCAAGGTGCTGGAATTACAGGCGTGAGTCACAACACTTGGTCAATATGTGATTCTTAACCCGGATTAGTAGCCTGCTTTTGGGGAAGGGAGCCCCTGAATTCACTAAAGTTGTGTGTTTGGGTTCAAGTTTCTACCTCTCATTCAATTCACAGAGAGGTTCTTGACTCATTGAAACAAGAACCAGTGTTTTAAGTATTTTCTTTGCATACATATCAAAAATACCTTTAATGAGATCTGACCACACAGGCTATTTTGCAATTTGCTGTTGTCCCTTACTAATATACTGAGCTTAATTTAACAAACCGTCTTTTGTGGGCCCTTTAGGATATTCTAGTTGTGTTGCTGTTACAACGAGTGCAGTGCACATATAAGTTGGGTGAAGAAGAATTAGAGCATAAAGAGAAATCAAGGAAAAAAAAACCATAAAATTTGAACAGCTGACAAAAGTGCTCAAAAGGGCACGAAAGGATGTCAAATTATCCTACAGTGATAAAAATTATCAATAAGAAACACGCAAGGGGCCGGGTGCAGTGGCTCATGCCTGTAATCCCAGCACTTCGGGAGGCTGAGGTGGGCGGATCACCTGAAGTCAGGAGTTCGAGACCAGCCTGGCCAACACGGTGAAACCCTGTCTCTATTAAAAATATAAAAATGTGGCAGGTGTGGCGGACGCCTGTAATCCCAGCTACTGGGGAGGCTATGGCAGGAGAGTTGCTTGAACCTAGGAGGCAAAGGTTACAGTGAGCCGAGATCCCGGCATTGCACTCCAGCCTGGGTGACAAGAGAGAAACTCTGTCTCAAAAAAAAAAAAAAAAAACACAAGGGGCCGGGAGTGGTGGCTCACGCCTGTAATCCCAGCACTTTGGGAGGCTGAGGCAGGCAGATCACTTGAGGTCAGGAGTTCGAGACCAGCCTGGCCAACATGGTGAAACCCTGTCTCTACTAAAAATACAAAAAGTCAGGTATGGTGGCATGCACCTGTAGTCCCAGCTACTTGGGAGGTTGAGGCGGGAGAATCACTTGAACCCAGGAGGCAGAGGTTGCAGTCAACTGAGATCACGCCGCTGCACTCCAGCCCGGGCAACAGAATGAGACTGTCTCAAAATAAAAACAAACAAGGGACTAATATTTTCAACCAATTATATTGAAGTCAACAAATATTTATTGGGCAGATGCTATGAATATTATCTGCCGGACCCTCTGCCAGGTGCTGCAGACTCAACAGGTAGCCGCCACTGACCTTACTGAGCTTACAAACTAGCAGAGACCAACATGGAAGTTATTTCACACTCAGACAGTTTGTGTTTAACCAAACTGCCTTCATGCCCCATGACCTTGGCCACAGCTCTCTCATTATGGAAACTGTCAGGAGGTCTGGGCATAGGCGCGGTTTGATGAATCAACGTTGGCAGGGAGAGACACAGAGGAATCCTGAATCATCTCGCTCCCCATGCTCTTCTCGCGCCATGACCCGGCCTCCCTGCCTTTGGGGAGGCTGCATGTTCCAGCCCTGAGTGGAGGCCCCCTCCAAGCTCACACCCAACCCACAGGTTCTCCCTGAAAGAAGGTCATTCAACCCCTGCATGTTCTTTTCAGAAACAGGATGTTCACTGCCCTCTGCCTCAGCCCCTTCCTGCTTGTTTGAACCTTTTCCTTATATTGAACTGCAACAGCGCTCCCTATAACTTCCTCTGATTGGTCCCAGAACCTCACAGAACAAGTCTGTCATTTTCTCCAACCTGCAGATCTAAAGACCTTTAGATCTTCCTTGGGTGAAGCATGCAATCCCATAGTCTGCTCCTTGAGTGGATGCCGAGGGTCTGTGATGCCCTTCCCTGGCAGGAAGGGCCTGCAAACCCCTGCTGATTCACCAAACTGCACATGCCCAGACCTTCTGACAGGGTATTCATGAGCAGATGGCCACAGCAGGGGGCAGCAAGGGCCAGACACTTGGGGGCCAGCTATGCTGATGACACTGAAAAAACTTTCGCAGCTTCAAGAGCTGGGTGGGGAAGGACGAGAAGATGGGCCAGCCCTGATTGGAGGACCTAATCGGCTGTCCTCCCAAAAGGAGCCTGTGTGCCTTACAGCAGAGCTTCTCACAATTAAAGTGCATGCCAATCTCCTGGAAGTCTGCTAAACTGTGGGCTTAGGGTAGGGCCTGAGACTCTGCATTTCTTACAAGCTCCCAGTGCTGTGCTGATGCTTTAGACTATGCTTTGAGTAGCAAGACCCTGGGGCAGAGGGGAGGATCACAGTCCTCTATGAGAGCTTTAAAAATAGGGAAAGCGGCTGGGCACGGTGGGTCATGCCTATAATCCCAGCACTTTGGGAGGCTGAGGCGGGCAAATGACCTGAGGTCAGGAGTTCAAGACTAGCCTGGCCAACACGGTGAAACCCTATCTCTACTAAAAATACAAAAATTAGCTGGGCGTGGTGGTGGGTGCCTGTAGTCCCATCTACATGGGAGCCTGAGAGAGGAGAATCGCTTGAACCCAGGAGGCAGAGGTTGCAGAGAACCAAGATCATGCCACTGCACTCCAGCCTGGCGACACAGCAAGACTCTGTCTCAAAAATAAGTAAATAGGCTGGGCGCCTAATTATTTATTTATATTTATATATTTTTTATATTTATATTTTTTAAATAAATTTATTTTTATAAATTTATTTTATAAATAAATAGGCTGTGCACCTATTTATTTTTATTTATATATATTTTTTATTTATATTTTATTTATATTTATATTTATATTTATTATTTATTTATTTTATTACAGGCTCTCGCCTGTAGTCCCAACACTTTGGGAAGCCAAGGCGGGTGGATCACTTGAGGTCAGGAGTTTGAGACCAACCTGGCTAACATGGTGAAACCCTGTCTCTACTAAAAATACAAAAATTAACTGGTTGTTGTGGCAGGCATAAGCCCAGCTACTCGGGAAGGCTGAGGCAGGAGAATCACTTAAACCCGAGAGGCAGAGGTTGCAGTGAGCTAAGATCATGCCACTGCACTCCAGTCTTGGCAACAGAGTGAGACTCCATCTTAAAAATAAATAATAAATAAATAAATAAATAAATAAATGTGGATTCCCAGGCCATACCATAAACCAATTAAATCAGAATCTCTAGGGCTGGATTCCTGGCATTGCTACTTTATAAAAGGCCTTAGTTAGTTCTAATGTGCACACAGGGTAAAAAATCAGTGATTGACACCCCTCCACTCCCCGCCACCTTCTCTTTCACTGCTTCAGCTTGAAATCTCTACTGGGTGAGACTGATGACCAGCCCAGTTTGGTTTGGAGCAGAAGCAGTGGTTTTCAGGATCACCTGGGAGCTTTATAAAATGTCCATGTCAGGGCTCCTGCCCCAGACCAACTGAATCAGAATTGCTAGGTGTCAGGGCCAAGAGATTCTTGTTTCACAAAGCTACCCAGATGGTGCTAAGGTTCAGCCACCAGTGTAGAGCCTAATATAAGAACCATCTAGGATTACCACATTCTTCCGCTGAACATTCAGATTCAAAGTCTGGGGTGAGGACCAGGAACCTGTATGTTTAACAAGTGCCATAGGTGATTCTCATGAGATGCAAGGTTGAGAAACACAGATGGAGGAAAGATCCCTGGATTGGAGTCAGTAAGACAGGGCTCCTGGCTGTGTGACTTCTCACAGGTCACTTACCCTCTCTGAGATTCATGTCTTCATCTGTAAAATAGAGATGATGATAATAACTGCGTGAGGCAGAGATGGATCTCTGCCCCCAGAGACCTGTGTTCTCAGTCCATAGGACGCAGTAGGTGTTGGAAAGAGGCTGCCACTCACCAGGGACTGCATTTCCCAGCTCCACTTTGCATTGAGGTGGGGCGACCACATGACTGAGTTGTGGCCAATGAATGTGGGCAGAAGTGAGGAATGCTGCTGCCCATAAAACCCCCATGATCCGCCACTCTCTCTGCCCATCTGCCCATTGGATATCAATGCCTGGGGTAGCTTCAAAGCCCCAAGGGAAAGTTGATAGAACTCTTTGTTCCTCCCCACACCGCTGCCAACTGGACTTTATATGAGTGAAAAATAAACGTCCATGTGTTTAGCTACTGTGACTTGTATCTGTTAAAGTAATGAGTGCTATGTTACCAAACATACTGCCTCTGGGAGTGTGGCAAAAATTAAATGCTCTAATGCAGAGGTTGCAAACAGACAAGGTGTGGGCTTGGATCCACCCTGTAGATATGTTCTGTTATGCCTGCCCCAGTGTTCTTTTTTATATAAATTTATCAATAAATTTTTATTTTTATTTTTTATGAGATGGAGTCTTGCTCTGTTGCCCAGGCTGGAGTGCAGTGGCGCCATCTTGGCTCACTGCAACCTCTGCCTCCCAGGTTAAAGCGATTCTCCTGCCTCAGCCTCCCAAGTAGCTGGGATTACAGCCGCACAGCACCATGCCCAGCTAATTTTGTATTAAGAGATGGGGCTTCGTCATATTGGCCAGGCTTGTCTCGAACTCCTGACCTCAGGTGATCCACCTGCCTTGGTCTCCCAAAGTGCTGGGATTACAGGCGGGAGCCACTGCACCCAGTCGAATTTATTAATACATTTTTAAATGAGCAAATTCACACAAACCTCTGGATTTCCAGGTTCGTGAAAACCCAGAATCGCTGGCACCTGGGTTTGCATTCCAGTGGCTGGACGAGGAGCGGCTGTCCTGTTGAGCGGAACTTGTGCTCCCCAGTTTGCCACAGTCTCCACCACACAGCATTGCTTTATGCCTGGCTTGCCTCACATTCATGACACTTCTCCCATATGCCTACAGCTTCTCGAGTCAGTGAACCCTGATGCAATAGATGTAGAAGTTACGCGTTAGCTGTTAAGATTTTTCACAGCAAAATTCAAGTGACTTCTTGCTCTCAGGAAAGCCATTCTTGCCCAGAATTTGGAAGCAAAATCTTCTGGGTACTCCTTACGGGCTGAAAGATGTTCCCCACCCCGACCCTACCCATATCTGTGGCCATTTCAGCATCCGCTACATGGAGGCAGAGGTAAGAGATGGGACAAGCTCAACTGGATTTGGGGGTCAGATAGACCTGGGTCCCAACGCCAGCTATGCTTGCTTCCTAGCTGGGGATTTGGGGCCAGGCATTTCTTGTTTTCTTTCTTTCTCTCTCTCTTTTTTTCTTGCTCACTTTTCTCTCTCTCTTTCTTTCTTGCTCACTTTTCTCTCTCTCTCTCTATCTCTCGCTCTTTCTTTTTTTTGAGATGCAGTTTCTCTCTTGTCACCCAGGCTGGAGTGCGATGGCACAATCTCAGCTCACTGCAACCTCTGCCTCCCAGGTTCAAGCAATTCTTCTGCCTCAGCCTCCCAAGTAGCTGGGATTACAGGCACCCACAACCATGCCCAGCTAATTTTTGTATTTTTAGTAGAGACGGGGTTTCACCATGTTGGTCAGGCTGGCCTCGACCTCCTGACCTCCGGTGATTCGCCCGCCTCGGCCTCCCAAAGTGCTGGGATTACAGGTGTGAGCCACAGCCCTGGTCAGCATTTACTGTTTTCTGAGTTGCTGTTTCCATCTGTCAAATGTGGACATTAATGCCCTTTCCATGAGATTTTGGTAACAGGTCTAGCTCAGAAGGACACTCAGACGATGTGAATTCCCTTCCCTTTTCCTGCAGTGTGAGGACCAGGATTGGCTTGCCCTCAGTGGTCACGGGGAAATCAAGCAATATCTTTTTTTTTTTCCTAAACAACTTTGATTTAAAAAATTAAAAAAATATATGGAATAATGCATGTCTACAATAGGTATATTAGTCAGCTTGGGCTGCCATAACAAAATATCACACCCCAGGTGGCTTACACATCAGAAACTAAATGAAAGAAGTAGACCAAAAAAAAAAAAAAATCAGAAACTCATTTTCTCATAGTTGTGGAAGCTGCAAGTCCAAGATCAAGGTGCCAGCAGGGTTGGTTTCTGTTGAGGCCTCCCTTGCTGACTTGCAGACGGCAACCGTCTCACTGTGTCCTCACAGGGCCTTTCTTCTGTGAGCACTCCTGTGTCTCTTCCTCTTAGAAGAACAAGAGTCTTGTTGAATTAGGGCTTTGCCCTTATGACCTAATCTAACCTTTATTGTGTCCTCAAAGGCCCTATTTTCATATATAACCACATTAGGGATTACTTCATCATATCAATTTTCGGATGCACAATTAAGTCCATAACAGAAGGAAAATCAGAAACTCCAATTAAGAAAAATAAACAACAGGCCAGGTGCAGTGGCTCATGCCTGTAATCCCAGCACTTTGGGAGGCCAAGGAGGGTGGGTCATTTGAGGTCAGGAGTTCAAGACCAGCCTGGCCAACATGGTGAAACTCTGTCTCTACTAAAAATACAAAAATTAGCCAGGTGTGGTGACACGTGCTTGTAATCCCAGCTACTTGGGAGACTGAGGCAGGAGAATTGCTTGAACCCAGGAGGTGGAGGTTGCAGTGAGCCGAGATTGTGCCACTGTACTCCAGGCTGGGTGACAGAATAAGACTCCATTCAAAAAAAAAAAAAGAAAGAAAAATAAACAACAACAAAAAAGCCCACTCATGATCTCTTCTTACCCTTGTCTCCAATCTCAATATAACCACATGACTACTATTAGACTTTTATTGACTGCCCTTCTACAATTTATATGTCTTAAAAAATTGAATTGTACATACTTTTTTGGTAACCCTTTTTTTTCCTCTTTACATTTTAAAGATTGTAATAACCTAAGCTAAATAGAATTTTTAAAACACCTTACATAATCAATACCTGTTCTTAAAATTTAAACGTATCATGAAATCCTTCCTTATATTTAGTGGATATAAATTATTCCATGGCCAGGCATGATGACTCACACCTATAATCTCAACAATTTGGGACACCTAGATGGGCAGATTGCTTGAGCTCAGGAGTTCAAGACCAGCCTGGGCAACATGATGAAACCCCATCTCTATGAAAAGTACAAAAGTTAGCTGGGCATGGTGGCACAAGACTGTTGTCCCAGCTACTCAGGAGGCTGAAGTGGGAGGATCACCTGAGCTCGTGGAGGTCGAGGCTGTAGTGAGCCATGATTGCATCACTGCACTCCAGCCTGGGCAACAGAGTGAGACCCTGTCTCAATCAATCAATTCATCCAACCATGTTATAGATATACTCTAATTTTTAAATCAAATCCCCTATTGTCTGGACACTTCAAAGTCCATTTTCTATGGACTTAGTGTTCATTAGCTCTTGACTTTAGGCTACTAATATTCATATCCAGATGAGTGTCAGTTTCCCGATGTATATTATAAGGATGATAACAATATCTATCTCAATTACAATAACGTCTATAAAGTGCTTAGCACACTGTCTGACACATGGAAACCCTCATGACTGTTATTATGATTATTATAAATCTGTAGAACCTTGTATACCTAGCCAATGGTTTCTATATGATAAATTCGTAAAAGGTAAGTATATTTGACAGATTTTTGTTAAATTTCACCAAATTTTCTTCCTGAGAGGCTAGGCAAATCCACAATCTGTTATCTGGAATGAATTTTTGAATTTGGCTTTTGTGAGATTTTAGAAAGGTAATGTAGTACTATACTATATATTATGTGAAATTCCCAGTGGGGGCTGGGGCAGCACCTCATAATCAAATACATTAATGTTTCTTTAGAGAGAGATAAATAAAGATCATAGTCTCATATCAGTTCAGTGCAGATGTTGTCACTAAATGAGTTTGTCTTTTTTTTTTTTTTTTTTTTTTTTTGAGACGGAGTCTCGCTCTGTCGCCCAGGCTGGAGTGCAGTGGCGCGATCTCGGCTCACTGCAAGCTCCGCCTCCCGGGTTCACGCCATTCTCCTGCCTCAGCCTCCCGCGCAGCTGGGACTACAGGCGCCCGCCACCACGCCCGGCTAATTTTTTTGTGTTTTTTAGTAGATACGGGGTTTCACTGTGTTAGCCAGGATGGTCTCGATCTCCTGACCTCGTGATCCGCCCGCCTTGGCCTCCCAAAGTGCTGGGATTACAGGCGTGAGCCACCACGCCCGGCCATGAGCTTGTCTTAAACTTGTAACTTGTAGTTGGGATAGAGAGAGAAAACTTTTGATTTTATAACGTTGGACTTTAAAATTGCAGTCAGGGAATTATTGACTTTCATAATTGGCAAGTTTAGTAGGCTGGAGCGGTAGGGTTACTTAAGATAGCAACTCAGTTATTTCATCCAGAGGCCATTTGCTTCCACCTCAGTACCCTGTCACTTGGTGTCCGCTTCATTCAAGTCTGGTTCCCCTCAAGAATGGCTGCCGGGAACAGTGGAGGCTACAGGCTTCCTGGCTGATGTCTAGCAGCCACATCCCATGGCCCGGCGCAGTGGCTCATGCCTGTAATCCCAGCACTTTGGGAGGCCAAGGTGGGCAGATCACCTGAGGTCAGGAGTTCAAAACCAGCCTGGCCAACATGGTGTAACACCGTCTCTACTAAAAATACAAAAGTTAGCCAGGTGTGGTGGTGCATGCCTGTAATCCCAGACACTTGGAGACTGAGGCAGGAGAAACACTTGAACCCAGGAGGCGGAGGTTGCAGTGAGTCAAGATCACACCTCTGCACTCTAACCTGGGCAACAGAGTGAGACTCTGTCTCAAAAAAAAAAAAAAAAAAAAAAAAAAAGAGCAGACACATCCCACAAGCACTGCACAAAAACCTGAGCTTTGCATTAACAGGACCACCAGCGAAATGCTCTGGGCTGACTGGCTCACGTATTAGAAACAATCACTGGAACAAGGGAGGATGGGATCAACCTGATTGGCTTTGACCACTGGGACAGGAGTCAAGGTAAGCTCCACCCCACTCCCTTGGCAGCAAGGCAGCAACATGATGGGGTGGGGTGAGGGGAGGTAGATGTATGTAGAATAGATGTTGGACAGATAACCACAGTGTCCACTGCAGATTTTAGTATGAATTGCTTGTTTCTAATTTTCATTACTACTTATTGATTTGTAGGAGCTCTTTATATATGATGAATATTATGCCTTGATATGGTTTGGCTGTGTCCCCACCCAACTCTCTTCTTGAATTGTAGCTCCCATAATCCCTACATGTTGTGGGAGGAACCTGGTGGGAGGTCATTGAATCATGGGGGCGGGTTTTCATGTGCTGTTCTCATGATAATGAATAAGGCTCATGAGATCTGATGGTTTTATAAAGGGCAGTTCCCCTGCACACACTCTCTTGCCTGCTGCCAAGAGAGTACATGTAAGACATGTCCTTGCTCCTCCTTCACCTTCCACTGTGATTGTGAGGCCTCCTCAGCCATTAAACCTCTTTTTCTTTGTAAATTATCCAGTCTCAGGTATTTCTTCATAGCAGTATGGAAATGGACTAATACATATTTTTATGTAAATTGTGAATATTTCTCCCAGTCTATTGCTTATCCTTTAACTTTATTTTATAATTTTTGTGGTACAAAATTTTTTAAGCTTTGTGTATCAAATCTGTCAGCCCTTCCCCTACTCTTTTAGTCCAAGCAGGATTTGAAGTGTTTTGGGGCGGAAGGGAAAATGATGGGGAGCAGCAGTGCCCTTCAAGACCTTGGAAATAATGTCACCTCTCGGAATTAAAATGACACCCAGTGAATGCAATTAGTGTTCTGGAAAAGAGAATTGAGAGACTGTGTAAAAGTGTGGAACGGAGACTTTAGGGTCACAGCAAACTTCCGTCAGGCTGAGCAGAGGTCATCACCAGGCGCAGGCCAGGGGGCATTCATTGATTGACTTGTTTATTTAATACTGGACACCTACTCTGTGTCAGGCTCTGGGCCGGGAGCTGAAGGCAGAGGTGAACATTACCAAGTCCTTACTCTTATGGAGCTTATATCCCTATCAGAGAGATAAATAATAACTGCATGGCAGGCCAGGTGTGGTGGCTCACATTTGTAATTCCAGCACTTTGTGAGGCTGAGGCAGGTGGATCCCTTGAGGTCAGGAGTTTGCGACCAGCCTGACCAACATGGGGAAACCCCATCTTTACTGAAAATACAAAATTAGCCAGGGGAGGTGGCGCACACCTGTAATCCCAGCTATTTGGGAGGCTGAGGCAGGAGAATCGTTTGATCCTGGGAGGCGGAGGTTGCAGTGAGCCGATATCAAGCCATTGCGCTCCAGCCTGGGTGACAAGAGTGAAGCTCCATCTCAAAACAAACAAACAAAAAAACAAACAAAAAAACCCTGCATGCAGACCCCCTGTTGGTAAGTGCTATGGAGAAAAACAAAGTCATATAAAGGAGTGCTGGGTCAGAGTAGCTACCTCTTTTACATGGGCAGTCAGGAAAGGTTTAGCTAATCCTAAGGTGGCATTCACATGAGCAGAGATATGAAGGTGGTGAGGGAGAGAGCTTGGGGAAAAAAAAAAGAAGAAGAGCATGGCAGGCAGTGGGAACAGCAAGTGAAGAGACCCTCAGCAAAGTTCGGGGCGGCACCCTCTGCCTCTAGGGAAGAGTCAGGAGGCCAATGGGCTGGGGCAGCAGGCAAGGGAGGGCAGAAAGAGATGGGGAGGTGTGATGGGGACCAGACGGGGCCAGATCAGGACCAGACGGGGCCAGATCGGGCAGCACCTTTAAGTCATTAGGACTTCAGCTTTCCTCTGTGTGAGATAAGACACCACTGGAGGATTGACTGTGAGTCACTAAACACCCCTGAGATCTTTGTATTAAACCCTGCCTGGAGAAAGACAGGAGACAGAGACAGTCAGTAAAAAAACTTGGAAAGGCGGCCCCAGAGAGCCAGAAGTCAGCCATGTGTCCTAGCCATGTTCAGGGAGGAGAGACACTGGCTGGGAAATCCCAGAATGGGCCAACTGAACCATCCATCCCCACATCAAGGTGATAACAGTATCCACCTTATTGAGATAATGACAGTGTGGTGCTTAGCGAGGTATTGAGCACATGGAACATCCTCCTGGCTGTTTTATGTCATGATAACATATGATCATATGTGTAATCAGACATTTTTAGTATACAGTCTGCCAGTATAGCTCTGGGTGAGATGTTCCTCAGGCACCCCATCTCATTGTGCCCTGGGTTCACATTCAATGGCAACCACTTGGTGGCTGAGTCCATTACTTACAGAAGGAGGGGAGGAGTAGTCCCACCCTGTGAGGAATACATACTTCAGGCCTTTTCGGATTTCTGACACCCAAACTGGACAATAATTTCACCACTTAAAACTCTCTAGGGGGCCGGGCATGGTGGCTGACACCTGTAATCCCAGCACTTTGGGAGGCCGAGACAGGTGGATCACCTGAGGTCAGGAGTTCAAGACCAGCCTGGCCAACATGGTGAAACCCCATCTCTACTAAAAATACAAAATTAGCCAGGCATGGTGGAGCATGCCTGTAATCCCAGCTATTCGTAGGTTGAGGCAGGAGCATTGCTTGAACCCAGGAGGTGGAGGTTGCAGTGAACCGAGATGGCACCATTGCACTCCAGCCTGGGCGACAGAGCGAGACTCCATCTCAAAAACAAAACAAAAACAAAACAAAAAACAAAACAAAACAAAACACTCTTCAGGGACTCCCCAGTGCCCTCGGCACAATGTGATGACTCCTGCAGGTGGCCTAAGTGGCCTGACAGTACCATTCAGCCTCATGTCTCCACTTTGCCCCCAGCAGATGAGTGGGCATCAGCCGGTCAAGCACTCTACTCTTGTCCCACCTCTGGGCCTGTGTCTCTACCTGGAGCATGCATCCTTTCCACCTTCTTCTCCCCAGCTGGCTATGTCCCCCTCATCCCACAAGCCTCTGCTTCAAGTCCCTGAGCAGATGCTGATGATGACTGCCTGTATGCCCCACTCTTCCCACTCAATGCACATCAGCTGACCCCTAGCTGGCAACACCCATGTTTATTGCCCGAGGGCTTTCTGTGCCACTGGGACCCACTCTGCCAACTGCAGGGCAGGCCTGAAGTGCCAGGGAATTAAAACTTCTCTCAAGAAGCAGCCCTCAAACAAAGACTGACAGGACCTGGTGTATAAATACCCCAGCTCTCTCCCTCCTTGGGCAGGGTAATGCTGAGGAACTTCATGCGGCTCTCAGAATTTTCCTTTGGAATTAAGCCCTGGTCACCCACAGTAGTAACTTGATTGGCAATACACCTTCTTTGGCTGTCTTTCCTGTCTTCCCCACTTGCCTCCCAGGATGTCCTTTTTCTCCAAAGTTAATGATGTGCCCTTGAATACTTGTCTCAGGGTCTGCTTGGCAGGAACCCATACTGAAAGCCATTGCCTCTGAAAAGCCTTCCCTGGCATCACCAGTGCTTAGACGGGGGATCCAGATGTCCCCTTCTGGCTCTACCACACCCCTTTCCCATCCCAGTCACAGCACGTATCACACAGTCCTATCACTGTCCAGGTCCCTATGGAAACACAGATGATTCACTAGGAAAGAAGTTAAATTGGCTTTTATTTGTTTGTTTGTTTTGAGACAGGGTCTTACTCCAGTTGTCCAAGCTGGAGTGCAGTAGCGCGATCTCAGCTCACTGCAATCCTCCCATCTCAGCCTCCCGAGTAGCTGGGACTACAGGTGCATGACACAACACCCGGCTAATATTTTGTATTTTTACTAGAAACGGGGTTTTGCCATGTTTCCCAGGCTGGTCTTGAACTCCTGGACTCAAAGAATCCACCCACCTCGGCCTCCAGAAGTGCTGGGATTACAGGTGTGAGCCACCACACCCAGCCTGGTTTTTAAACAGTTAAAGGAATGGTGAACTTCACTCATAATTAATGAAATTCACATAAAGAATGCCAGCTGACAAATGCAAACAAAAGGACAAAATTAGAAAATCACCATTTTCTAACGATAGTAACTGATTCAGTCAAAGACCATCAATGAATGAGGAACTGGACACCCACAAGGTGCTGGTCAGAAGAGGAGAAATGAATATTTACCTAGAGAGGAGTGGTCACCACCTGAACCCCATGATCAAGCTTGGCATTATTAGTAGTAGGACAGTTAGACACCAGGTAAGGTGAAATGGAGCATATAGCACCACTCGTGAAATATAATTACTTTCTCATCCCCAGAATGTTCCACCTAAATCTAATCCATCCATTGGATCTAAATACTAGTTTTGGGGAAATATAGGAGAGAGTACAGGAAGTTAAAGGACACCACAGTGAAGCAACGTGACAGATCCCAGAGAGGAACATTGTCCAAAACAACTGGCCCAGTCTCTTCATGAGTCAATGCCATTGGGAGTCAAAAAAAAAAAAAAAAAGAGTGAGGACCATATTAGATTAAAATAGACTTAAGACTGCAGGAACAAAATCCATTACATGGTCCTTGATTGGATCCTGGTTGAAACTACCTGTAAAGACATTTCTGGCAAAACTGGAGAAATTTGAATATAAATATATTTTTTGAGACAGGGTCTCACTCTGTTGCCCAGGCTGGAGTGCAGTGGTATGATCTCAGCTCACTACAACGTCCATCTCCCAGGCTCAAACGATTCCCCCCGCCTCAACCTCCTGAGTAGCTGGGACTACAGGCACATGCTACCACGCCTGGCTAATTTTTGTATTTTTTGTAGAGATGGGGCTTCACCATGTCACCCAGGGTGGCCTCAAACTCTTGGACTCAAGTGATACACCTGCCTCGGCCTCCCAATGTGCTGGGATTACAGGCATGAGCCACCATGCCTGGCCTTCATATTGCTAATTTCTTAATATGAAAATTGTATTTTATGTAAGAAAATGACCTATGTTAGATACAAATTATGTTGATACTTTATAAATATCTACTACTGATGTATTTAGTTGGAGAAATATCATGATGCCTGTAATTTATTTCAAAATACTTCACTCCCCAATTAAACACATATGGCAAGATTTTCACAATACTTATATCTAGGTGATAGATATATGGATGTTCATTGAGTTACTTTCATATGTTTGAAATTGTTTTGTAATAAGAAGAAAAAAATAAAAGCAAACTAAAGACATACCATTTTCTACCCATAGATTCACAAAGAAAAAGTTTTAAAATAGGCTGCGTTGGCAAGGGTGTAGGGAAATGGGCACTTTGGTACAACCTCTTTGAAGTGATGTTTGGCAAAGCCATGCCCTTCCATCCAGCAATTCCGCTTCTAGGAATTTAGCATACAGAGTATATAGAAATATGGGCAAATATATATAAATAAGGATATTCACTGCAGCTTTATCTTTATTATAAAAGATGAGAAACAACATATATGTCCATCAATAGAAGTTGTTAAGTAAATTTTTTGTGGTCTATTCATGTAGTACAGAG
The DNA here is from genome assembly GCF_000001405.40 of Homo sapiens. Lineage (NCBI taxonomy): Eukaryota > Metazoa > Chordata > Mammalia > Primates > Hominidae > Homo > Homo sapiens. Next base: position 44,244,261 of record NC_000020.11, read on the forward strand.
TCCTACAAAGTATAGGGTAGACGTGTTGTGCTGATAGGAAACTCTTTCCAAGATGTCTTGCTAAGTGAACAAGCCGAAGAGCAGGCCAGTGTCTGTCTGTCTGTCTTATTGCTGTATCTCTGGTGCCTAGCAACGCACCTGGCACACAGTGGGTCCACAATTAATATTAGTTGAGGGAACGAACACACATCTGAGCATGACTGCTGTGAGTCAGGCTCCCTAAATGCCACCAGTTTCAAGTCACTGATAGGGGCCAGATTTTCCACCGCCATCAAATTTCCATCCAACAGGATGGGCACTCCTGGTCCAACTGCTGGCATGCAAACCCGGGTGCCAGCTATTCTGGGTTTTCTTGAACCTGGAAATCCAGATATTTGTGTGAAATTGCTCATTTTAAAATTTGTCAATAAAATAACACTGGGTCAGGCATAACAGAACATATCTGCAGGGTGGGTCCAAGCCAACACATTGTCAGTTTGCAACTTCTGCATTAGCGCATTTAATTTTTGCCACACTCCCGGAGGCAGTATGTTCAGTAACATAGCACTTGCTGCTATAACAGATACAAACCTCAGTGGCTTCACACAATAGAAGTTTATTTTTCACTCATATAAAGTCCAGCTGGCAGCAGGTGTGGGGAGGAACAAGGAGTTTTATCAACCTTCCCTTGGGGCTTTCAAGTTCCTCCAGGCATTGATATTCAATAGGCGGATGGGAAGAGAGAGTGAAGAATCATGGGGATTTTATGGGCAGCAGCATTCCTCACTTCTGCCCACATTCATTGGCCACAAGTCAGTCATGTTGTCACCTCACCTCAATGCAAAGTGGAGCAGTCCCTGGTGAGTGGCAGCCACTTTCCAGCAACTACTGTGTCCTATGGACTGAGAACACAGATCTCTGGGTGACAGTGATCCATCTCTGCCTCATGCAGTTATCATTATCTCTATTTCACAGATGATGAGCCGAATCTCAGGGAGGGTAAGTGACCTGTGAGAAGTCACACAGCCAGGAGCCCTATCTTACTGCCTCCAATCCAGGGATCTTTCCTCTAGCTCAGTGTTTCCCAGCTGTGTTAGACCATTCTCACATTGTGATAAAGAAATACCCGAGACTGGGTAATTTATAAAGAAAAGAGGTTTAACTGGGTAATTTATAAAGAAAAGAGGTTTAATTGGCTCGTGGTTCTGCAGGCTGTACAGGAAGCATGGCACTGGCACCTGCTTGGCTTCTGGTGAGGCCTCAGAAAGCTTCCAATCACGGTGGAAGGCAAAGGGGAAGCTGGCATATCACATGGTGAGAAAGGAAGCAAGACAGAGTAGGGGAAGATGTGCCACATACTTATTTATTTATTTATTTATTTTTGCTTTCTTAATCTGTTCCTGACCACATACTTTTAAACAACCAGATCTCACAAGAACTCACTGACTATTGCAAGGACAGCACCAAGCCAAGAGGGGTCCACCCCCATGATCCAATCACCTCCTACCAGGCCCCACCTCCAGCACTGGGGACTACATTTCAACATGAAATTTGGTGGAGACACAGATGCAAACAGTATCACCAACCTTGCATCTCATGAGAATCACCTATGGCACTTGTTAAACCTACCAGATTGTGACCCTGGGAGCATACAGGATTGAATTTTCCTTCAAGACATACCATGCCCTTTTTTGCAAAATTGAACAGTGAACAACATCAAAAATTTCACAAGAGTGACAAAAAAAGTATGCTGAACCAGGGAGGCTAATGTAGCAACTGAGACTTGATAGAAAATGTAGCTACAGGCTTTGTGGCAGCCAAGGCAAAAAGGGAAACCCAGGGACCACAGAGCATCTGTTATCTGGTAGAAGGAGGTTCACCGGTTCCTTATGAGCCAGGCTTACAGCCTGGGGGATGAGGTACCCAGGAGTCCTTAGCAGCATGATGGATGGGGGTGGGCGGTCGGGGGTGAGAGGGAGGACTGAGCTTATCTTCCTAGTACATCTATTTGCATCTGTTGTCCCAGGGTCTGCTTCTGTATTTCCTCAATGGTAAATAAATTAAAACACAGTATTTATAGTAACGGAAGTATAGGTGTATTAAGGAACTTTGCTGAAGTTCTTATGTATGTTTAGGGCAGACTTTGTGACAGCAAAGGCATTATGGGCTTTCTTTGGGCTCATCTGGTTGTGCCTTGGTAGAAGATGCAACCTTGAACAAATGACTTGACATTTCTGAGCCTCGCCTTCCTCATCCGTGAAAAATGATTATTGTGCAGATGAAATGAGATGATGCATGTAAGGGGCTCAGGTTGATAAATGGTTGCTGTGCCATTGTTTATATTCTTACCATATTATCATGACCTTATGGCTAGGAGCACAGACTCTGGAGCCAGACTGCCTGTGTTCACATCAGCTCCACCACCTACCAGCTCGATGACCTTGGGCAAGGTCACTTAGCCTCTCTGTGCCTCAGTTTCCTTCTCTGTAAAATGAAGCTAATAGGACTATTGTGAGAGCTAAATGGGCTGATAGTTGTAAAGCTCTTAGAACAGTGCCTGGGCATACAGTAAGTGCTATGTAAGTGTCTGTTAAATAAATCATAGTCTGTTCCCTCTGCCCTTCGAGGCCCTTCAGGGGAAAAGTTAGAAGATAACAGCTTCAAAGCGAGACAAGTAATTTCCAGACACTAATTTCTAAAGGAATAGCTCTCTAGAATCCCAGTTAAGAAGTATTTGCCCCTTAGAAGACTGAGAGGCAGGAAAGCGTTGATGAGGGTGGAATCTTTGGCAGGTGCCTGGCCCAATACACTGAGCTGTTTGGGGGGCACGACCCACTTCCTCGGGCTCCTTCCACCCTTGCAGGGAGCCTGACACTGAGGGCTGGCGGCTTTTCTGGCGCGGGCCAGGGGGAGGAGGAGAAAGGAGCTCCCGGGATCCCCTCGCCCCCTCCCCCAACTGCCCGGTGAGTAATGACATTCACGGAGCGGGGAGGGAGGGAGGAGAGGGGCAGGCTCGGCGAGGCCATGTGATGCTGGGCGAGAGAGAGCCGCCGCGCCGGAGCCTCCTTCTTTCCTGCCTCTGATTCCGGGCTGTCATGGCGACCCCCAACAATCTGACCCCCACCAACTGCAGCTGGTGGCCCATCTCCGCGCTGGAGAGCGATGCGGCCAAGCCAGCGGAGGCCCCCGACGCTCCCGAGGCGGCCAGCCCCGCCCATTGGCCCAGGGAGAGCCTGGTTCTGTACCACTGGACCCAGTCCTTCAGCTCGCAGAAGGTAGAGCCGGGCCGGGAGCCGCCTGCGCCGGTGGCCAGGAAGCTTGGGGAGGGGAGCCCCAGGGCTTGAGGGATCTGAGGGCGGCGAAAGACTGGAGGGGGGAACCTGGGGTTTGGGGGTCCCGGAGGTCGGGGGACGCAAGGGTTCCTTCCAGGACTGCTCACCTGGGAAGCGACAGGCCCTGTCTGGGCCCCAGGAGCACAGTTCTCAATTTTAGGAGCATCCATTCTGCCTCTTTCCCTCCCAGAAACAGCCGGTCTGTTGGGGTGCGGGGCGGGTTGGGGGGGCTGAGAAAAGAGACAAAGGCGAGGGGAAGGGAATGGGCACTGCTGGGAAGGCGGCTTGGTGGGGTGGGAGGTGCTGCTGCTGCGGGGAGGGAGAAGAAGCGCTACTTGGGGTCCAGCCTCGGTAGCCCCCTCTCAGTCGCTCCCTGCACGCTGCCGTCCCGGACACTGCAGGCCCCCAGGTCACAGCTCCTCTGCCCCTCTGTCTGCGGGCCGCCTTCTGGCTAGGGCTTGGAGGGTCTGTCCCCAGTCGTCGCCCACCCCCCACTCCGTGTCTTGAGCTGAGAAGGAAGGAGTTAAACCATCCCCTCACACCAGCTCGGCTCAGCCCATCAGGTCTGTTTTGCTCTTAAAGGCACAGAGTGGCCCCAGCCCCTAAAATGCTTCTAGGACCTAGGGGACCTGAGGGGCAGTTGGAAATCCAACTGGATTCTCAGGGTTCCCGCTTCCTGGGGGTAAGGCTGTGAACTGCACCCCTCAGACAGGGGCGCCTCTAGGGGCGCAATCTCCCACCCTGGGCGGTTGTCCCGTCTCTGGGCCACGGATTCAGCACCATGGCCAGGGCCCAGAGGCAGGTCCTGCAGGGGCCTAAGCGGCACCACTGCCTGACCTTCTGACTCCTCTTCTTCCTGGAAGATCCTTTTGTTCCATTCGTTCATTTTCCAGATGGAAAAACAGAATCCATGAAGAGAAAGGGCCTTGGAACTCAAAGACTTAGATTTGAGTCTTGGTCCAGGCTCATTTCATCATCTGGAAAGCGGGATAGTGATACAACAATAGCCACTTCCAATCCCAACCCCTTCTCAGGGTTGCTGATATGGTTGTTGAAGAAGGGATATAACTTAGGAACTTAGTGTTATAGACTGGGACTACTCAAACTTGAGCGTGCATTAGAGTCCCTGGATGATCCTGGTTAAAACCCAGACTGCTGGATTCTACCCCAAGGATCCTGATTCAGTGGGTCTGGAATGGGGTCCAAGATGCTGCCTTTCCAACAAGCGACCAGGTGATGCTGATGAAGCTGGTCCACCAATCATATTGCCCACTGACTCACTGTGGAGCTGTGGACAGGTCCCTTTGCCTGTCCAAAGCCTCAGCTTTATAATCTGTAAAATGGGGTGAATGCAGTAACTTCCTCAGAGGGCTATTATGAGAGTGAAATGTGATATGATGCACAAAAGTACTGATGATGGCAGTGCCTGGCGAGAGGTCAAGACTCTGTTGATAATGAGTGTTATGATTTTTTTTTTTTTTTGAGACAGAGTCTTGCTCTGTTGCCCAGGCTGGAGGGCAGTGGCATGATTTTGGCTCACTGCAACTTCCGCCTCCTGGGTTCAAGTGATTCTCCTGTCTCAGCCTCCTGAGTAGCTGGGACTACAGGCATATGCCACCACACCCGGCTAATTTTTTTATATTTTTGGTAGAGACAGGGTTTCACCATGTTTGCCAGACTTGTCTCAAACTCCTGATCTCAAGTGATCCACTCACTTTGGCCTCCCAAAGTGCTAGTATTACAGGTGTGAGCCACCAGGAGCGGCCGTTATGATGTTATTAAGGCACTAGGTAAAGGAGGGGCCAGAGTTAATCAAGGTCATACTGGAGTCATCCACAAATTCTGCACATGCTTGCACGTGCCAGGCCTCATTCAAGGAGCCTGGGGATGGGGGCTTTGGAGATGAATCAGACTGCCCTTCAGAGTCTAGAACTTCCTCCCCGCTAGAACCTCAGGAAGTGGGCCCCAGCGGCTGGGACCAGACAGGGGGCAGGGAGGTGGCATCTCCCACAACCATATCATGAGGGAGCCTCCTGTTCTTTGCCTCATGAAATATTTCCTATGTAGCGTGAGCTCAGGGCTGAGGTGGCCCCTGAGTCAGGATGAGACCATCTGCTGCAGCCCCACTTTTGACCAAGTCTCTGGCCAAGCTAACCTGGGCATCCTTCTGTCTCCCATACCAGGGCCTTCCCCCTACCCAGGGGCCCATGGTGGATTCTAGAAGCAGTGTAGCTTGGCAGAAAGGGCATGGGCTCTGCAGTCATATAGTCCTGGGTTCTATTCTCGTCTTGGCTACTTACTGGCTGAGTGACCTTGGACAAGTCACTTTACCTCTCTGTGCCTCAATGTCCCTATCTGGAAAAGAGGATTTTACATCCTACCCTGCAGAATTCCTTTAGAAGACATAGGCATATGTTAACTTCCTGGCATGTAGTAGGAGCTTAGCAGATGAGTTTTCTTCCTTCTCTCCAATCCTGAAGGGCCTTAATTATATAAAGAGGGCAGTCCCCCATTGTCAAGCATCTAAATAGCCTGTCTTTAATGGCACATGAAATATGAATGGAAAAAAATAGTCCACCTCTAGGAGTGATGGTGGCTCCATTGGGCATTTGGAGATCATTCCAGACCCAGAGGGCAACAGGACAGTGTGTGGGTCCAGGCCCAGGCTCTATGACCAGACTGCCTGGGCTTCCATCTCAGCTCTACCACTGACCAGCTGGGTAATCCCGTGCAAGCTGCTTAACCTCTCATGCCCCAGTTATATCCACACCTGTAAATTGAGAATATTAATGGTGCCTCCCCAACAGGGTCGTTGTAAGGATTCAGCAAATGTATCCATGTCAATCACCTAGAATAGCACGTGGCACATAGAAAGTGCTCAGTTAAGTGCTGGGTGCTGTTATAAAGGCATGGATTTTGGAATCAGCCAGACATGCGGTCAAACCCCAACTCTGCCATTCCCAGCTATGTGACTTTGTACAAGTGTCTTCTTTGCCTGTCTAAGTCAGCTTTCTCATATATTTGGGGGAGAGGGTTGAGGAGATTGAGTGATATCATGCATGTTCACACACTTAGCACAATGCCTTAAACAATTGCCTGTTAAGAGTGAGCTTTCAAGCACTATCATAGGTCATTGCTTGGGGCCACAGGGTTTGAAGGAGGCTCTAAATGCCTAAGGTCAATGTTAGGATGCTTCTGAGGCTGTTCCTGCCCCCAGCCTCCTCCTCCTTTGTGGGGAAGAATGAGGCCAGGAGGGGCAAAAAAGCATAGAGTCAGGAGACCAAGGTTCTAGTGCTGCCAGTCCCACTAACTGGCTGTGTGACCTGACCCTCTCTGGTCCTCAGTTTTCTCAGCAGGGAAATGAACCAGATGTTTGATACAACGTGCCTCCCTCCTCCTTCACCAGGCAGGAAGAACTGCCCTACCTCTCGGTGCCCGTTGACTTTGGGGCATCCATCTGTCCTCACAACTGCCCCTTTTCAAAAACCAAGACTGCTACTTCCTAGCTGTGTGACTGGGCAAGTTACTTACAATCTCTGTGCCTGCTTCCTTTTCTTAAAAGTGAGGGTACTGGGAGGTACTAGTACCAATTTCATTGGAATTCATAGGGATTAAGATCTAATGCATGTAAAGCTCTACAATAGTGCCTGGCACAGAGGAGGTGATAATAAGAGTTGGCTGTTGTTACTGCTGTTATTTCCACCAGAGTGAGTCTCTGAGGGTCGTCTCTGGCTCCCTGCAGCAAGCCTGGTTCATGGTTCCCTTACTGCCTCCTCTCAGGGTCTGCCCTGTCTTGGATGTACCTCTGGAGGGCCCCTGGCCCAGCCTTCAGATCCCAGGGGCAAGAGACCCAAGTCTGGGGCCTGCCAGAGGCCAGTTCAGACACCCAGGCATGGCAGGAGAGAAGCAAGGGGGTGAAGGATGAGTTCTCTTTCCCACCCTGCCCTTGCCTTTCAAACTCTTAGGGCTGACCCTCCAACTTGTCCATGCTGCACTTGACCGTGTACCGCCTCCCTTCACCTAAGAGGAGCCCCAGAGAGGAAAGCTGATGGGGGCAGCAACGAGATGCATCTCCCTGCTTCTCTGCTCAGAAGCCTGCAGTGGCTCCCCAGGTCCCTCAGGAAAACTCCAGAGTCCTCTCAATGGCCTCAGGCCCTCCTGCAGGGTCCTAACCTTGCTTGAGTCAAGACCTAAGTTGGGGGAAGCTTATGGGCCCTTCTCAGAATAATGTTTTTAATTGAATAAAATAAAATGTATAGGATTTTTAGATTAGAACGAAAACCAATCGTATTGAAGTACGGCGTTATATAATAATATTTATGTTTCTTTATTAACCCCTTATATAACACGGTCTGGTGGCCGGTCTCATAACAACTGTCATGTTGGAGTCGTGATGAGTGCGCATGATATTTTGAGACAACTGCAACAACTGTGAAGTGATGAAAATATCTGATTCCTAGTGGTGACAATATTGCAGGCACTGCTAAACGCTACCCTACTTTATCGCCTACATTCATAATTGAAGAAAATGCTAACTGTCAGTTTGAGATTACTGAAAATAAACATGTAATTTTCCCATCCTAGTTCAAGGAGCCCCTGAATTAATTCATGGACCCCTTGGCCTGGGAGTGTGGATTAAAAGATCCTGTGCACAACCCGGCCAGGCGTGGTGGCTCACACCTGTAATCCCAGCACTGTGGGAGGCCAAGGTGGGTGGATCACCTGAGGTCAGGAGTTTGAGACCAGTCTGGCCAACAGGTGAAACCCTGTCTCTCCTAAAAATACAGGCTGGGCGTGGTGGCTCGCGCCTGTAATCCCAGCACTTTGGGAGGCCAAGGCAGGCGGATCACCTGAAGTTAGGAGGTTGAGACCAGCCTGACCAACATGGTGAAATCCCGTCTCTACTAAAAATACAAAAATTAGCTGGGCGTGGTGGTGTGCACCTGTGATCCCAGCTACTCGGGAGGCTGAGACAAGAGAATCGCTTGAACCTGGGAGGCGGAGGTTGCAGTCAGCCGAGATTGCACCACTGCACTCCAGCTTGGGTAACAAGAGCGAAACTCAAGCTCAAAACAAACAAACAAACAAACAAAAAACAAAAGTTAGCTAGGCATGGTGGTGCATGCCTGTAGTCCCAGCTACTTGGGAGGCTGAGGCAGGAAAATCGATTGAATCCAGGAGATGGAGGTTGCGGTGAGCTGAGATTGCACCATTGAACTCCAGCCTGGACAACTGAGTGAGACCCTGTCTCAAAAAAAAAAAAAAAAAATCCTATGCACAACCCTTTCTGCTCCTACCCTCCTCGTCTATTCCTGACTGCTCTGCTCCAGACACACTGGCTTCCTTGCTATCTTTTGAGTATGTCCAACATGCTTAGAGCCTTAGCACTGGCTGTTCCCTCTGACTGAAGCTCTCTTCCCCAGGTCCCTGTGTGGACCACTTCCTCACTTCTTTCAAGCCTTTGCTCAAGGGCCACCTTCTCGAGAGGCCTGCCCTAATAGACCACCTTAATTAAAATTGCTACCTTTATCCCTGACACCATGGTACCCCGATTCCCCTTCCCTGCTCTATTTTCTCTTTTTTTGGACGCACTCACCGTCTTTTGACAGACCAAATTGCTTACCATCTGCCTGCCCCCACGGACATGTCAGTTCCCTGAGGGCAGGGATCATTGTTTTGTTCACTGCTAAGTTTCCAACAAGACCTGGCACATAGTAGGCACTCAATAAACAAGTGGTGAAAAGTGATGGATTTGCAAGCTGTAAGGTGTTATGTTAAAAAGCCATTTGATTCTGTAAATCTAAAACTGCTCTAAAAATAAGGCCTACTAATTTTTTTAAAAAAAGAATTTGAAATAAACTGAGGTCAGAGATGCTAAGTGTTTTATACAAAGTCACACCGCAACTAAATGACTAGGCAGAGACAACAACCCAGCCCATCACATAAACAAGGGCCTGGGTGAGGAGAGGCAGTGCCTGACCCATGACAATGCGGCACTGTGGGTGATTTTCAGGCACCAACAGGGAAGTTCGTTTACCTAGAGATGGTTGATGTCTGATCACACTAAGTGGTGACCACCTAGGTCTGGTCCAGCCTCCAGGGGGCAGAGATGGCAGATGGCCTTGGTAGCTGAATGCCCTTCCCTTAGGCTTGGCTTCCTCTCTGGGTCCCCTTCCTCCACAGGGTGACACATGGCTCTGGCCTGTAGCTCAGCTAAAGGTGAAAGTCTCCTTGGCCGCCTGCCAGGGTGACCCCAAAGCAGCTCCAAGCAGGATTATCATGCCTCTAAAGATATAGTCCCCTCCCCAAATAGCAGCCCTGATACTTTCATGGGAGACCCAGGGTAGAGCATGGGAGCGGCCCCTGGAGGCAGGTGCCCTGCCAAGATGGAAGGCCAACTGTCTGGCCCTACCAAGGGCAAAGGCCTGGTTTGGACTCTGTTTCCACCCATTCAGAGGTCCCAGCTTGGCCTGGAGGATGGAGGGCCAGGTAAAGACAAGAGAAGGGGGCTTTCTGCTCCAGCCAAACTCCAGTCTCCACTACTCTGGGCTTCTCCAGGGCACAGGCCGCCCATGAGCTCAAATATACACATGCATACCTGCTCCCACGCATGCACACTCACACTGACCGGGAACACACATGGCACACACTCACATGTACACACATGTGCACTCTCACATCCACACTCACACAGTCCTTGAATACTCACACTTACTCATACACTCTTCCATGCACACCCACACTCACACACACGCAGACACGCAAACACATTTGCTCACTCATACACACGCACTCACACTCAGACCCAAACAGATGCTGCCCCCAGGCTGCTCACTCTCTGCAACAGTTTTTCCCCCTCTCTCAGACAGAACGAGAAGCTCCCTCCCACTGCCGAGGAGGGAAGCAGAGCCAGCCCTGTCTCCTGCCTCCTGCAAGGTTGTGAATGTAGTAGTGTCAGCTTGCAGCAGGGCTGCGGGGCACTCTGTGAACACTGAATCCAGCCCCCTTGTTTTGCTGATGAGAAAAAGGAGGCTCAGAAAGGGGCAGTGATAGCTCTAAGGTCACACAGCATTGCTATGGCAGATCCAAGATGAGGACTTGAGTCCCTGCCTCCTAGCCCAGGGTCTCTACCTGCACCATGCGCCCCACCTATAGGACCTGCTCTTGGCTAATGGAGCAAATAAGTCTGTGAATGAATGTTGGGTGTTTCAGGGCAAGTTACCCTTCCCTTCCCATGATCCACCAAACAGGAGGAGGTGTTTATGTTCACTGTGAGGGTGGGGCATGAAGTACTCTAGGACACACCAGGGTGTGTGTGTGGTGTGTGTGTGTAATAAGTGATGCTAGAACTCATGTATTAACCTTCTGTGCTGGGGCTGTCTCCACAACAGCCCATTTCAACCTCACACTTGCATTCCTCACTTCACGGAAGCTAGAAATCAGAGAGAGCAAGTGACTTGTTCAAGGTCACACAGCAAATAAGCAGTAGAGCTAGGCTTCCAAGTCAAAGTCTGTCTGCCTCCAAAACCTGCCCTCATACCAGCAGCTAAGACACATTACCCCTACTGTGTTCCAGGCACCATTCCACAGGGACTAAGGAATTTCATCCTCACAGCGGGCCTCCGAGGCAATTACTATAGGACTCCCACTGGATAAGAGGGGAAACTGAGGCACAAAGAAGTAAAGCTGCCCAGGCATGGTGGCTCACACCTATAATCTCAGCACTTTGGGAGGTCAAGACAGGTGGATCGCTTGAGGTCAGGAGTTCAAGACCAGCCTAGCCAATATGGTGAAACCCCATCTCTACTAAAAATACAAAAATTAGCCAAGTGTGGTGGCATGCTCCTGTAATCCCAGCTACTCGGGAGGCTGAGGTAGGAGAATCGCTTGAACCCAGGAGGCGGAGGTTGCAGTGAGCCGAGATCGCACCACTGCACTCCAGCCTGAGCAACAGAGCGAGACTCTGTCTCAAAAAAAAAAAAAAAAAAAAAAAAAAAAAAGTAAAGCTACTTGTAAAGCCAAGTCATCCAGCAAATAAGTGTAAAGCTGGGATTTGAAACAACACCGTTCAGGTTCTGCCCATGACGCTGCATTGCCTCTTCTGGATGCTTAACTTGTCCCAGGAGCCACCATCTCAGCTGTGGGTGGAGACATTGATGCTCAAGGGGAATGGGCCTTTCCTCTTTTGGGGATACCCTCCCTCTCCCCTGGACCAGAGTGGAAGGTGGGGAGGGAAGCATAAGAATGGGGCCACTTGCCATCTTGCCAGGGGATCTTGGACAAGCCCATCCTTCCTTCTGAGTCTCAGTCCACAGGCAGGGGGCAATAGGACTAGGTGATCTCTAACCATCTTCTAACTTAGAAATATTGGGCTGGGTCAGGAGCATGCCCCAGCCTCAAGGCTCTCTGGCAGCTTCTACCAGCTCAAATGTGTGTCTGGGAGCCCTTAGAAACATAAAGAAAGACTCAGGAAGGGGCAGGCCCAGAACTCCCTGGAAGGAGCCCTCAGGGCAGAGAGCACTGGTTTGGGAGTCAAGAACCTTGCTTCCAGTTTTAAGTCTGCTGCTGAATTGCTGTGTGACTTTGGGTAGATTACTTGCCATCTCTGGGCTTTAGTTTTCTCATCAAGAAAAATGGGGAGATACTGTTCTACCCTCCTCTAGGGGCTGTTGTGAGTTTCCAACCAGGCAACCAGATGAGGTGTTTGGGGGAAATAAAGGGCTCGACTAATGTTGGCAAGTTACTTTTCCCCTCACTTAGTACCCCAAATAATTTGAGAAATTTAGCTGTTGATTATGATAATAATAAGAGTTTCTGACCAGGCACGGTGGCTAACATCTGTAATCCCAGCAGTTTGGGAGGCTGAGGTGGCCAGAGCACCTGAGGTCAGGAGTTGAAGACCAGCCTGACCAACATGGCAAAACCCTGTCTCTACTAAAAATACAAAAATTAGCTGGGTGTAGTGGTGACAGCCTGTAGTCGGGAGGCTGAGGCAGGAGAATCGCTTGAGTCCAGGAGGCAGAGGTTGCAGAGAGCTGAGATTGCGCCACTGCACTCCAGCCTGGGCAATAGAGCAAGACTCTGTCTTAAAAAAAAGGGGAAAAAAAAAAGTTTCTGTGAATTTCCTGGCCAGATCTACTCCTAGGGGCCAGGCTGAGTGCTCAACTGTGATAACGACGATCACAAATTGAGTGCCAATAATTTGTCCCAGACACTGGGTTGGTACTGTTAATACTATCATTTTTAAAATAAGAAAACTGAGGCCCAGAAAGTTTAAGGACTGCCCACACTCACACAGCCAGGAATCCTATCCCAGATGTGTCCAGCTGTCAAATCCAGCCCCTTAGCCACCAGGCAGCACTGCCCTTTGTCCCCCAAGCAGAACTGCGCTCCTCCCTCCACCAGGCACATGCCCCTGGGAGATATCCCCCCAAACCCAGGTGCCCAAGAATGGGCTGAAAGCAATCGTGTCCCCTCCTGTGTGTGACCTCTGACCTCCCTCCCCGCACACCCCCGCCCCACCTGGGCAGAGTGTCCCCTGTGTCCGCCCGCCTTCCCCGCTCTGACCCTGGCGCCTGCAGGTGCGGCTGGTGATCGCCGAGAAGGGCCTGGTGTGCGAGGAGCGGGACGTGAGCCTGCCACAGAGCGAGCACAAGGAGCCCTGGTTCATGCGGCTCAACCTGGGCGAGGAGGTGCCCGTCATCATCCACCGCGACAACATCATCAGTGACTATGACCAGATCATTGACTATGTGGAGCGCACCTTCACAGGAGGTACGGCTGCCTCCCCACCCAGGGGCCCACTCCATACCACAGATCCTCAGGGGTCCCCACAGGCTCAGACGGGGTCCCAGAACTTTGGGAAGTCTGGGAAATTCACTGGAGCCATGGGCAAGGCCCAGTCTCCCCAAAAAGGAGCCACAGAGCCACAGGCAGGGTTCAGATGCCCCCAGAGCCCCAGAGCCACAGGCATAGCTACTGATCCATACAGAGACCTCCCCTCCCCTGGTACTGTAAGGGCATGACCCAGACACCCCCCCACCAGGAGCAGTGGGGCTATAGCCCTTTCCCCCGAGCTCTAGAGTCACAGGCATGGCCCCTTCAGCATGAGTGGCCCCAGACCACCCTCTAGGTCCCCACAGACAGGGTCCAGATCTCCCAGGGGTTACAGGGCAAGGACAGGGCCCAGCTCCCTCTGGAACATAGATTCCCTAGGACCCCATAGGAACCTGAAGACATGTTCCCAGACGCCCCAGAACCCTGAGACAGGGGAAGGCCCAGACACCCCAGAACCCTGAGACAGGGGAGGGCCCAGATACCCCAGAACCCCATGGACAGGGGAGAGCCCAGACACCCCAAAACCCCGCAGGCAGAGGAGGGCCCAGGTACCCCAGAACCTCGCAGAGACCCCGTCCTCTCCCCTCGTAGGCCCTCCTCAGGCTCAGGAACTTACTGCCCATTGCATAGGCTCAGACACCCACTGGGAGGGCATCAGGGCCCAGACATGCACTGTTTTAAAAGAATGTGAGTTGGTTGCCAACATTTAAAAGTCAAGGGGACCCAAGCATTGAGCACCCAGGTTGCAGCTTCTCTTGAATCCCGCAACACTGGGTCTAGGACCCCGCCTGGCAGCAAGTCTGGAGCTGAGAGGAGCTAACCCTCGGGGACAGCTTGGCAGAGCCCAGTGAGGAGAGATGGCCGGGCCACCACTAGAATCCCCTGTCCGCCAGCAGCCAAGCCCGAGCATGGGGGTGCCCAGGGCCTCTGGGCAGAGACATCTTGGGGCTCAGGGATGCCGGGGGCAGGTGGCCGGGGCAGGTGCCCCTCTGGCTTCCCTGCCCAGCCCCTGGCGGTGCCCACAGAGCACGTGGTGGCCCTGATGCCCGAGGTGGGCAGCCTGCAGCACGCACGGGTGCTGCAGTACCGGGAGCTGCTGGACGCACTGCCCATGGATGCCTACACGCATGGCTGCATCCTGCATCCCGAGCTCACCACCGACTCCATGATCCCCAAGTACGCCACGGCCGAGATCCGCAGTGAGTGCCAGGGCGGCGAGACAGCCCCTCTGCTTTCCCCCTTTGCGCCGCTCCTTTCTTCCAAAGGATGTCCTCCCTCTCCTGGGCCTCTCTCTGTCCTCCCCTTCCTCCTCCTTCTCTCCCTCTTGCATTCTCCATTTGTCCCCGCCTCTCTCTGAGTGCTCGGGGTTGGTTTCTCACTCTGCTGGTCTCTCTCTCTCTCTCTTGCTCTTTCTCTCTGTTCCTCTTGCTTGCCATCCCCTTCACCCCCGACTTCCCGGCCTTCCATCTCATTCACCCAGTTTCTAACAGAATATGTCTCTCTCCCTCTCTGCCAGTCTCGCTCCCATCCCCCTCCCCTGTCCCCTACTCTTGTCCTGCCCCCCCCATACACAGACTATGGGGCTGTCTGTCCCCACAAGGTTTGTTCTCCCCGCACGAGTTTCAGCCTTAGACAGTCAGGGCTGTGCTTCGTGGCCAAGGGCTCTGAGTGACCTCAGGGTTAGGATTACCAAGGAAGACTACCCAGATGTGGCAAGGCCCCCAGTGAGGTCTCAGATTGAAGGTTACCCATGAGCATGTCCTGTCCTAATGGCCAGCCTGGACATGCTCACAGCCTACTTCATCCTTTTGTATCTGACACCCAGTGAATGGGTGTTGGATTAAATCAGATAATCCCTCAGCAGCTGTTTACAGACTACGATCCAGGCTTTGAACAAACACCATGGGGTCCTACAGCCAAAAGACACCTGAAGATTCTTAGTAGATAATAGGTGCTCAGTGAATGGTCATGTCGTCCCCCTCAAAGGAATGTGGCTAATGTTCAAAGGCAGGGTTGGGGCGGTGTTAGGTTGTAGAACTCAACCCTGTCCCTTGAGAACCATTGTCATTGAACAAGACTCAGAATTTTTTTTTTTTTTTTTTTGTGAGACAGGGTCTCCCTCTGTCATCCAGGCTGGAGTGTAGTGGCGCAATCTTGACTCACTGCAACCTCCTCTGCCCAGTCTCAAGCGATTCTCCCACCTCAGCCTCCCAAGTAGCTGGGACCCCAGGCACATGCTGCCATGCCTTGCTAATTTTTTGTATTTTTGGTAGAGATGAGGTTTTGCCATATTGCCCAGGCTGGTCTTGAACTCCTGACCTCAGGTGATCTGCCTGCCTCAGCCTCTCAAAGCGCTGGGATTATAGGCATGAGCCACCATATGTGGCCAAGACTCAGGATTTACCTGTACATCCGGCTCCCAGCAACAGCCCCCTCAACAACATTTATGAGGCCCTGGGCAGGGGACTGGGGACAAACAGGAATAGACACAGCTTCTGCCATCCCAGGGTCAAGTTCCATGGAAGGAAAGACAAGTCACCAGCCAATTACAGTGCAGAACTAAGTGAGTTTGAATGCGCTCTCAGGAGGGCGGCCTGGTACTCTATGTCAAACATGAGAAAGCCCACATCTTGGAGATTACCCTGCAGTTACACTTGAACATATGCACCAAGAAGTATGAACAAAGGTATTCACTGCAGCACAGTTGGCAAGAGCAAGAATATCGCTGGAAATTACCCAGCTGTCATGAATTGGGAACTGGGTAAATAAGTTATGGGTACTTCCATACAACGGAATACTGTGCAGATGTTTTTAAAAATTAATAGGTGTATGGAATGCTTCCTAAGATATATTAGTGAGTAGAAAAAAGTGAAGGGCAAAAAAAAAAAAACAACATCTAGTGTGCTCTCATTAGTACTCAGAATGAGGTTAAATGGACACACAGGTGCTTGCACTGCAAGGAGTATTTCTGGAAGGATACACAGAAGCTGCCAATAGTTTGTGTCTTTGGGGAGCAGAACTAAGAGACTGCAGCTGCAGAGGACAGAGATTTACTTTTATAGTACATTCTTCAATCTTGTTTGAATTTCAACAATATACATGTATATCCTGCTCAAAAATAAATTCGTTTAAAAACGTTTAATCTGGTGCCCATGAGTGTTATGAGCAGGAGATCAGGGAGGTTCTGGGCATACACGATGTCCACCCCAGCCTCCGGGGCCACAGAAGCCTTCCAAAATGCAGCAGCGACCGAGGATGTGTAGCAGGTAGAAGGGGAGAAAGAGGGAGAATTATTTCACATTCTGGAGTAGGACAGGGTGTATTGTTTTTGGGGAATGGAGGAAGCTCAGTGTGGTGCAAGTGTAGCCCAAGGTGGGGTGGAAATGGTCGTGGTGTGTGTCTGGGGAGGAGGGTCTGGCAGAATTTGGATTTTGTCCAAAGAGCAGTGGAGAAACGGTGATGGGAAGTGACGTGGTCAGATCTGCATTTTACGAAGATCTCTCCTCTGAGGGAAGAATGAACGGGGTAGGCCCTGGCTGTTGGTAGGCAGGGTCCTGGCCAAGGGCTGGAGGCAGTCCCCAAGGGCTTCTGGGAATTAGGGGCACTCTCCCTCAATCTTGCCCTGAGCCATTTGAAGGTGCCTAGAAGGCACTGGGAGTCCAGAGCAGACCCAGCCCACCCCCTCTCTCCCCATCTTTCTCTGAGGAGGCAGAGAGGATCTCAGGGCTCCAGCCCAGCTGGGGGATGAGAGGAGGGAGGTCCCAGAGTGCAGAAGGAGTAGAAGCCAGCCTGCAGCGACCCCTTAATCAGTCTCAAGTCTTCTCTTGGGGTGGCCTGCCCTCCTGGAGTCTGAAGCCACCACATGGGCAGCGCTGGGTGACACGCAAGAAAGATGCTGTCCTTGACCTTCACATTCATAAAACATCAATGAGACTTAATATAGCCCTGAAGCTGAATGATCTGGGAGTGCGTTTACTGGGATTTGTGTCAGGACAGGAGATGGGGCAGTAGGTGGTGAAATCTCAGATGACAGAAGCTAAACAACCTAAGTCACTCACTCATTTCATTCATTCATTCATTCAACACTCACTGAGCTCCTGCTCTGTGCCAGGCCTGTGTTGAGTTTTAAGGGAACAAAGATGAATCTGACATAGCCACTGCTCTCCAGAAGCTCAAGTGTTAGAGGGAGACATACACATTCAGTGATAACTACGTTAGCACCAAAATCTCCATGTACAGCAAGCAGGCAGGTTGTGGACTCAAGCCCAGGAGGGCTCTTTTCATATAGACAGCAAGGTTAATGGAGTTGTGAATGGCAGCTCTGATTAGCGTGTTTGCGTTCCCTGGCAGAAGTCTGTAGGGCGTAAACTGGGGAACAAAGACATTGAGCGGGCAGACCTCCTACAGGATCAGGAAGGGCTTCCTGGAGGAGGAAATCTTTAGCTGAATCTAGAAGGAAGCTTTCAGGAAAGGAGGATAAGGCTATTTTAGGAAGAAGTAGTAGTATGAGCAGAAGCCTGGAGGTGTGGAGTGGTCTGGCACATTCAGGGAACAGCAAGCATGTACAGTGGCTGAAATGTACATATTGGGACAGGAACAGTTGGGAAAACTCAGTGAAAGATGGAGTAGGTGAGAGGGAGGGCAAGTGGATCCTGAAGGCTCTTTGAAGGCAAGTTGAGGAGCTAGGATGTTATCCGAGGGCAGTGAGGAGCCAGGGATGGGTTTTAAACAGAGTGGCATGGTCAAGTGTGTGAAGAAGATATCTCTGGTAGGGGTGGGGAGAAGGGCCTGTAAGGGAGAGAGGGGAGGTGACAGAGGGTGGGTGAAACCATCTAGGTGAGACATTAATGGGGTCTGAACTAAGAGAGAGTCAGTTAAATGGAGGAGGTTAAATGTGAAAAAATATGAGAAAGATGGAGGAGGAAGAATCAACAGGACCTGGGAATGACTTGATGTGGGGTGAGGTAGTGGGAGGAGCTGAGGGCAAATCCAGGAATCTGGCTGGGCTTTGTGTTGGGGAGGGGATGCTGCAATTTGGGAAGAATGCAGGGGGAGAAGCAGTGAGGCAGGGAAGATGACCAGGTCTAGGGTTGGGTCTATCGGTTTCTGGCATCTACTACTCGTCCTCAAGGGTACAGTCTCCTCCTCCGTGAGGTCTCTCAGCCCCTTGTGCCCCAGGCAGGCAGCCCCTGGGTCCCTATGCCTTGTGTTCACTCTTCCCTACAGTTTACTCATGCTGTACCATAGAGTTTATTTTTATTTTTTTTAACTGTGTATTTTATAATATTGCTGATGTGTATTATTTATTTATTTTTGTATTTTTTTAGAGTAAGGGTCTCACTCTGTTGCCCAGGCTGGAGTGCAGTGGTGCTATCATAGCTCACTGCAGCCTCGACCTCCCAGGCTCAAGCGATCCCCCTGCCTCAACCTCCTGAGTAGCTGGGACTATGGTGTGCACCACTACACCTGGCTAACTTTTTTTTTTTAAGATGGGTTCTTGCTATTTGCCCAAGCTGGTCTTGAACTCCTGGGCTCAAGTGATCCTCTCACCTCAGCCTCCCAAAGTGTTAGGATTACAGGGGTGAGCCATTGGCTGAGATTTCTTTATGTGCCTATCTCTCCCACCAGCCTGAGCTCAGGGCAGGATGGCATCTCATCCATCACTACGGCACAGCCTGCAGTGCTCCCTAAGTGTTGGCTGTCGACAGTATTACTCTTCTGACCAGTGTTTGGATGGGGCCTACTTCAAGTTGTGTAAGGCAGGTGATGGGGGAGCAACCAAGGTATCAGAGGGATGGGACCTTTCCTATTATCTCCCCAGGACATTTAGCCAATGCCACCACGGACCTCATGAAACTGGACCATGAAGAGGAGCCCCAGCTCTCCGAGCCCTACCTTTCTAAACAAAAGAAGCTCATGGTGAGTACCTCCCGGCCTGCTGAGTCCCCTTCCCTACGAGCTCTTCCACGGAAATGAACAATAGGAGAAACTAAGTAGAAGATCAGCTGATGATATGAAATGGAAAAGCCCCTGGCTTGCTTTTCCAATCCTGTCCCCTGCCATTTACTAGCTGTTAGACCTGGGGTAAGCCACTGCTGCCCTCGGGCCTCAGTTTCCTCATGTGTTAGGTTGTGTCTTTAAAAGCAGAGCATTGGCCAGGCATGGTGGCTCACTCCTGTAATCCCAGCACTTTGGGAGGCCAAGGCAAGTGGATCACTTGAGGTCAGGAGTTTGAGACCAGCCTGGCCAACATGGTGAAACCCCATCTCTACTAAAAATACAAAAATTAGCCGGGCATCATGGCGGATGCCTGTAGTCCCAGTTACTCGGGAGGCTGAGGCAAGGAAATTGCCTGAACCTGGGAGGCGGAGGTTGCAGTGAGCTGAGATCGGGCCACTACACTCTAGCCTGGGCAACAGAGTGAGACTCTGTCTCAAATAATAATAATTATAATAAATATATAAATAAATAAAAATAAATGCAGAGCACTGAACAGGGGTTCTTGGGAAAGGAGGTATTGAAGGATTGCTCTGAGGGGGACCCCAGAGGGATGGGAGGGATAAGGAAGAGGAAGCTGCTAAGCCTCAATTGATTCCACAGGAAGCTCTGGAGCACAAATGGCACCACAAAGGTGATCAACCTTGAAGTAAGGGGCCAGCCTTTTATCCCCTCATATCAGTGGGACATTGGCTACAGATTGTTGGAGGGAGGGGTGCGGGCCGGTAACCTCCCAGGTATTTGTGGGCAATGCAGCTCCTTATTGGCTGAGAGAAGGGGCAGCTGTGAGCCACTAGCAGCCAGCCCTCCCAGCATCTGGGTGTAAGAATGTACTAGGGATCTAGGCAGGACAGCCAAGCTCACAGGACTGTTGTAGGCACCAGATGAGGGTGCTTCATAACGGGGGGGCATCCTATACACTTGGGGGGCATTTGGAGGCTGGGTTTGCAGAAGAAGTTCAGCAAAGCTCCTTCCATCCCTGAACATCCTGGCTCTATTGAGGCCAACTCAGCTTCTCTTGGCCCTGTCCTGCCCCCAGGCCAAGATCTTGGAGCATGATGATGTGAGCTACCTGAAGAAGATCCTCGGGGAACTGGCCATGGTGCTGGACCAGATTGAGGCGGAGCTGGAGAAGAGGAAGCTGGAGAACGAGGGTGGGTGCCAGCCCTGGGGGAGGTGGGGGCTGCAGCCCACCCAGCCTACTCTTCCCCTGCCCAGTCTCAGCCTCTTTTTTCCGCAAAAGTCTCAGAGGACCTCCCAGGTGGTTAAGAGGATGGGCTATGGAGTCAGACTAAGGTTCAAGTCATAACTTGGCCACTTCCTAGCTTAGTAAATGTGGTCAGGTTCTCCCCTCTCTGAAATTCAGTTTCCCATCTATAAAATGGGGATAATAGTAGGACCTGCCTCAAAGAGCTGTTGAGACATTGTGTGAAATAATACACGTAGAGTGCTTAGATCAGGGCTTAGCACACAGTAGGTGTTTAATAAAGGTAGGTGAAGATGATGTTAAGAGGCAGCTCATAGATGTCATGGTTAGGGCCAGAACTTGTTCCCTCTCGATGGGTCCAGTGTTGTTTCCAGCATGTCACAACTGATACCACAAGCACAAGACCTTATGTCCCGAACAGAGACATCATCATGCATACTGAATACTCGGTTGCTCCCCCATCACCTCCCTTACACAACTTGATGGCCACTACCCACCACACCATCCCACTTGCCCTGCCCAAGAATGCATTATAGCTCCTTCGTGCTCCAGCCAGACATCCAAGCTCACCCAGACTCTCGTTGACCTTGACTCTTCCTGCTCCCAGCTGGGCCTCTAAACTTGGACATGCCAGCTTCATTCTACCTCCATGCTTTTGCTCCCACAGCCCCTCCCTCCTGGAGCACCCTTCCTACACCACTCCACTCCATTTTGCCTGTTGCACACCATCTTTGCCACAGCCCTTCTTCAAATCTCATTCTGAGCTTCCCATCTTGCTCCGTTTAAGACCTGTGATGAGTCTTGTCTCCTGAACAATGCAAATTTATGGTGCATTTGCAACAGCCTCCTGCACATGCATGGCTATGTGTATGGGAAGGCCGTAGAGCCCAGGGTCTAAACAGATGGGGTTAGAGTAAGAAAAACTTGAAATAGAGTTCCAGCTTTGCTGCCTCAAATATGTAACCTTGGACAAGTTGCTTTCCCTATTGAAGCCTCAGTTTCCTCATCTATAAGATGGGATGGTAATAATACAACTTAACCTTGTCTTGCTGGACTCTTGTGAAAATTCAATATACTCAGCACACTGCCTGTCCCATTACTAGTTTAATACATATGGCAGCTAAAGGGACACACATTCTCCAGATGAGAAAACTGAGGCTCAGAGAGATGAAGTGAGTTGCTCAAGGTCAGGCAGCTCATAGATGTCATGGTTAGGGCCAGAACTTGTTCCCTCTCGATGGGTCCAGTGTTGTTTCCAGCATCTCACAACTGATGCCACAAGCACAAGACCTTATGTCCCGAACAGAGACATCATCATGCATACTGAAGCCAGCTGCCTTAAATCATTTCTGGAAACAAAGCCTGGTATGACTAAGTGAGTAAAAAAAATAACGCACCTCAAAGGGGAACTTTTGGCTGGGCACAATGGCTCACGCCTGTAATCCCAGCACTTTGGGAGGCCGAGGCGGGTGGATCACCTGAGGTCAGGAGTTCGAGACCAGCCTAACAACATGGCAAAACCCTGTCTCTACTAAAAATACAAAAACTAGCTGGGCGGGGTGCTGGGTTCCTGTAATCCCAGCTACTCGAGAGGCTGAGGCAGGAGAATCACTTGAACCTGGGAGGCAGAGGTTGCAGTGAACTCAGATTGCGCCACTGCACTCCAGCCTGGGGGACAGAGAGAGACTCCATCCCCTGCCCCCCAACCAAAAAAAAAAAAGGAACTTTCCTGTTTCTATCCTAACGGTAGCTAAGGGGAGCTGTTGCAGAGTTAATGGCTCTGAGGGGCCAAAAGGCTTGGTAGTTCAGAGATGGGCCTTTGGGGGACAGAGTCCCAGCTCTGCCATGCTCTCGGTGGGTGACCTTGGACATCAAGTATATGTTATTCACTTATGCATTAGTTTCTTAGGACTTCCATAACAAAATACTACAGACTGAGGGGCTTAAACAGCAGAAACCTATTGTCACACAGAGCTGGAGGCTAGACATCTCAGATCAAGGTGCCTGTGGGGTGAGTTTCTCTCGAGGCCTCTCTCCTTGGCTTGTAAGTGGCTGCCTTCTTGCCGTGTCCTTACATGGCCCTTCCCCTGTGCTGCACATGCCTGGTGTCTTTGAGTCCAAATTTCCTCCTATAAATACTTTAGTCTGATTGAATGAGGACCCACCTTAAGCTCTTCATTTTAAGGTAATTATCTCTTTAAAAGCCCTGTTTCCAAATACAGTCACATTCTGAGATTTTAGGAGTGTCCAATCTTTTGGCTTCCTTGGGCCACATTGGAAGAAGAGTAACTGTCCTGGGCCACACATAAAATATGCTAACACTGACGATAACTGATGAGCTTAAAAAACATCGCAAAAAATTCTCAGAATGTTTTAAGGAAGTTTATGAATTAGTTTTGGGCCACATTCAAAGCCATCCTGGGCTGCATGTGGCCCGCGGGCTGCAGGTTGGACAAGCTTGCTCTAGAGCTTAAGGCTTCAACATGTGAAGTTTGTGAGGGTCACAGTCCAGCCCAGAAAAATCTATATATTTAATAGAGCTTACTGTGTGTCAGGCCCTGTTCTAGGTGTTTCACAGATTTCAACTCACTTAATCCCCATAACAACCCCAGGAGGTGGGTAATATCAGCGATCCTGTTTAACAGATGAGGATCCTGTTTAACAGAGGAGGAAGCACTGGCTCTGGGCTCTTTCCTGTTCTATAAAAGGGTGATAGGTTGGGCACAGTGGCTCACGCCTGTAACCCCAACACTTTGGGAGGCTGAGGCAGGTGGATCACTTGAGGTCAGGAGTTCGAGACCAGCCTGGCCAACATGGTGAAACCCTATCTCTACTAAAAATACAAAAAATTAGCTGGGCATGGTGGTGGGCACCTGTAATCCCAGTTATGTGGGAGGCTGAGGCAGGAGAATCACTTGAACCCAGGAGGCAGAGGTTGCAGTGAGCTGAGATTGTACCACTGCACTCCAGCCTAGGCACCAGAGCAAGACTCTGTCTCAAAGAGAAAAAAAAAAAAAAAGGCAGGGGGTGATAACATGAGTGCCTACGTCCCAGGGCTGCTGCGAGGATCAATGAGCAAATGCATGTAAGGGGCTTAGCACAGTGCCCGGCACACAGTACAGAAGTGTTCATATACATTGTGATCCAGAGAGACCCAGGGTCTGAACTGGATGGAGGCTAGGGTGGATGGTTCTGGAGAATAGCCTCAGACATGCATTCCTTGTGGGATTCCTAGGCTGGGACCCTACTGCTGACCGCTGTCCTGAGGTCTTCTGAGAGGAGACAGCATTGCACTGTCCCATGGTGAGATAAGTGGGGTTGCTCAAGATGGAGAGGTGTCGACAGTCCTTGCATCCCTCTGGGGCTGGGGGAGGTAGCAGAAGCCCCAGGGAAGTGGTTATGGATTTTAAAGGTCTGACTGGCTGGGCCCACATGGCCTCGGTTGCTCATCCAGGTTCCCTGAACCTGACTGGGTTAAACACTTTTATGCCTTCCATTTCTTCCCTCGTGGGCAGAGCCCAGTGTTGGAAGGGATTTTAATGTCACAGTTGAGACCCCTTGCATAGAGCCAGATGGCTTTGATGCAGATTCCTGATCAACCACCTCCTAGCTCTGTGACCTTGTGGAACTCACTTCATCTCTCTGAGCTCATCTGCAAAATGTTGATAGTAATAGAATCAAACTCATAGCAGGGTTGCTGGTGGAAGATTTGTTAAGATAGTAAATGTTGAGTATTTTGCACAGTGCCTGGCTCAAGGTAAAATGTTCTAAAAATAATCATTATTACCATTCTCTTTCATTCATGTATTCAAATATTTATTGAACACCTACTAGATGGTAGGTCCTAGGGATAAACTAATGAGTAAAACTCAGACCTCATTCTTGGTTTCATGGAGTTTGCAGTCTTACAGAGGAAAAAGACATTAGTCAAATAATCCCATAAGTAAACACAGAATTGCACACAGCGATAAGTGTTAAGATTGAGAGTAAATGAGCAGGATAAAGTGGATAAAGTTTCCCTGAGAAGGTGATATTCAAAGTGAGACCTGAAGGATGAGAAGGAGCCTGGAGAAGAATCAGGGCAGATATGACCCAGACTGAGGGATGCCATGGAGTGGGAGAGAACTGGGAACTCTTCAGGAATGGTCTGCTGTGTGGGGAGTCCTCGGGAAAGTGGTGGGAATGAGGGGAGAGCTGGAGCGGGTGAGGTGAGATCACGGGCCTCAGAGCCTACATTTACAAGTTTGGATTTTATACTAAGTACAATGGGAAGTCCCTGGAGGGCTTTGAGGAGGGTATTGTATCAGTTAGTTTCTGCTGTATAACAAACCATTGCAAATCTGAGTGACATAAAAGAAGGGCCTTTTATTTGTTCATGATATGTGGCTTGGCAGTATGGGCTGGGCTCAGCTGGGACGGCTTGCCTCTCACACATGGGGAGCGGCTGACCTCATTCCTGCATTTGCGGCCAGCAAATTTAAGACAGTAAATGTTGATTACTTTGCACAGTGCCCAGCTCAAGATGAAATGTTCTAAAAATTATTATTATCACCATTCTTTTTCATTCATTTTTTCAAATATTTATTGAACATCTCCTAGATGCTAGGTCCTAGGGATAAATTAATGAGCAAAATCCAGATGTCATTCTTGCTCTCACGGAGTTTGCAGTCTTAGAAAAAAAAAACTATGAGTCTTAGATGGCAGGAGCAGCAAAGCCATCAAGATGCACACATTGCAAAGTGGCATGTGTACAGGAATGGGAGGAACTCATGGCCCTGTTTGCAGTCTCCATGGGGCTGAGTTGTTCCGGTTTTATATTTGAGAGAATTCCAACTGCTGCGTGAAAATGGATTTCAAGGGAGACAGAGGGGAGGCCGGTGCAGCAGCTCAGGTGAGAGATGATGTTGGCGTGGACTGAGATGGTTGCAGTGGATATGGTGAGGTGTGAATGGGCTTGAGAGGTATTTTGAAGATAAAATGAGCAGGAATTTACATGAGGGTTGGGAGTGAGGTAAAGAGAATCAAAAGTAATTCCTGGGCTGGGCACAGTGGCTCACACCTGTAATCCCAGCACTTTGGGAGGCCAAGACAGGTGAATCACGAGGTCAGGAGATCAAGACCATCCTGGCTAACACAGTGAAACCCTGTCTCTACTAAAAATACAAAGAATTAGCCGGGTGTGGTGGCACGTGCCTGTAATCCCAGCTATTTGGAAGGCTGAGGCAGGCGAATGGCTTGAACCTGGGAGGCGGAGGTTGCAGTGAGCCAAGATTGTGCCACTGCACTCCAGGCTGGGCGTTTGGGAGACAGTGAGTTTGTGACACCCAAGAGAGAATGTCACAGAAGCCATTAGATATTCCAGACTGACTCTCAAAGGAGAGGTCAGAATTTGGAGATTCAGGAGTTCTCAGCCAATACATGGTGTTTAAAGCTATAGAATTGGATGTTTTCATCGAGGAAGAGAGCAGAGAGAGACAAAAAGAGGAATCAGGACCTGCTGTATTAGTTATCTGTGTGGCATAAGAAACTGCTGTCAACCTCAGTGTCTTAAATTTTTTTTTTTTTTTTTTTTTTTTGAGACGGAGTCTCGCTCTGTCGCCCAGGCTGGAGTGCAGTGGCGGGATCTCGGCTCACTGCAAGCTCCGCCTCCCGGGTTCATGCCATTCTCCTGCCTCAGCCTCCCAAGTAGCTGGGACTACAGGCGCCCGCCACTACGCCCGGCTAATTTTTTGTATTTTTAGTAGAGACGGGGTTTCACCGTTTTAGCCGGGATGGTCTCGATCTCCTGACCTCGTGATCCACCCGCCTCGGCCTCCCAAAGTGCTGGGATTACAGGCGTGAGCCACCGCGCCCGGCCTGTCTTAAATTTTAAAATCATTTATTATGTCACACATTTTCTGTGGATCTGGAGTTCTGGAGCAGCTGAGCTGGACAGCTCTGAGTCAGGGTTGCTTGATGCAGGTTGCCTTCAAGCTGTCAGCTGGGGCTGCAATGATTTGAAGGCTTGACTGGGGCCGGAGGATCCACTTCCAAGCTGCCTTATTCATGTGGTTCTTAGCTAGAGGCCTCTATCCCCTGCTGGCTGTCGGCAGGAGACTTTAGTTCCTTACCATGTGGGCCTCTCAATAGGCTGCTTGGGTTTCTTTACAGCATGGCTGCTGGCTTTCCCTGAGCAAGTTATTCCAGAGAAAGAGAAGACGCAGAAGCCACAATGTCTTTTATGATCTACTGCTGGAAGTCACTCTGCCCCATCATTCATTAGAAGTCATGAAATACAGCTGCTATTCAAGGGGAGGAGAATTGGGCTCCGCTGAAGGGAGGAGTATATCAAGTGATTTGTAGGTGTACTTTAAAACTGTCGCAGCTGAACCAGGCAAGGTCACGTGCACTTGTAATTCCAGCTAGTTGGGAGGCTGAGGCAGGAGAATCACTTGAGCCCCAGGAGTTCGAGACCAGTCTGGGCAACATGGTGAGACTCTGTCTCTACAAGAAAGCACAAAAATTAGCTGGATGTAGTAGTACATGCCTGTAGACCCAGCTACTCAGGAGGCTGAGGCAGGAGGATTGCTTGAGCCTAGGAGGTTGAGGCTGCAGTGAGTCGTCTTCTGGGAGACAGAGTGAGAACCTGTCTCAAATAATGATAATAATAAAAACGTAACTACCACATCTATGCAGAGGTTCTCCCACACTAAGCGGGTATCAGCGCAGAGGAGTCAGCAAAGCCCACTGAGGAGTGGCCAGTGAAGTAGGAAGACCCACATGTTAGGAGGAACCGTGGGAGGATTGGGTTTTAAGGAGACAGAATGGTGTCAGTGCTGCTGGGAGCTTGAGCAAGCCAGGATAAGAAAGTGTGCCCTCGGCTTTCTACCATGGATGTCAGCGGTGACCTCGCCAGAAGCATTTCACTGCAACCTGGGGCAAAAGTCAGATTGGAATGGACTGAAGAGTGCATGGGAGGAGAGGAATGAAGGCGGTGAGTGTAGATACCTCTTTTGAGAAGGGTAGAGGTGAACAAAGAAGGTGGTGGTGGCTGAAGAAGGATGTGGGGTGACAGGAGGAATTGTTTTTGGACAGGAGATGTACAAATGTGTTCTCATGCTGGTGGAAACAGTGCAGTAGAAAGGGGGAATCGGGGGTTCAGGACAGCGATGCAGAGGCCACGAAGACAGGAGGGGCGTGGTTCAGGCAGGGGCCCCGTAGAAAACAGAGGACATCTTCAAACAGGGGAAATGGAAGACGGTTCAATAAAGGGACTCTTTACCAAGCCACAGGCAGGATGCAGGGACATCCCAAGGCAGAGAGGAGTACCCCAGGCCTGAAGTCTTGAGATCACAGGGTCATGAGAGCAGATTCAGGAACCTGGACAGAGGTGGTCACTGCCAGCCGTGATGACTCGCAGAGAGGAGCTGAGGGAAGTCAGTCCAACATCACTGTTGCTCTCCCTCCTCTCCCGCCCCTGCTTCCTACTTGCCTAACTTTCCGAAGCCAGAGGGCATGAGCCCCGGGGGGTGGAGCCAGCAAGTGAGTTTCCTGGGGTGCAGAACAACATGGAGAAGGGGGAGGAGCACCTAGAAAGGCAACCTGAAGAGATGTGGAGACGTGGCATGGAGCAGGTGCAGAGGGCACATGGAGGGCTTGGCCGTGGGGTTAGGACACGCCCTGCATTGGTCCGCATCAGCAGTATGGAGCGGTTTTGCAGCATTGAGGTGGGGAGTGTGGGCTTTCATCTCTGAAAGCTGCTATCTTCTGAACGAACCATGAGGTGATGTCATTGGCTGAGAGGGAGCTGGGGAAAGGATGTGAGAAGGGTGAGAAGAGAGGATGAAAAGATGCAATTGTCTCCACAGGGAGCAGGAAGCACTCAAGAAATATAATAGGACCCTGGGCAGCACGGAGTGCCCTCCTGGGCTTTGCGGTCCTGACATTAAAGTGTAACCAGTTGGCCTCATTGTGAGATCGCCTCCAGCTGGCAGACCCAGAGAAGTGCAGAAGGGGCTCATCCAGGCCTGGGGTTTGCAAAGGGAACACACAAGTAGAGGAGAAGAGAGGAGAACAGGGAAGGGATCAGATACCAGATTGCTGCCCAGGCGCACACACAAACACGGACATGCATAGAAGGCCATCAGCATTTGCCTACAAACATAAACATAGGCATGAACATAATAGTGAACATGTCTGAGGCAAACATCCAGATTCGCCTGGGCTTAAACTGCACTCACATGTGTGGTAATCCCACACCACGTGGACACAGATGCCCAGGAGAGTGAATATCCACATGCATATAAACAATCGGCTGCATGGATTTGTGCAGGCAGACACAGGGCAAACATGCAGTCTATGCGGGATACAGACGCATGAAGAGATCTGCACACAGACCTGAGTAAAGAACTCATGTACTGAAAGCGGCCTGAGTTGACGTGGAGATACCTGCTGTGTCTATGCTCATTTGCATGTGGAAATAAGTAGCTTAATAGAGTGGTTACAACCACAGAATCTGGAACCAGATGGCCTAAGTTCAAATCTAGGCTCTGCTCTGACACATATTAGCTGAGGTTTCACTAAGTTACTTAACCTCTCTGTGCCTCGATTGCCTCATCTGTAAAGTGGGGATAATAACATCACCTTTATAGAGTTGTTGGAAGATCCAGGGAATTATACCACACTGTCCTGGTTCGCCTCCTATCTCTTGGGCTGCTTCTTCTCATGTCCCTTGCTGGTTTCTCCATGTTGCCCAGTATCTAAACCTAGTCCCTGGGCCTGTTCTCTGATCTGTCTACCCACACTCCCTTGCTGGTATCATGCAGTCTGCAGCTGGGGACTTACGTCACTTGATCCTTTCACTGTCCGTCACTCCCATCACAATCGCACCTCCCTCCGTACCTAGTGGTGATTCCCTGGTTCATCATTAGGAGAACTTTCGTGCCTGCACATTCAACTCCCTGGCCCTCCATACTTGCTTTGCAAAACCTCAAACCTTGTTGAACCCAGCTCTCCACCTACTCAGCGCCTTCACCTGTGAAGCTATATGTGGCTGGAGAAACACACAGGATGCTGGCAGGACTCACTTTGTATTCATGACTGCAAGCCTTAGGTGACCTCAATGCTGCCCCAAGCCTCCCCCCTTCACTCTCTAGATGACTCCTTTATGCCTTCTTCCTCCTCCGCCCTCCAGCCACCTCCCCCACATCCTCACTCAGAACTGATCACTTTAGGTTAGTGCAAAAATAATTGTGGTTTTGGCCATTAAAAGTAATGGCAATATATCACTGAGAAAATCAAAGCATTAGAAAGAGATCTTCACAGCTCTGATCCCCACAACGACCCACCCACTGTATATCATCAATTCTAAGATGCATCTTTGTTAGACCACATCTTAGCATCTCTGAAACTGGAATGTTTATTCCAGTCAATAGTTTAATTCTCCTTTCTTACTTTTGGATAAGTGTCTTATATTTAATAGTAACTTAGATTTGATGAAATACGGTAGTATATATGCCCTCTTGTTACCAAGGGATGGACTGTTCTTGTCCTTGTCCAAGGATGGAAGGGATTGTCCTTTAAAACCAATCCCTTCCCTAGTGCACCAGATCCCATCCACTCTCATCCCTGTAAGAACACCACATCCGTAATTCTATCCACTCTTCCCCATAGAATCTTTCCCTTCTCTGTGGCATCATCCACAAACACATGCTATTTTATTCCTCCCAACTTATGAAAATGCTCTTGACTTGTCTCTCACTACTGGCCCATCCTCCCCATTCTAGCAAAATTCTGTGGCAGAATGATCTTTGTTCACCATCTCCAATTCCTCTCCTCCCTTTCTCTTTGAACTCCCTCCAAACCAGCTTTTAAGTCAGCATTCTACTCCAGCTGCTCTTGCCAGGGTCGCCAGTCGGTAAACGCAGTCACCAGTTCTCAGGCCTCCTATTTGACCTCAACACAGCATGTGAACACAGCTGAGCACTGTCTCCTCTTCGGAACCCTGTCCTAAGTTGACTTGCTGGACACCACACTCTCCTGGTTCTTCTCCTACCTGAAAGGCGGCTCCTTCTTATCATCTTTGCTGGTTTCTCTTGGTGTCAATATTTAAAGTTTGCAGAGGGACCCCGGGTTCAGTCCCTTGCCCTATTTCCAAGTCTGGCTACACTGATACTGTCCACTCTCCTGGCTTTAAATACCACCTCCACATTGATGGTGCTTCTCTGAGCCTGGAACCTGCATCACTAACTCCCAACTCATTATCTCCCCTCGGGGGCCCATCAGGTGTCTTCTTTGTTTGTTTGTTTGTTTGTTAGTTTTTGAGACAGGGTCTCTCTGTCACCCAGGCTGGAGTGCGGTGGTGTGAAAAAGGCTCACTGCAACCTCGACCTTCCGGGCTCGAGCCATCCTCCTGCCTCAGCCTCCCTAGTAGCTGGGACCACAGGCGCACATGCTACCGATTCAGCTATTTTTAAATTTTTCTGTAGAGAGGAGGGTCTCGCCATGTTGCCCAGGCTGGTCTCAAACTCCTGTGCTCAAGCAATCCTCCTGCCTTAGCCTCCTAAAGTAAGGGAGAGAGATGTGAGCCACTGCACCCAGCCTCATCAGGTGCCTTGAAGATTACCTATTCAAGGATAACCTTCTGATGAGAGCCTTCATTACACTTTACCCCTTTCCCTGTGACTATGAGCCTCTTGAGGGGAGACATTGTATTGTGTCGTGTCTTCATGCCCAGCACATACTGCCAGGTAACCACTTGCTAAATGAATGAATCCGTGACCAAGAAGATGTAGAGCAGAAGGAGGGGGCTCAGGTTTTGACGGTAGGGAGCACTGGACTCATGGAATTCCTGAACTGAAAGGAACAACCTGTTCAAAGGTGCGGGGGCAAGCCTCCCAGGAAAGCAGCCATCACAGGAAGGGAAGGGAGAGGGGAGAGCATTCCGGGCATGGGGTACAGCAGAGACAAAGGCCCGGAGGCTGAAGTGGCAGCTTGTTGGGGAAGACAGTGGACCAATGGGCAATTCATGAGGAGTCAAGATTATAGACATATTAAAGCTAAACTCACTCTTGAAAGGGCTTAACGTCTAGGCACAGGAACTTGGACATTAAGGTGTAGTCAGTGGGGGAGAATTAAAGATTTTTGAGCAAAGAGGAGATGTAAGAGACCAAAGATGCTCCAGAATTTCAGGTCAAAACAACTAGGAGAAAATATTGCACAAACAAGTGTTTTCTAAAAATGCAGGCTAATTTTTTCTTTCTTAATCCCAAATGCAATAGTCAAGCTAAATTTAGATGACACAAAAACATGGTGATAAATAATGTAAAACCACGTTGTGTGAGTTATCCTCTTTTGATTACATCAAAGAAAGAGTATTAGTAAGATGTTAGTGCTTAACCCCTTTATAATATGTGTTTAACATCTGCCCCTTTCTTAAAATCAAAATGAGGCCAGGTGTGGTGGCTCACACCTGTAATCCCAGCACTTTGGGATGCCGAGGCAGGCGGATCATCTAAGGTCAGGATTTCAAGACCAGCCTGGCCAACGTGGCAAAACCCCATCTCTAGTAAAAATACCAAAAAAAAAAAAAAATAATAGCCAGGCATGATGGTGCATACCTGTAGTCCCAGCTACTTGGAATGCTGAGGCAGAAGAATTGTTTGAACCCTGGAGGTGGAGGTTGCAGTGAGCCAAGATTGCACCACTGCACTGCAGCCTGGGTGACAGAGCGAGACTTTGTCAAAAAGAAAGAAAGAAAGAAGGAAAGGAAGGAAGGAAGGAAGGAAGGAAGGAAAAGAAAAGAAAGGGAAAGAAAAAAGAAAAAGAAAGAAAGAAAGAAAGAAAGAAAGAAAGAAAGAAAGAAAGAAAGAAAGAAAAAGAAAGGCAGAAAGCAAGCAAGCAGGGAGGGAGGGAAGAAAGAAAGAAGCCAGTCTTGGGAGCAGATACTTTGACGGGCAGTATTATCCAGCTGGAATTTAATTGCATTTGTTTTGTTTTTGTTATGTTTACTTTTACCATTGCAGATAGTTTATAGTGAATCATTTAATACTACTGTTAATGATACAGTTTATTTTTTCATTCATCAATCATTCAGTAAAGATTTATTGAGCACCTATTGTATGCCAGGCACAGTTCTAGATGCAGAGGATGTAGCCACAGACAAGACAGACCAAAATCCCTGCCCTCGTGGCGTTTCCACTCTAGTAGAGGACAGCAGACAATAAACAAAATGAGAATGTCAAGTAGATGGTGCAATGTGGCGCTGTGTTCTATGGAGGAAAACAAAGCAGGAGAGGGGAGAGTGACTGCTGGGTAAGGTCTTCCTCCACCTCCTTTGCATCTTTGCTCACATGCCAGCTTCTCCTGGGCTTCACAGACCACCAATTTATAATTTCCATTTAAAACTTCCATTTTATTTTTTTAATTTTTATTTATTTATTTATTTATTTCGAGATGGGGTTTCGCTCTTGTTGCCCAGGGTGGAGTGCAGTGGCACAATCTTGGCTCACTGCAACTTCCGCCTCCCGGGTTCAAGCAATTCTCGTGCCTCAGCCTCCTGAGAAGCTGGGATTACAGGTAACCGCCACCATGCCTGGCTAATTTTTGTATTTTTAGTAGAGCCACCCCGGCCTCCCAAAGTGCTGGGATTACAGGCGTGAGCCACGGCGCCCAGCCAAAACTTCCGTTTTAAATTGGCAGTCTGGGAAGCCCAGGAGAAAATGGCATGTGAGCAAAGATGTGAAGGAGGCAGAGGAATGAGCTCTGAGGCTGTGCAGGAGAAGATTGAGGCAGGGGGAACAGCGAGGGCAAAGGCCCTGTGGTAGGAATGTCCCTGATGTGAGGAGTTGCAGGAGTCCAATGTGGCTGGAGAAGAGTGAGGAAGCGGGAGAGAAGCAGACTCTGAGGTCTGAAAGGTACCTGGGGGCTGGATCACACAGGGCCTTACAGGGCTTGGGAGGGTTTCCGCTTTTACTCTGGCCACAACAGTGCATCATCATTAGAGGATTCTGAGAAGGGAGAAGTGACATTCTCCGACATTTAAACTTTAACATGACCACTTTGGCTGCTGTGCTAAGAATAGACTCTAGGGGACAAGGGCAGAAACAGGGAAACCTTTTAAAAGGACATTGTGATAACTTAGAAGATAATGGTTGTTTGGACAAGGACGGTACAAGTAGAGGCAGTATCAGATTCTGGAAGATATCCAAAGTTATCTGAAGACAATGCTGATGGAAATTGCTGACAAATTGTATGTGGGGGTGAAAAAGAATTCATGGTGGGGCCGGGCGCAGTGGCTTATGCCTGTAATCCCAGCACTTTGGGAGACCGAGGTGGGCGGATCACCTGAGGTCAGGAGTTCAAGACCAGCCTGGCCAACATTGTGAAACCCTGTTTCTACTAAAAATACAAAAATTAGCCAAGCATGGTGGTGCACACCTGTAATCCCAGCTATTAGGGAGGCTGAAGCGGGAGAATTGCTTGAACCTGGGAGGTAGAAGTTGCAGTGAGCTTAGATTGTGCCACTGCACTCCAGCCTGGGCAACAGAGTGAGACTCCATCTCAAAAAAAAAAAAAAAAAAGAAAAAGAAAGAAAGAGAATTAATGGTGGTTCCGAGGCTTTTGGGCGGAGCAACTGCAAGGGTGGAGGTTCCATTACTGAGATGGGGATGAGCATGGTGGCTCTGGGGGGAATTCCATTTTGAGTTTGAAATGCAGAGCAGACACCAAGTGGAACTGTCAAAGGAGTAGTTGTATATGTGTCTGGAGTTTCATGACACATATTTGCACTTTATTTATTTATTTATTTGAGACAGAGTCTCACTCTGTCACCTAGGCTAGAGTGCAGTGGCACTGTCTTGGCTCACTGCAGCCTCCATCTCCCAGGTTGAGGCAATTCTCCTGCCTTAGCCTCCTCAGTAGCTGGGATTACAGGTGTGCACCACCACACCCAGCTAATTTTTATATTTTTAGTAGAGATGGGGTTTCACCATAGTGGCCAGGCTGGTCTTGAACTCCTGACCTCAAATGATCTGCTCACCTTGGCCTCCCAAAGTGCTGGGATTACAGGTGTGAACCACCATGCCTGGCCACGTATTTGCACTTTAAAAGTCAGCTGATGTATCAGCTGTAAAATGAGGATAAGAAAACAAAAGAATAAAAAAAAAGAAAAACAGTCGATTTAAACAAAAAAATAATAATAGAAGTAGCATGAGGATATGGCAAAAATCACTGAAGTTGTACAGGAATGAGTAACCCTCAGAAAATACTGGGGCAGGCATGCAGAAGCCAGTGGAGCTCATGGAGAGAAGCAAGTGTGTGTGTTAGGGGAGGCTGATCCCCTTGCCTCCTCTTTCTTCCACTCTAGGGCAGAAATGCGAGCTGTGGCTCTGTGGCTGTGCCTTCACCCTCGCTGATGTCCTCCTGGGAGCCACCCTGCACCGCCTCAAGTTCCTGGGACTGTCCAAGAAATACTGGGAAGATGGCAGCCGGCCCAACCTGCAGTCCTTCTTTGAGAGGGTCCAGAGACGCTTTGCCTTCCGGAAAGTCCTGGGTGACATCCACACCACCCTGCTGTCGGCCGTCATCCCCAATGCTTTCCGGCTGGTCAAGAGGAAACCCCCATCCTTCTTCGGGGCGTCCTTCCTCATGGGCTCCCTGGGTGGGATGGGCTACTTTGCCTACTGGTACCTCAAGAAAAAATACATCTAGGGCCAGGCCTGGGGCTTGGTGTCTGACTGTCGGTGTCTCTGTGCTGTGTGATTCCCCGTGAGCTCTCAGTAACTCACTGTCTCATGAACACTTGGACAGCCCTCCCCGCCCTTCGTTCTGAGTAATAATACCGTCAGTGTGAAAACATTCCGTAGTTTAGAAGTAGACGTTGCCAATGCTGTGACTCAAGGCCACGGCTCTACTAAAAGAGAGAGAGGAAGCGAGAGAGAGAGAGAAAAAACAAAAAACAGAAAACACGAATGCCTTTTCTATCGATTCAAGGTCTCAAGATGGAACTGTGGAGACTGGTTAGGATCTGAGGTGAGTCCCAGGATGTTTCGTCCACCAGGGCCCAGATTCTGGGAGGTGCTGGGGACTCAGAGGGCCTGACCCCTCACCTCCCCTTCCCTCTTGCCCAGGGAACTCTTCCACAGGACAAAGCCGACATCAAGACTCAACTCCTCTAACCGGTACCTCTGAATGGGGCTGGATAACCGGAGACCCCATGGGAGGTCCCTGAAGATCAGAAGGGGCTTCACGCTTCTCCTGGACATGGACTAGCTTGAGCCAAGGCAGTGGCACCCAAAAACCAGGCTGCAGTGGGGACGGATACCATGAGCACACCCTCTCATTGTCCTTCTGATTTGGTCCATGTGTTGGGTTTGGCCTTAGTAGAAATCTCTGAAGGCAGCAGCCATCATCCTCTTCCTACCTTGAGTTTTTCTACCCTGTGAGGTGGGACTTTCAGTAAAAGCCATGTTGACCCTCTCTCAGAAGGTCAGTCCAGCCCAAGTGCAGGGGCGGATCTGGAGGTGGACAAACCTAGGTCCCCCTCCTAGCCTCTGTCCAAGCCATCTCCTTCAATATCCCCCCCTTCCTGTCACTCCCGGGGCTGTCCCTGTACTACACGGTGCCATGGAGCCGGGGAGAGCGGGGAAGTCTCTGCATCCATGCCACCCACCCCAGTCGGGTCTCACTTTCCTGTGCCTTTTGCATGTTGGGAAAGGGTCTTGGTGTCACTGCCGCTCATGCATAGAAACCACCAAAAGCCCCAATAAAGCATCCAGGAGGAACAGTTGCTTTTCATTTCTAAACCTGTGCTGTCCATCTAGTTCTCATTGCCAAGTGCTGGAGCCAGAAGGGTAGAGATGTGAGGTTTCAGTCTCAGTTCTTCACAAGAGCAAGCAAGAGTTGACTGCCTGTCTCAAGTTGCTGGGTCTGGGGCTGGCTTCCAGACTGACTTTCCAGGGCTCTGACCTTAACATCAACCCAGCTCATTTAGGCTCAGCCCTTTACAGGTTACAGGGCATGTGTACAACCCTTTGTTCTCATTAACCTGTGCAAGGGCCAGGTGTAGTGACTCATATTTATAATCCCAGTGCTTTGGGAGGCCAAGGCGGGAGAATTGCTCCAGGCCAGGAGTTCAAGACAAGCCTGGGCAATATAGCGAGACCCCATCTCTAGAAAATAAAATAAAATAAACCTATATATGGACCTCAGGGGGCACCCAGGGCACATGCCCCCCACCCCAATTTCCCAGAGGGAAAAATGTATTTAAAATGCCCAAAGAACATTAAATCAGGAGTATAATGTGTAGAATATAAGGCATGGTTTTACTTATTTTGCAATAAAAAAAAGTATTAAGAATTTGCACATCTTTTTTCATCAAGGTAAAAAGAAAGCTTAGTCATCCAGGGCCAAGACAGGGCAAAGGTGGAACTTAGAGACCATGAACACTGTCTGGCACCATCCATCCCCTTGGCTAATCAACCATTCACACAGGCTGGGTGTGGGCTCACGCCTGTGATCCCAGCACTTTGGGAGCCCAAGGCGGGTGGATCACGAGGTCAGGAGTTCAAGACCAGCCTGGCCAACGTGGTGAAACCTCGTCTCTACAAAGAATACAAAAATTAGCTGGGTGTGGTGGCGCATGCCTGTAATCCCAGCTACTCAGGAGGCTGAGGCACAAGAATCGCTTGAACCCAGGAGGCAGAGGTTGCAGTAAGCCAAGATGGCACCACTGCATTCCAGCCTAGCAACAGAGCGAGACTCCATCTCAAAAAAAAAAAAAAAAAAAATCAAACATCCACACAGACTCTCCCCATTCTTCATTCAACTTCCACTCAAGAACAACAATATAATACTCAATCCCCACAGGATTTACTGCCTCCTGCAATGAGGACGTGCTAAACCTCTCTCCAAAAATGAGACTCACAAAGCCCCATCGGTCAGTAACATCACTCTGGATAACGGTGGATTCTCTTCTCATTCCTCCTCTAGCTCTAGAGATCACACCCACACCTCAATCTACTATAATATTCAGATGAAAACATAAATTTGACCATCACTAGCATTCCTTATATTCAATTACACACACACACACACACACACACACACACACACCCCAAGCAAAGAAAATACTCAGAACTGCTATAGGTCTCATTTCTGTAATTGATTCCAAGGCCACTGTTGATATTTACAGTTTCTCTTTTTTCACTAGCTATTCTAGGTTCTCTTTGCCCTCAGCCAGCACCTCAGTTAGTTAGCGTATTTAACCTGGTGACATGACTCAGACTCTGGTGGTCCTTAGATTGCTATGGTCTTCCATTACTATTGGATGTGGAAGTATTATGGGGCACTGCAGACAATCCCCTATTCTTCCATGCTATCATTGTGCAGGAGCAACCCAGTTTAGCCCTGGTAATCAGCTCAATTACCCCAGCCTGTAGAGAAACACACTACTTTGCCTGTAGTTTCAAGGGTATGAGGAGCTCAAAATGGCCAAGTGGCAGTCTCAACTTCTAACTTAATTGAACCATTGAATTATTCCTCAATAGATGTACTCCTCCCTTAGGAGCTATAATTTCTAAGCTATCAAAATCCACAGTGTCAGGGATGGGAAGCAACAGTTTTATGAATGGGTTATTTGTATAATAGTGAGAGTCACTTCCACTTCCACCTTGGCATTGTTAGACCCGTGTTCTCTGGCAGTGGGAGAAACAGCACTGTGGTTGGTTCAAAGTACATACTGTATCCTGTAGGACAGCACTCCACATTGCAGTGTCTCCTGGCTGCCACTGTACCAGTCTTCAAGAGACCATTTCAGTGTTCGATAAGACCAGCTGCTTCTAGATAAGAGAGTACTTTCTTCTAGATAAGAGAGTACATGGTAAGGCCACAATATCCCATGGGTATAACCACATTGCTGAATTTCTTTTGCGATAATATCAACTCTTTGGTCAGAAGCAATGTTATGTGCAATACCAACACTGGAACCAAGGCATTCATAAGTCCATGGATATAGTGGTCGGAGAAGGCAAACCCATAGAGAGAATAAGTGAGTACAAACTGCTGCTTCCTCTGTGATGGAAGGGGTTCAATATGATCTATCTGCCCTCAGAGAGCTGGTTCCTATGGCGAATGGTGTCATATTAGGAACTGTGCACACGGGGCACTCTGCAGTGGCATTCACTAAATCAGTCTTAATCAGAGGAAGTCCGTGTTGTTGTATCCATCTATAACCTCTAGCTCAATTACCATGGCCCTTTTGTACATCAGCCTATTGAGCAAGCACTGGAGTGGCTGGGGAAAGAGAATGACAGACAGCTACAGAACAAGGCATCTTGTCCATTGGTTTCTTGAACAATGGTTTCCTCTGCAGTGGGTACTGTTTGAGGGAACATGTGCATAGGACACAAATATCCTCCCATTCTGTGTCCACTGTTAGGGGTCCATCCACATTCCTTCTCCCACAGAGCTCCTGGTTACCAATCTTCCAGTCTTCTTTCCATGTTCATAAGCATCCGGCCAAACCATCCGTCCCATGAATATGTACAGATTTATATTCCTGGACTTCTGTCTCTATCTTGATAGGGCAGACAAGCAGACATACTGCTTGAAATTCTGTTCACTGCGAGGATTTGCCTTCTGCAATGTCTTTCGGGGAATTCCTGTAGTGCTGCAACCATCCACTTCCAGGTGGTGCCAGGCCTGAGTCTTTCTTCCTCCATCAACTGATTATAGGGCATTTGCCAAGAGGCCTCTGGTGTTGACTGAGGAAGAGGCAGCAATGTGGTGAAATAGATGCCATCGTCTGAGCTGTATCACTTTCACTTGATGATAGAATGATGCTGCCATATATGCCTAGCTTTATGGCTTGATGGATCAGATGATACCAAGTTCATGATGGGGAGATCAGGTTGCATAGTCACCTGGTGTCTCCTGGTCAGGCGTGTAGTCTTTACCAGGGCCCAGTAGAAAGCCAGATGTTATTTCTCAAAAGGACCATTATTGTTTGCAGAAGAGGACATGACTTTGTCCCAAACCCTAGGGATGTGCACTGAGATTTTCCTATTAGGGCTTGCTGGAAGCTCCATACTGGATGCCTATGTCATATGTGATTTAAATACCACTGGATCTGCTGGGTCATAAGGCTGAACTCGCAGAGCATCTTATACTGTAGCCTGAATTTGCTTTGGGATCCATTCTAAACTGGCAGTCTTATGGGTTACTCAGTAAATGGTTTGGAGCAGTGTACACAAATGGATGTATTGCCAGGTACAGTGGCACATGCCTGTAATCCCAGCTACTTGAGAGGCTGAGGCAGGAGGATCACTTGAGCTCAGGAGTTTGAGACCAGACTGGGCAATTTAGTGAGACCCCCATCAAAAACAAAGACAAAAATAAGAACAAATGGGTGTATGTTGCCTCCCAAATCCAAAGAGGGCCACCAATTGTGCCTTTTTCTTAGTAGGAGGTGCAGCAACTTATCTTTCACTTGGAGGGGATATCCTGACATTTCCTAGATCCCTGGGTTGCTAAAAACTTTACCAGGTTTCCAGAACTCTGAATGTTCATGGGGTTTACATACCACCCTCTGGCATGCCTGGGTCTTAGTGAATCATCTGGTGTACTTGATGCGTCCTGCTCATTAGTTACAGCATGATGTCATCAATGTAGAGGATCAATGTTTTGTTACAGATAATCAAGATAATCAAGGTCTCTACACACTAGATTATGACAGAAAAAGAAAAGCTGACATAGTCCCATGGAAGAAAGTGATATGCTACTGCCCTGCCAATTAAGGCAAATGAGGCTGGGCATGGTGGCTCACACCTGTAATCCCAGCACTTTGGGAAGCCGAGGCGGGTGGATCACCTGAGGTCAGGAGTTCACGACCAGCCTGACAAATATGGTAAAACCCCATCTCTACTAAAAATACAAAAATTATCTGGGTGTGGTGGCGTGTGCCTCTAATCCCAGCTGCTCGAGAGGCTGAGACAGGAGAATTGCTTGAACTTGGGAGTTGGAGGTTGCAGTGAGCCGAGATTGCGCCACTGCACTCCAGCCTCAGTGACAGGGCAAAACTCCATCTCAAAAAAAAAAAAAAATGACTTTTGGTGATTCTTATCAATTTGATATACAGAATAAACATTTTCTAGACCAAGAGCTGGATACAAAGTGCTAAATACTGTGTTGATTTGCATTAATAAAGAAACCACATCTGAAAAAACTGCGGTTTGAATTACCACCTGAGGGGGTTCACAGTAAAACCTTATCCTTCTTCTGAACCCATCCCTTTTACAGTATTGCTTTTAGTTTACTAGTCTAGTGTGTGAGGTGGTGGTGGTGTGAAGTTCCAGGAGCTTTCTCTTCGTCCTTTTACCTAAGTAGTCCTCATTCCATGGGTCAAGGAGTCCTGTGTAGGCTCCACTAGCTGTTAAATTTGTTTGTTCCAATAACATATTCAGGACCTGGGTTAAAAATCACAGATGGGTCCACAGAGCCACTGGTCCACTCGCTATGAGATGTTTTCAAACCAAAACTCCATTTATCACCTAATCCCAATAAGCCTCATTAAAAATTATTTGTTAATTTATTTACTTTTACATTTCTGTGGTATATATGGGGTACATGAGACACTTTGATACAGGAATACAATGCATAATAATCATAACAGGGTAAATGGGGTATCTATCACCTCAAGAATTTATCCTTTCTTTGTGTTACAAACAATCCAATTATACTCTTCAGTTTTTTGTTTGAGATGGAGTCTCGCTTTGTTACCCAGGCTGGAGTGCGTGACACGATCTCGGCTCACTCTGCCTCCCAGGTTCAAGTGATTCTCCTGCCTCAGCCTCCCAAGTAGCTGGGACTACAGGCACGTGCCACCACACCTGGCTAATTTTTTGTATTTTCAGTAGAGACGGGTTTCACCACTTTGGCCAGGCTGGTCTCGAACTTCTGACCTCAAGTGATCTCCCCACCTCATCCTCCCAAAGTGCTAGGATTACAGGCATGAGCCACTGTGCCTGGCCTCTTTAGTATTTTTGTTTTAAAATTTTGTTTGTAGAGACAAAGTCTCACTATGTTGCCCCAGCTGGTTTCAAACTCCTACACTCAAGCAATCCTCCTGCCTTGGCTCCCCCAAATTTTGGGATTACAGGCGTGAGCCACCATGCGCAGCCTTTTAGTGTTGACACCCTTGTTGAAAATTAGTTCAGTGTAGACATACTGATTTAATTCTGGGTTCTCTATTCTTTCCCATTGGTCTATCTGTCTGTTTTTATGCCAGTACTATGCTGTTTTGGTTACAGTATAATTTGAAGCCAGGTAATGTGATTTCTCCAGTTTTATTCTTTAGCTTTGGCTATTCTGGATCTTTCATGGTTCTATATAAATTTTAGGATTATTTTTTATATTTCTGTGAAGAATGTAATTGGTATTTTGATAGGGATTGCACTGAATCTGTAGATTGCTTTGGGTAGTATGGACATTTAAACAGTATTAATTCTTCCAATCCATGAACATGGAGTATCTTTCCCTTTTTTTGGTATGTCCTCTTCAACTTCTTACATCAATGTTTTGTAGTTTTCATTATAGAGATCTTTCACTTCTTTGGTTAAATTAATTTTTAGGTTTTTATTTTACTTGTAGCTATTGTAAATGAGATTATTTTCTTGATTTCTTTTGCAGATTGTTTGCTGTTGGCATACAGAAATGCCACTGATTTTTGTACATTGATTTTGCATCCTGCAACTTATCAGTTCTAAATTTATCAGTTCTAAGAGATTTT
Source organism: Homo sapiens (assembly GCF_000001405.40). Taxonomy (NCBI): domain Eukaryota; kingdom Metazoa; phylum Chordata; class Mammalia; order Primates; family Hominidae; genus Homo; species Homo sapiens. The sequence goes on from NC_000020.11 coordinate 44,286,376, forward strand.
TGGTGAAGTCTTTTGTTTTTTCCAAATATAAGGTCATATTATCTGCAAACAAGGATAATTTGACTTCTTCCTTTCCAATTTGGATGCTCATTACGTCTCTCTTTTGTCTAACTGCTCTAGCTAGGACTTCCAGTACTATGTTGTATAACAGTGGTGAAAGTGGGCACCCTTGTCTTCTTCTAGATCTTAAAAGAAAGGCTTTCAGTTTTTCCCCATTCAGTATGATACTGGCTGTGCGTCTGCCATACATGGCTTTTATTGTCTTGAGATATGTTCCTTCTATCCTGTTTTTTGAGTTTTTTTTATCATGAAGGGTTGTTGAATTTTTCAAATGCTTTTTCAGCATGAATTGAAATTATCATGTGGTTTTTCTCCTTCATTCTATTGATATAATGTATCACACTGATTGATTTGCATATGCTGAACCATCCTTGCATCCCTGGGATAAATCCCACTTGGTCATGATTAATGATCTTTTTAATGTGTTGTTGGATTCTTTTTGCTAGTATTTTGTTGAGGATTTTTACATCAATGTTCATCAGGGATATTGACCTGTAGTTTTCTTTCTTTTTTTTTTTTAATGTGTCTTTGTCTGGTTTTGGTATCAGGGTAATACTGACCTCATAGAATGAGTTTGGAAATAAGCCCTGCTTGTGATTATAGTAGCATTTTGGGTCCCCAGGGAATAGCTTCAAATCAGAGCCAGTGTAGAATATACCTTGAAAGCTCTGGGTATTTCCCTCTTTCTTGAAATTTCTTCCTTTTCTCTGGGATACACTCAGGTAAGTGTTAGGCTCCTCTGAAGAGCTTAAAGGAAAATAGTTTATACTTGTGACAGTCACAGGAACTTTTCTCAAGGAGATCTAGCCTTCCCTACATTTCATGGGCCCCAGGGCACTGAACTGGGTAAGAGATTACTTCTGCAGGACAGTTCTCTGGGTGTCCTTGGACTGATCCAGTTCTCCCCACTTTCTTGTTTACAATTCTCTAAAACAACAGTAGAATGTGCTGGAATGTAATATCTTGACATAGGAAGGGACTAGCCAGAACTTCCTGGGCTCTGTTCCAATCCCCCCAAAGCCCGCCCCGAACAGGATGTCCTTCAGTGCTTTAGCCCAGTGATCACATTGCCCTGGGTCATAAAACCCAAGCCAAGCTACTTCCAGGGTCCCACTGCTGCAGTGCAAGTGAGGCATACACAGTCAAGGCATTATCCACCTTGGGCAGCATTCCTGAGGCTTGGGGGACCAGGCTTCTGTTGTCCTTTGCTCCTATCTGTAAGTAATAAATCTGCTTCATGTAACTTGTGAATATGAGTGTTCTGTCCCACCGGACTCAGACAAGTTGGTAGCCAGTGCATGGTGAGCCTGTTTCACCACTTTATTAGTCTGTTTTCATACTGCTGATAAAGACATAGCCAAGACTGGGCAATTTACAAAGGAAAGAGATTTAATTGGACTAACAGTTCCACGTGGCTGGAGAAACCTCATAATCATGGTGGAAGGCAAGGAGGAGCAAGTCATGTCTTACATGGATGGCAGCAGGCAAAGAGAGAGCTTGTGCAGGGAGACTCCAGCTTTTCAAAGCCATCAAATCTTGTAAGACTTACTATCACAAGAACAGCATGGGAAGGAACTGCCTCCATGATTCAATTAGCTCCCACTGGGTCCCTCCCACAACACGTGGGAATTCAAAATGAGATTATGGTGGGGACACAGCCAAACCATGTCTCCACTTAAAGTTAGGTCTCTGCTCACTGGACCCAAAGTTTTTCTGACTATACAGAGCAAGTAAGACTTAAACTGCTCAAATGTTTGATTTCTAGGGACAATATGATGAATTCACCTCCAGTAAAAGTCCCTGTGGGTCAAAATATTCCAGTGGTTGCTATGGCTCTGCTGCTATGATGGAGTTTGCACCCAACTCATCTCTGGCAGTAAGTGCTGCCACTTAGACTCTGCCACTCCTCATCAAAACCAGGAAGCCCATTTCAGTGGTGGCACTTCCCACTGTCACACCTAGGCTATAGAGGAAAGTACTCCAGGGCTTTTGAATGGTACTAGTGCTTTCTCTGCCAGTGCTTGCTCAGTGACTTAGTGAAAGGAGTGTCCTCTGGGCCCCCCTGGTGGACTTAAATGATAGGGTTATTTAAGGTGATAGGGTCAGGGTCAAGTCATACATAACAACTGGCTGTGGTGGGGCACCTGTAATCCTAGCTACTTGGGAGGCTGAGATGCGAGGACCAATCGAGCCCAGGAGTTTCAGATCAGCCTGCGCAACATAGTGAGACCCTGTCTCAAAACAAATTAAAATTAAAATTAAAAAAGAAAGATGTCACCCCATGATATTTTAAAAAACCGTACATAGTAAATCCATCCCAACATTTCTATTTCCTTAAAACTTCGAATTCCTCCCTTAATAGTATCTTAGGGAAATTCTAGCATCTCAACTTCAATGAATGTAGACCACCACTAAGTCCAGGTTTCAGTCAGTCAATCCAGGAAACCATTAGAGTCACTCGCAAATGCTGAGATAACATATTAAATCTAGACTCTCCAGAAAATGCATGAATATCCATAAATTTAACCCAGCCTAATATGGTTTGTTCTTCTTGGTCTGGCATCTTTATGTTCCATTGCCACACATACTCCCCCAGGTCTCTGTCAACATACATCAACAAAACATTTTTATTCTTTGGTATCATAGACTCTCTTTGGGTCAGACTTTGAACTTGCTCTCCTGGGGTGTGTAAGGGTCTGGAAGCAGTGAAGGGTGCTGGAGTTGGCCTTGAGGTGAGGCACCCCCTTGCAGGAAACTGTCTTGGATGAGGTCATTACGAGTCTTCCAGCAAGAGAATGATCTTCTCAGAAGAGGAGGAGGGCTGCTTCCACTGTTAAAGAGGACCTGGGTTGATTTGGAGGTTCAAGGTTGGCAGATTCATCTGATTTTACCCACAGGGGTCCAAACTGTATGTGAATAATGGAATGGAGCCCATGAGCCTGCCATTGCTACTGAATGACTGGGGGCACTGCTGTCGCTACTGAAGCTCATGTTACTTCACTGCTGCTGCTGAAAAAAAAAAAAACAGAAACCCCCACTCCTGCTGATTGCTAAAATGCTTTTCATGTTGTTAGAGCCCAGGATCATCTATAGTCACCTTCAGTCACCCACTGCCACTGTCAGAGCCCATTTCTAGAATCAGAGAAAAAATTAAAAATGTCCTCGTTTCCTCCACCTCCCAATCTCCACCAGTGTCTTCCACTAGCAGAGCCCAGAGGAAAGCAGGATGAGAAATGCACAATGCAGGCTTCCCATCCTGGGGATACAGAGGAGCACGTGGAGGGGAAGGGTGGAGGTCAGAGTCAACGGGCATCGCCCAGGACACTAACCCTGCTGAACTTCAGGTCCCTCGCCTCAAATACAAAGTTAAAAATTCACCCCCTACTTACCTCTGCAGATTATGTTGAGGAACTAAGATAATGATTGTGAGATTACTTTATAAATTAATCAAGTGCTGTACATTTGCAATAGAATGTTATTATTCCAGTTATTATTACAGTTGCATGGGTTATTTATATTGTTGTTGTAATAGGTACTGGGACTGCCACCCTTGCTCCCCCAGTGGCTGGGAGGATTGGCTGTTAATGGCTCACAGCTGAGTCCCTCTTGGGGCACTGCCTCAGCTGAAGGGAGCTGTCTCATTCAAGGTTACTCCAGTTCCCTAAGGGTAGCTTACATCCAGCGACTGGTAGGTACAGAGATAGAAAGGTCTGACCCTCCTTACTTCAATTTAGGACATCTCTGAAGGGCCATCCGAGACCCACAACTCTCCACAGGATCAGCTAAGGTTCTGGAACAACTGCATCATAGTTCAACTTCTCTCTCTGCCCTTCCCTGCTTGTCTCACTCCCTTGCAGGTGATGTTTCCAAGAGCACTTCCCAATAAACCTTCTAAATGTAAATCTCATCTCAGAGTCTGTTTCTGAGGAAACCATGCTAAAGCAATTATCGTGGTGCTTTCAAGTACCATCACAAACATCTGACCCTTAAGACCACCCTAAGATGCAGAAAGGGCACAGAGTGTTACACATACTCCTTGTTCAGATGAAGAAGTTGAGGCTCAGTGAGATTAAGTAGCTCACCCAAGGTTGCACACAAAGTCAAGGTGGAGTCAGATCTGAGCACAGCTCTCTTGACTCTCTGACAGGTGTTTTGACCATTTCACTTCCAGGGAGAAAGCACAGATGCCTGTTTGGGGGGTCCCAAGGATTAGAGCTGGGAGGATGCTTCCAGTCAGCCTCTTCTGTCTGCTGGAGCAGAAGCAGATTAGTGTTGCCCTGGGCTCGGGATCCCTAGCAGGAGGACAAGGAGGAGAATCCATTTACAAACACTCCGGAAGCACCTACCCTGGGCCAGAGTCATTAAATAGGACCCAGTCCCCACCCCCAGGGAGCCTCCAGCTTTGGGGCTGAAGAAGAGAGCAATATTGCTTGAAGGTAAGGGGAACTCTGGAAGCAGGATGGAAAGCAATTTTGGCCAGAACAATAAGTGAAAGACTGATCAGCAGGAAGAGTCTGCTGAGATTTGGGGATGACTGCCCACAGCAAAGACAGAGAAACTCCCATCTCGGTTTGGAGACAGGGAGGGTCTTCAGTTGTTAGAAGAGCTGGCAACTCTTCCTAGAATCTGTGGAAAGACTGTTGCCCAAATGAGCTGTCTCCAATAAATGGCCAACACACAGTAGCTTTTCTAAGGATATCTGCATGAAGAGAATGAGGAACCCCAGCTTGGAGAAGTGGGAATAAAGGAGATGGAATACAGGGGCTGGGAAGTGCAGAATCATTAGGGTGAACGCTGAGCTGTTTTAACAAGAGGGAAGAAACACCTGGAGCTTAAGAGCGTAAAAGTTCAGGTATGGTGGCTCACACCTGTAATCCTAGCACTTTGGGAGGCCGAGATAGGCAGATCATGAGGTCAGGAGTTGAGACCAGCCAACATGGTGAAACCCTGTCTCTACTAAAAATACAACAATTAGCCGGGCATGGTGGGAGTCACCTGTAATCCCAGCTACTCGGGAGGCTGAGGCAGAAGAACTGCTTGAACCTGGGAGGCGGAGGTTGCAGTGAGCTGAGATGGCGCCACTGTACTCCAGCTTGGGCAACAGAGCAAGACTCCATCTCAAAAAAAAAAAAGAGAGTAAAAGTTCAGTTATCTTGGGGAGGCTGAGGCAGGAGGATCGCTTAAGCCCAGGAGTTCAAATCCAGCCTGGAAAACAAAGTGAAACCCCATCACTAAAATCTTTAAAAGGGGTAGGGGAAGTTCAGTTATCTCCCATTAACAAGTTCAGTGGTGCAGACTGGCCGGTGTCTGTTTGCTGACTGTTACTCCACCTTCCAGTGCATTGTCTTCATCTGCATGGTCAAAACTCGATCATGAGAAGCCGGGTTTTATGTGATAGGACAGGAAAGAGACGATGGAGGAACATATGCCCAATAGTTTAAGGCCTAGACTTGAAAGAGCAACATATCACTTCCGCTCACATTCCAATGGTAAGAATGGAGGGCCTCACCCAGCTGCAAAGGAGGCTGGGAAATGTAGTATCTGGCTGGGTAGTCTATTGCTAAGGAAGAAGAGAACAGATTTTCCTGGACAGCTAGCAGCCTCTGGCATAAGGAATAACTGTGAATGAGAAGAAGATCAGGTAGACTGCTGGAGAAAATGGCAGACTCTGGCTGGGCGCGGTGGCTCACACCTGTAATCCCAGCACGTTGGGAGGCCAAGATGGGTGGATCACCTGAGGTCAGGAGTTTGAGACCAACCTGGCCAACATAGTAAAACCCTGTCTCTACTAAAAATACAAGTTAGCCAGGCATGGTGGTGCCCGCCTGTAATCCCAGCTACTAGGGGGAGGCTGAAGCAGGAGAATTGCTTGAACTGGGAGGCGGAGGTTGCAGTGAGCCGAGATTGCGCCACTGCACTCCAGCCTGGGCAACAAGAGGGAGACTTTGTCTTGAAAGAAAGAAAGAGAGAGAGGGAGGGAGGAAGGAAGGAAGGAAGGAAGGAGAAAGAGAGAAACAGAGAGAGAGAAGGGAGGGAGGGAGGGAGGAAGGAAAGAAGAAAGGAAGGAGGGAAGGGGAGAGAGAGAGAAAAGAGGAGAGGAGAGGAGAGGAGGAGAAAGAAAGAAAATGGCAGACTCGGTATGGGCTGGAAGACATTGGAAACCCCTCACCCACCTGTTCTACATATGGGACACCAAGGCCCTGCATGGGGTGATGTCTGGTTTGGTCAGGATCCCACTGTAAGAGGACTAGAGCCCTAGGAGTCCTTTCCCTGGTCCCATTATTTTTATTTTTATTTTTAGAGACAGAGTCTCACTCTGTTGTTGCCCAGGCTGGAGTGCAGTGGTGAGATCATAGCTCACTGCAGCCTCAAACTCCTGGGCTCAAGTGATCCTCCCATCTCAGCCTCCTGAGTTGCTGGAACTACAGGCGTGCACCACCATGCCTGGCTCCTGGTCCCATTCTGTCTCTCAGAACATCATGGAGAAAATCCAGAGTGGGAGACAGGAAGTGTCAATACATAGGCATTTACCCAGAAATCTGTCAGCTGCCCAGCCTTCTATGAGTTGCCATCAGGTGCTTCAGAAATGAAGACGACGGTGGCTATCAGAGTTCAGTAGTCTGATGGACAACACTGCCAGGACTGTGGTAGTAGGTGTCCCCAAAGTTTAGACTGTTAAGAAAGGTCTCTCCATCATTACAGGATTCCTGCTGGGGAGGACAGTAAGGGCTTCTAAAGGGCATATTTTCTTTAGCTCATTGGTTCCTCACTGCCAAAGTCACAGACTCAATTGCCTAGATCACATCAGCTTATCTCCAAAGACCTGTTTGGTTCCTTTCTAGCAACCTACATTACCTAAAGGCCTTAGTTTTCTCATCTCTGAAATGGAGCTGATAATAATAGCTTCCATTCATTGACTACTAACTATGCACTCTGAAATTTACATAAATTATTTCTAACCCTGAGAAGTGCAGTTTTTATGTTTCATGGATGAGAAAACTGAGGCTCAGAGAGTTCAAGTACTGAAGGTAAAGGCAGTAGATTAGACTATTCGTCTTCCCCAATTGGATTGTACATTCCTGGCCTTTGACATGAAACTTTGCAGGACCTCCCACTGTCGGTAGAGTTTATTCCCTGCCCCATTGATGCGCCCACAGAAGGTTAGAGGAAGGATGTGTCAGGAGCAGAGGCCTTATTTTATTTATTTATGTATGTATGTATTGAGATGGAGTTTTGCTCTTGTTGCCCAGGCTGGAATGCGGTGGCACGATCTTGGCTCACTGCAGCCTCTGTCTCTTGGGTTCAAGTGACTCTCCTACCTCAGCCTCCCCAGTAGCTGGGATTACAGGCACACACCACCATGACTAGCTAATTTTTTGTATTTTTAGTAGAGACGGGGTTTCACCAATGTTGACCAGGCTGGTTTCAAACTCCTGGCCTCAGGTGCTCTGCCCACCTTGGCCTCCCAAAGTGCTGGGATTACAGGCATGAGCCAGCGCGCCCAGCCAAGCAGAGGCTTTAAATGTGCTGTATGGTTTGGCCAAGGTTTGGGTGCCTCAGTGGTCTTGATGAGAAGAGCATGCCCCCATACAGTTGCTGCCCTTTAAGCCTGGACACCAGAATGAAACAAGTGGAACAGCAGAGCCCAGCTGTGGCCTGGAGCCAAGTGTAGCCAATGGGCAGCCTGATGCGGAACTCACCAGCTGAGGCCAGCCCATACCAGCAGAGCTGCAGTTGATCTGTGAGCATTTGTAAGCCTGTGAGTTTGGAGGTGGCTTGTTGTAAAGCATTATTGTAACCACCCAATGGGTTCACCTTACCCACTACCTAGACACACCCAATGTATCAAGACAGAAGAATTGCAATGAAGAGAGGGTAATTCACCTAGAGCCAGCTGTGCAGGAGACCGGAGTTTTATTATTACTCAAATCGGTCTCTCCAAGTATTCAGGGATCAGAGTTTTTAAAAATAATTTGGGTTGCTGGGTGCAGTGGCTCACATCTATAATCCTAGCGCTTTGGGAGGCCGAGGCGGGTGGATCACCTTGAGGTCAGGAGTTCGAGACCAGCCTGGCCAACATGGTGAAACCCCATCTCTACTAAAAATACAAAAATTAGCCGGGTGTGGTGGCACGTGCCTGTAGTCCCAGCTACATGGGAGGCTGAGAGAGGAGAGTCGCTTGAACCCAGGAGGCGGAGGTTGCAGTGAGCTGAGGTCACACTGTTGCACTCCAGCCTGAGTGACAGAGTGAGATTCCATCTCAAAAAAATAAAGTAAAAAATAAATAAGAAAAATAAAAATAATTTGGCAGGCAGGGGCTTGGGAAGTGGGGAGTGCTGATGGGTCAGGTTGGAGATGGAATCATAGGGGGTTGAAGTAAGGTTTTCTTGCTGTCTTCTGTTCCTGGGTTGAATGGCAGAACTGGTTGAGCCCAGTTACCGGTCTGGTTAGTGTCAGCTGATCCATGGAGTGCAGGATTTGCAAAATATCTCAAGCACTGATCTTAGGTTTTACAGCAGTGTTGTTATCCCCAGGAGCAATTTGGGGGTGTTCAGATTCTTGGAGCCAGGGACTGCATGACCCCTGAAGTGTAATTTCTAATCTTGTAGCTAATTTGTTAGTCCTGCAAAGGCAGACTGGCCCTCAGGCAAGAAGAGGGTCTTTTTGGGAAACGGCTATTATCAATTTTGTTTCCGAGTCAAACCATGAACTGAGTTCCTTTCCAAAGTTAGTTTGGCCTACACCCAGGAATGAACAAGGACAGCTTAAAGGTTAGATGCAAGATGGAGTCGGTTAGGTCTGATTTCTTTCACTGTCATAATTTCCTACTATAATTTTGCAAAGGCGGTTTCATTATTACAGCAATCTCTAATACAATGGCAGAGCTGGGATATGAAGCATCAGATGTGTTAGGAGCCAAAGCCTTTGCTATTTTCTCTATGGTGTAGGTTGTTGGTAACTACAGGTGAGAAAATACAGTAAAAATGTCAGACCCTAAATAAAAAAATGAGGAACAAATGCTTGTTATTAATGTTATTCATGGTTGCTTTATTATTATATTGATGATACTAAGTCATTTCAGGGTTGTTGGGGGATATTTAGGAACTATAGTGCCCAGGCTTCTGAGAGAGACATCCTTAGGCAAAAATATAATATTACGTAGCCCCCATAGGTGCCTGACATTTTAAAACTTATATTTTCCAACCCGTGACTTCATTAAGGCAATTAAAGATGGCCAGGCACGGTGGCTCACGCCTGTAATCGCAGCACTTTGGGAGGCCGAGGCGGGCAGATCACCTGAGGTCGGGAGTTTGAGATCAGCCCGACCAAAATGGAGAAACCCTGTCTGTACTAAAAATACAAAATTACTCGGGCGTAGTGGTGCATGCCTATAATCCCAGCTACTCAGGAGGCTGAGGCAGGAGAACTGCTTGAACCCAGGAGGCAGAGGTTGTGGTGAGCCAAGATCGCGCCGTTGCACTCTAGCCTGGGCAACAAGAGCAAAACTCCGTCTCAAAAAAATAAATAAATAAAATAAAAAAGACAATTAAAGACTAGTGTGGCAGAAAGTATTATCCTCACTTCGTAGTTGAGTAACCAGCTCAGAAAAACGAAGTGATTTGCCCAAGATCATACAGCTGAGGAGCTGATTGGCAGATCTGGAACGCGGTCTGCTTGGCTCCAGGTCGAGTGCTTCTAATAACTCCAGAAGAGAGTCCACTTATGTCCCCATCCATTCACCCCATACCACTCCCATCAGCACGGCGGGGGGTGTGCCTGGCAGATGGAGCATGATCAGGAAATGCAGGCAGAAGGCAGGAAGGGCTGAGAGGAGTGGAGGGTGGAAAATTAACTACAGCAGCTTGTTAGGGCAGGGCCCCAATAACTTTTTCTTTTTCTTTTTTTTTTTTGAGATGGAGTCTCACTCTGTAGCCCAGGCTACAGTGCAGTGGTGCCATCTCTGGTCACTGCAACCTCTGTCTCCCGGGTTCAAGCGATTCTCCTGCCTCAGCCTCCTGAGTAGCTGGGATTACAGGCAGGTACCACTGTGCCTGGCTAATTTTTGTATTTTTAGTAGAGATGGGGTTTCACCATGTTGGCCAGGCTGGTCTTGAACTCCTGCCCTCAAGTGATCCGCCCACCTCAACCTCCCAAAATGCTGGGATTACAGGTGTGAGCCACTGCACCCGACCCCCAATAACTTTAGAAATTAACAGGCTAACCAGAGGTGGCTCCCAGGCTCCCACCCACCTACCTCCTAGGCACTCCCACACCCCAGATGCACATGCCCTGGGCAGCCACACCCTGACAGAGAAGACATGGCAAGTGGCAGGGCTCAGTGAGAAGGCCCCCAGCCTGGTCCCCAAAACTAAGCAGCCCAGGAACTAGTGCCAGGCAGCCCTTAGCTCACCTTTGGGCAGATAGCACCTCAAATAAGATGGGGACCTACTTAACCTTAGCCAAAAGGACACCACAGACACAATGTGCCCTTTCTTTTTACAGCTCTCCTAAAAAACAGTTCTTATTCTCCCTCATCCCCTAGTGAACCCTGAAACCAGACTGCAGAGGCTGGAGCACGGGGACCCGGCCTTCCACATTCACTAACTGCACTTTTTTCTTTTTTTGAGACAGGGTCTCGCTCTGTCACCCAGGCTGGAGTGCAATGGTGCAGTCTTGGCTCCCTGCAGTCTCCCGAGTAACTGGGACCACAGGCGCATACCACCATGTCCGGCTAATTTTTTTTTTTTATTTTTAGTAGAGACAGGGTTTTGCCATGTTGCCCAGGTTGGTCTCAAACTCCTGAGCTCAAGCGATCCGCCCTCCTTGACCTCCCAAAGTGCTGGGATTACAGGCATGAGCCACTGAGCCTACCCTGATGGTATATTTTGACTACCCATGAGTCAATAAAAATTTAAAAGTCACATGCATGGGTTTTTTCCCCCTGATTTTAAAGTAAGTTATGGTTCTGCTGGCACATCAGAGATTTACTGTGCACTTGAAAGACATTTATATAGTACCTCCCACGTGCTAGTTCCTGTTCTTTTTATTTTATTTTATTTATTTATTTTTTGAGACCGAGTCTCACCGTGTTGCCCAGGCTGGAGTGCACTGGTGTAATCTTGGCTCACTGTAACCTCTGCCTCCTGGGTTCAAGTGATTCTCCTGCCTCAGCCTGCTGAGTAGCTGGGACTAAAGGCACCCACCACCACGCCCGGCTATTTTTTTTTTTTTTTTTTTTGTATTTTTAGTAAAAATGGGGTTTCTCCATGTTGGCCAGGCTGGTCTCAAACTCCTGACCTCAAATGATCCGCCCACCTCAGCCTCCAAAAGTGCTGGGATTACAGGCATGAGCCACCATGCCCGGCCTCACTAGTTCCTGTTCTGAGTACAAGTGTTAATTCATTTAGTTCTCACAACCCTTTAAGGTAAGTTCTTATACCCATTTTACAGATGAGGAAACTGTGGCCCAGAGAGGTCAAGGAACTTGTTAAGGAACAGCCAGAGTGTGACAGAGTAAGGATTTAAACTAACGCAGTCCATGATAATCTCTCCATTCCTTTGCTTTTCTAAATGCTTTATATAAACCATCTCTGCCTGAGCTGGTGACAGTGTCAGGGTAGATTCGGAAAACACCCTGCTTTTGACCCTCAGCACACTTTGGGGACTCTCCTTTCACTGTCTATGCCCAGCTAGACTGTAGACCTGCTGAGGGCAGGTCTGTGTCTCTCTGAGTTAATGGTGCATCCCCTGTGCCTAGTACTGAGCCTGGTATACCTGGTGCTCCTCAGCTGTTGGGGCAGTGAATGCTGAGTAAGTTGAGGCACTATTAACCCCACCACATGCTTCAGAAACTGATGCTCAGAGACATTGACTTGGTCAAGAACACACGGCTGTGAGTTATAGCCAACATGAGCCTGTGGCTTTCTACCTCCAGGTTCTACACTAGACATATACCACTTATTCTTTTTATTCCTCCTCGCCTTCTTTGTGGTGGTGAGATCACTTATTCTTTGCAGTGACTGCATTTATCACTAAAATGGAGTTGCTATAACCGATGGGCATTTAGGTTCTTGATAATCTTTCACTCTTACAGACAGCTGTAATGAAACCTTCGTCCTTAGCTTTGCTCACTTCTTGAAGCATTTCTAAAGCCCAAATCCCTAGATTGAAATCACTGGGTCTACACATTTTAAGTGTTTTTTGTTTTGTTTCGTTTTGTTTTTGAGAGGGAGTCTCACTCTATTTCTCAGGCTGGAGTGCAGCGGCACGATCTCGGCTCACTGCCACCTCTGCCTCCTGGGTTCAAGTGATTCTCCTGCCTCAGCCTCCCAAGTAGTTGGGATTACAGGCGCACGGCACCACGCCCGGCTAATTTTTGTATTTTTAGTAGAGACAGGGCTTCACCATATTGGCCAGGCTGGTCTCAAACTCCTGATCTCAGGTGATCTGCCCACCTCGGCCTCCCACAGTGCTGGGATTACAGGCATGAGCCACCGCGCCTGGCCTACTACTAGTGAGAGGTGACAGCGTGCTGGCAGTCCTCACAGCCCTTGCTCGCTCTCGGCGCCTCCTCTGCCTGGGCTCCCACTTTGGCGGCACTTGAGGAGCCCTTCAGCCCACCGCTGCACTGTGGGAGCCCCTTTCTGGGCTGGCTAAGGCGGGAGCCGGCTCCCTCAGCTTGCAGGGAGGTGTGGACCGAGAGGAGCGAGCGGGAACCTGGGCTGCGCGCGGCGCTTGCGGGCTAGCTGGAGTTCCGGGAGGGCGTGGGCTTGGCGGGCCCCGCACTCGGAACAGCCGGCCGGCCCTGCCGGACCCGGGCAATAAGAGGCTTAGCACCCAGGCCAGCGGCTGCGGAGGGTGTACTGGGTCCCCCAGCAGTGCCAGCCCACCGGCGCTGCGCTCGATTTCTCACCGGGCCTTAGCTGCCTTCCCGCGGAGCAGGGCTCGGGACCTGCAGCCCTGCCATGCCTGAGCCTCCCACCTCCTCCATGGGCTCCTGTGCGGCCCGAGCCTCCCCGATGAGCGCCGCCCCCTACTCCACGGCGCCCAGTCCCATCGACCACCCAAGGGCTGAGGAGTGCGGGCGCATGGCGTGGGACTGGCAGGCAGCTCCACCTGCAGCCCCGGTGCGGGATCCACTGGGTAAAGCCACCTGGGCTCCTGAGTCTGGTGGGGACGTGGAGAACCTTTATGTCTAGCTCAGGGATTGTAAATACACCAATCGGCACTCTGTATCTAGCTCAAGGTGTGTAAACACACCAATCAGCACCCTGTGTCTAGCTCAGGGTTTGTGAACGCACCAATCGACACTCTGTATCTAGCTACTCTGGTGGGGCCTTGGAGAACCTTTGTGTTGATACTCTGTATCTAACTAATCTGGTGGGGACGTGGAGAACCTTTGGGTCTAGCTCAGGGATTGTAAACGCACCAATCGGCGTCCTGTCAAAACAGACCACTAGGCTCTACCCATCAGCAGGATGTGGGTGGGGCCAGATAAGAGAATAAAAGCAGGCTGCCCGATCCAGCAGTGGCAACCCGCTTGGGTCCCTTTCCACACTGCGGAAGCTTTGTTCTTTCACTCTGCAATAAATCTTGCTGCTACTCACTCTTTGGGTCCACACTGCTTTTATGAGCTGTAACACTCACCCCGAAAGTCTGCAGCTTCACTCCTGAAGCCAGCGAGACCACAAGCCCACCAGGAGGAACGAACAACTCCAGACAAGCCGCCTTAAGAGCTGTAACAGTCACCGCGAAGGTCTGCAGCTTCACTCCTGAGCCAGAGACATCACGAACCCACCAGAAGGAAGAAACTCCGAACATATCTGAACATCAGAAGGAACAAACTCCAGACGCACCACCTTAAGAGCTGTAACACTCACCGCGAGGGTCCGCGGCTTCATTCTTTAAGTCAGTGAGACCAAGAACCCACCAATTACGGACACGCTAGGTTGCTATCTAAACAGGTGCGACCAGCTTACCTCCCTTCTCCTAAGGTATGAGAATCCCTGTTTTCTGTACTGTGTGTGTTCAACTTTAAAACTCCCCAGAGACTGTATTCGAGGTTTCTGGGACAGTTTCTAAAGGTGTTTAAACTGTAAAGGATTTCTCCTAACAGAACCTACCTTCTTGACAGCTCTCAAAAATGTTTTTATTTTTGAGACTTTTTAAAAGAGCTGGCCAGGCACAGTAGCGCACTGCTGTAATCCCAGCACTTTGGGAGGCCAAGGTGGGTGGATCACCTGAGGTCAGGGGTTCGAGACCAGCCTGGCCAACATGGTGAAATCCCGTCTCTACTAAAAATACAAAAATTAGCTAGGCATGGTGGCGCACGCCTGTAATCCCAGCTACGTGGGAGGCTGAGGCATGAGCACTGCTTGAAGCCAGAAGGTGGAGGTTGCAGTGACCCGACACTAGCAACTGCACTCTAGCTTGGGTAAGACAAGACTATGTCTCAAATAAATAAATAAATATTACAAATAAATAAGACCTCTGCAGTTTATTCCTCTGGGAATTAGGTCCAGCTCCCCATGTCCATTAAACCTATGTGAACATGCGCAACCAGGCCTGAACTACATTTGTGTGTTGATGTAGAGAAAAAGGAGGCAGGGCTGCAACAAAGTCCACCCAGAGGTCTGCTTCCCCCATCATTCACCAAGAAACCAGCTGCCACAACAGCTCTGAGTGGGAGTTTCTTTTCATGTTGTTTCCAAAAATAAAAGCCATAGTCAGCTTGGGAAGAACTTTTCATCAAGCAGAACAGAGAAACAGTAGAAAAGATTCAAAGAGTTGGTGAGATTATCCAGTCCAACCCCATCGTTTATTACAGGAGGAAATTGAAACCCAGAGATGTTGAGTGACTAGTTCAAGGTCACACAAAAGAGTGGAAAAACCAGCAGCAGAACCCACCTCAAAGCCAGGTGCTCTAACTTCCAGCTGAGCATCTTAGTCCATTTTGTGCTGCTATAACACAAGACCACAGACTGGGTAACTTATAAAGAACAGTGACTTCTTACAGTTCTAGAGGCTGGGAAGTCCAAGATCAAAGGGCTGGCATCTGGCTAGGGCCTTCTTGCTACATCATCCTATAGTGGAAGGCAAAAGGGCCAAAGATTTTGGGGGCTAGGGGACAAACTCATCCTTTATAAAGATGCTCCTCTCATGGTAACAAACCCACTCCCCAAATACTGGCATTAACCCATTCATGAGGCCAGAGGCCTCATAACCTGATTACCTCTTAATGGTCCCACCTCAATGCTGTTGCATTGGGGATTAAGTTTCCAAGACATGAACTTTGGAAAATATATTCAAACCACAGCACTGAGTGCTCTTTATGTTACAGCAGGGAGTATCTATGATCTCCACTCACAGTCCTTTAAGGCTAACTTCCTTCCAATCTCAGTTGCTTTTAAAAATGACAGGAAAGTGAGGCTTCTTGAAAATGGATGTCCGCATAAAAATCATGGTAACATATCTATGAGCCTTTGTGTGTGCTGTCCCCACTGCCTTGGATTCCCTTCTCTGCCTAACTGCTTGAACTCCTCCTCATCCATCAAAACCCAAAGAATTGCTGCCTTCTTTGAAAATATTCCCTGACTCTCCAGGGCCTCTGGTTGTTCCCTGCTTTATGTTCTTGGCCCTGACCTTGCCCCAGCACTCAGAACCCTTTATGGCAGGATTGGTTCTTCTCCATGAGAGTGAAAACTCTTCCAAGGCAGAGATGGACCAAATTCATCTTTGCAACACCAGCACACAGCTTAAGCTACAAAAGGATGGACTTTGAACCACAATCTCCACGCGGAGGGGAGTTTATCATTCCACCCCAGCTCCCAGCTCACAGTGTGAGCCCAAGAAGGGTTTGTTGCTGCCAAAGGAATCTGAACAGGGAAGTTCTGCAACAGGAGGGGATTCTGATCCTGGAGCCACGGAGCTTTCAACAGACACTTCCTGGACGTGCCAAGCAGGTCAGGCTGACAAACGAGTGGGCACTAAAAGGCACAAGAAGCTCTCACATGTGTACAGGCCTCCAGGACTACAAAGCACTTGCAAAGGTGACCTCATCTGAGTAAACTTTGAAAGTGCTCTTCAGTGTTGCTTCTGTGAGGCCTACTTCACTTTTTACCAAGAGAACTGCTCCCAAGTCTGGCTGATCCTGACCTCAGGACTGTAAGACATGAAGGTGGCACACAGGGAAGGAGTAAGTCAAGCTAATAAATACATGTCTGAACATGCATTTATATTACAAGACATACGGGGAAAAACAGGAGCAACTCTAGCCATAAAATAACCCGTATATGACAAGTTAAATTGAGAAAGAATTACCTACTTTCACGAAGTGCGCTGAGGTTTATTGGGCTCTGCGCTTCCTTAAGAGTATTAGAAAAGAACACACAAAATGCTGAAATATGGGATTTCATTATCTCAGTTTACTTTAATTTGCTTGTTTACACACACGATCTGTGTGTACATAACAGTGGCAAGAGCCATTCTCTAAATACAATCTGGTACCCAGACTATGACAGATGCACGTGGAAAATGAGGCGTCAGTGAATTAATCTCAACATAGAAAGGCAAAATAAGCATGGCAGTATTCTATGATCACAGATGCCCCCAGAGCCTGGGGGTAACCGACACTTTTCAACATAATACAGGACAATTTTAACAAAAGACCCAGACTCCAAATGGCACCCAAAATATATTCGTTTCTCTGCCTTCTCTAGAGGAGTCAGAAAGTTCTAAAGGCTTACTCAAGAAAAAGGAGGCAGGGAGACTATGGCCTGCTAAGCACAGATGCTGAGCACTTTACATGCACCATTTCTCTTCATCTCCACCTGACAGACGATGAAAACGAGGTTTGCCATGATCACACAGCTATCAGGAGTGGTGCCAAGATATGAACCCACATCTCATGTTTGCTTGAGCCCAAATCCTTTCACTTATGTCAGGCTGTTTCACATAGGAATAGAAAGCATGCTCCCAAGGAAGAGGCAAGGGGGCTAAGCATGGACAAGTGGCGGAAGCCTCATCGATACAGAAGGCTCTGCAATTGACACTTTCCACATACAGTTAATTTAGTGCTGAGCCCGCATCAGACCCACGTGGGATAAATATCTGGAGATTTAAGTGTCACAAATGAACTTCTGGGGTCACCCTGTGCCTATTCCCTTTTGGTGCTGAACATGACACTTTGGAGAGCCTTTTTTTTTTTTGAGACAGAGTCTCACTCTGTCGCTCAGGCTGGAGTGCAGTGGCGTGATCCTAGCTCACTGCAACCTCTGCCTCCTGGGTTCAAGCGATTCTCCTGCCCCAGCCTCCCGAGTAGCTGGGATTACAGGCGTGTACCACCACACCTGGCTAATTTTTGTATTTTTAGTCGAGACGGGGTTTTATCATGTTGGCTAGGCTGGCCCAACCTCAAGTGATCCTCCCATCTCAGCCTCCCAAAGTGCTAGGATTACAGGTGTGAGCCACCATGCCTAGCCTAGGAGAGCTTTCAATCCCTTCAACAAGCCCCTGCCATCTACTCCATGGCCACTCCCACCACTGGTTTATGGGCATAGGCAACAGAGGGTCACATCTTACCAACGCCTCCAAAGCACCATGGTGCCACCTCCCATATCTCATCACCTGTGTTTCTGCTCCTTTTGGGTGCAACAAATCATGACTCATTGTGATGGATAAAATTAACCTCCAACTTGATGGGATATGAAATATTTAAAATATATCCTTATAGTAAAAGATTTTACACCGAAGATTCATCCTCAACCACTTAAGCTTCAGTGAAGCCAGTCAGGTGTAGTGCTTCTCAGTTAATGCTACTATTGGACTTGATTGGAGAGAGGGGCATCAAGGCGGCCTTAAGGGTGATTACCCCAACAGCAAGGGGCTCAGTTTGAAAGGCTTAAGGAGACAGTCTGGGAGAGAAGAGGGGATATCTTATCACAGGGCGTGGAACTGTGCCTTTGTGGATGGAGGTGACAGGATTTCTAACCCTTCCCAGCATTGTCACAGCAAAGGCCACAGAATGACAAAGCTGGAAACTGAAAAGTGCTGCAAAGGGGAGAGAAAAAGGAAACTGATTTCAAGTCCAGCTGAACAGGCCCAGGTATGGTTTGGTTTAGTTTGGTTGGTGATGCAAGTAACAGGAGGGAGGGACCACAGCCATGCCACCCTTCAATAAGGGTGATTTTGCAAACAGGTTGGCTTTTTGCCATCAGAGGGAGGCATTTTACTTCACTTCTGAATTATCATAATCTTGTCCAACAGGTACAGATGCCCTGGGCCACAGCAGAGTGATCAGTGCACTCAGCACATGACCCTGAAGCACACTGTTCAGTCTATACCACTGATATGTGGTCAGGGACATTTCGGTGCAAGAACGCATTCTGCAAAATTACCTTGATTCACCTTAAAATTCAACAGGCTGTTACTAAAATGCCTGCTTTCTGGTTTGATTATCTTATTTATTTATAGAAACCAGGGTCTCACTATGTTGCCCAGGCTGGTCTCAAACTCCTGGGATCCAGTAATCCTCCCACCTCAGCCTCCCAAAGTGCCAGGATTATAGGTGTGAGCCACTACACCTGGCCCAGGTTTCATTGCTAACAGAGAAAACAGCCCCATGAGGTGGAATTTAAGACTGTAAGACCAGAGTTTGGTTCATAACAAGTACATTAGTGTTCTAAACCAACCAACCAATCAACCAGCCAACCAACCAACCAACAAACCCTCAAAACAACCTACATGTGCCAGAGTGCAGCACTGGCCTTGTGAGTTATTTTCAGGAGTTTTATCAACAAAGAACAAATGTCACAGTTCTTATCAAAAACTGTAAAGGATTCGCTCAAAATAGAACAGAAAAAAAGTAATCTTATTGCTCCAAAAAAACCAGCATATAGTAATAGAAAACATGGACAGAAAATGATCATAGTCCATTACGTATGAATCATCCAATACTTGGTCGGAGAGGCACTGCATCTAAAAGGGCCTGTTTTGGTGGCTAATCGCAAGTCAGTTGCAATATTTAAACACTTCATGGATGAAACAAATATTACAACCAGAGAGTGTCCTTCAGGCATCAGGCTGTTTTTATAAAGAACCCTGCCTGAGCCGGGCGCGGTGGCTCATGCCTGTAATCCCAGCACTTTGGGAGGCCGAGGCAGGTGGATCACCTGCGGTCAGGAGTTTGAGACCAGCCTGACCAACATGGAGAAACCCCATCTCTACTAAAAATACAAAATTAGCCTGGTGTGGTGACGCATGCCTGTAATCCCAGCTACTCGGGAGGCTGAGGCAGGAGAATCGCTTGAACCTGGGAGGTGGAGGTTGCGGTGAGCCGAGATCGGGCCATTGCACCCCAGCCTGGGCAACAAGAGCAAAACTCCATCTCAAAAAAAAGAAAAAAACCCTGCCTGAAATAGATGCCTATGCAAAACTGACCAGTGGGAAATACTGTTTTGTTTTGTTTTTTCTTTTTTGAGGTGGAGTCTGCTCTGTCACCCAGGCTGGAGTGCAGTGGTGCGATCTCAGCTCACTGCAACCTCCACCTCCTAGGTCCAAGCAATTCTCCTGCCTCAGCCTCCTGAGTAGCTGGGATTACAGGCATGTGCCACCACACCCAGCTAATTTTTGTATTTTTAGAAGAGACGAGGTTCGCCATGTTGGACAGGCTGGTCTCGAACTCCCAATCTCAGGTGATCCGCCTGCCTCGGCCTCCCAAAGTGCAGGGATTAGAGGTGTGAACCACCATGCCTGGCTGGAAAATACTGTTAAGTAACAGCAGTAAGAGCCGTGAAAATCTAAAGACAACTGGAACCAGGGAGAAGGCAGCAAAGGAGTCCCAAGGCTCTGGCCACTCCTTTAGCCACACCATAAAGGCTTTCCTGATTCTGCCCTTTTGCTGAGCCTTAGGTCCCCACTCTAGGGACAAAAGGAGTGTTCCAGATAAAGGTCAAGTCTTACCAGGGACAAAAAGTGCCTAACTGGGAATGGTGGTGCTTGCAACACTGGTGATGTCGCCAAGAATAGTCTGAAGACTAAACTCACTCCCCAGACTTCAGCACCACCCACCAAAACTGCCTGGTACACTTTCCCTCTGAAGTAGGATCAATAATTTAGCCAAATAACTAAGCAAAATATATATTTGAAAAATAGATTAGCCATTGTCCTTCTGTCCCCCCTCTGTTACTCTTTTATTTCTTGTAACTATCTTGCTTCAAATTCAAACTACAGCTCTGGGGAGGAAGTCCTGGGGAAAAGGCTTTCGGATACCAAAACCCGTATGTCCCGTACCAGCTCAGCAAACCAAACAAGGTGCCAAACACCTTCTGGGACAAGTTGTGGAAATAAACAGCTGTGCACAGAAACATCAACACCCAGATGAAAGTCAGAATGCCCAGGGCCACAACCAGGGTGGTGATGGCGGTGTGGAGGCAGTGGCTTCGGTCCGTCTTCACCTCATGCAGCACAGACATCTCTTCTACAATCATGAGGGCGCAGAAGGTCAGCAGGAAGGAGTGACCTGAGATGTCAAAGCCATGCCAAAAGCCCCCTTCCTGGTGGCACTGCTGCTTGCTCTGGTGTTCCTTTCTGACCCCCTCCAGGGCTGGGGACTGGTAGCAGCTGCCCGTGTAGTGTTCGATGTTGGAGAAGATGGAGGTGCAGATGTACCAGATGGCCGTGCCCACAAGCAGGGTGCTCAGCCGCCGCAGGACCAAGCCAGCCTTGCCGGTCAGATGGTAGTTGGTGAGGGCAATGAAAGGCAGAAGGAGACAGAACGTCCAGGCCCAGGCCACTTTGACAAAATACCTGACAGAGGAGGAAAGTGGAAGTGAAGAGAGGGAACACGGTGGAGAGGACACCATGTCAGGACTCAGGTCTCTACACTGTCAGGGGAGGGAAAATGAGAAAACTGATCAAAGCTACAGCTCATAGCAACTATCATGTTTTAGGTACTTACCATATACTTCACTTACTAAGTACTTTATTTATTTATTTATTTATTTATTTTTGAGACAGAGTCTCGCTCTGTCACTCGGGCTGGAGTGCAGTGGCGCAATCTCAGCTCACTGCAACCTCCGCCTCCCGGGTTCAAGCAATCCTCCTGCCTCAGCCTCCCAAGTAGCTGGGATTACAGGTGCGCATCACCCCGCCTGGCTAATTTTTGTATTTTTAGTAGAGAGGGGGTTTTACCATGTTGGCCAGGCTGGTCTCGAACTCCTGGCCTCAAATGCTCCGGCCACCTTGGCCTCCCAAAGTCCTGGGATTACAGGCATGAGCCACTGTGCCCAGCCCTCCCCTCCTCCCCTACCCCACCCCTGTGTAAGTACTTTAAATGTATTAACCAGGTAATCCATTAACAACTCTATGAGTTGGCCGGGCGCGGTGGCTCACGCCTGTAATCCCAGCAGTTTGGGAGGCCGAGGTGGGCAGATCACGAGGTCAGGAGATCGAGACCATCCTGGCTAACATGGTGAAACCCTGTCTCTACCAAAAATACAAAAAATTAGCCAGGCGTGGTGGCGGGCGCCTGTAGTCCCAACTACTCGGGAGGCTGAGGCAGGAGAATGGCATGAACCCGGGAGGCGGAGCTTGCAGTGAGCCGAGATTGTGCCACTGCACTCCAGCCTGGGCGATAGAGCGAGACTCCATCTCAAAAACAAAACAAAACAAACGAAAAAAAACAACTCTATGAGTTAAGTACTGTTAATATCTGCCTTTAACAGAGAAGAAAACTGAGACAGAGGGAAGTGCCACACCAAAAGTGGAGGCCAGAAGCGGAGGAGCCAGGATTCAAATCCAGGATCTGTCGTCTTAAGCACTATGTTATTTACTTAGGAAAATAATATAAATAAATAATAATAACTGAGCATTTACCAAATGCCAGGAGCTTTCACACACATTCACTTTCCCATAGAGCACTCACATTTACCCTGGGAGGAAGGTGCCATTGTTCCATTTTATAGACAAGAAATCTAAGGCTCAGAAAAGTTCAGTACCTTGCCAGGGTCACACTCACACAACCAGCATGAACAGATTAAACCACGGTTTGGATAGCCCCCAGACTCATGCTGTTTCTCCCATACCATATGTGGTTTTTTATTTTTTATTTTTATTTTTCTGAGACAGGATCTCACTCTGTCCCCCAGGCTTGCGTGCAGTGGCACAATCACACCTCACTGCAGCCTCAAACTCCTGGGCTCAAGCAATCCTCCTGCCTCAGCCTCACAAATAGCTGGGATTACAGGTGTGTACCAATGTGCCTGGCTAATTTTTTTTAATTATTATTTTTGTGGAGATGGGGCCTTGCTATGTTGCCCCCACTGGTCTTGAACTCCAGGCCTCAAGCAATTATCCTGCCTCAGCCTCCCAAAGTGCTGGGATTATAGATATGAGCCATGCACCTGGCCTGGTTCTTTCCTAATGGCAGAAACAGTCTTACAACAATGAGCTTTACTTTAAGCCAAAGACACGGGTTCAACTCTTGACTCTGACTTAACTTATTATACCTCCTACCTCTCCAGCCCTCAGTTTCTTCAGCTATTAAACAGAGCTGGGGGGACCAAATGATTTTTTTTTTTTTGAGACAGAGTTTTCACTCTTATTACCCAGGAGTGCAGTGGCACGATCTCGGCTCACTGCAACCTCCGCCTCCCGGGTTCAAGCAATTCTCCTGCCTCAGCCTCCGGAGTAGCTGGGATTACAGGCACCTACCACCACACTCGGCTAATTTTTGTATTTTTATTTTTATTTATTTATTTATTTTGAGACAAAGTCTCACTCTGCCATCCAGGCTGGAATGCAGTGGCATGATCTCAGCTCACTGCAACCTCCGCCTCCCAGGTTCAAGTGATTCTCTTGCCTCAGCCTCCTCAGTAGTTGGAATTACAGGCACGCACCACCACGCCAGGCTAATTTTTGTATTTTTAGTAGAGATGGGGTTTCACCACGTTGGCCAGGCTGGTCTTGAACTCCTGACCTCAAGTGATCCACCTGCCTTGGCCTCCCAAAGTGCCTGGATTACAGGTGTGAGCCACTGCGCCCAGCCTGGTTCTTTCCTAACGGCAGAAACAGTCTTGCAACAAGGTCTTACTTTAAGCCAAAAGACCGGGGTTCAAATCTTCACTCTTACGGGTTCAAATCTTCACTCTTACTTAACTTACTATACCTCCTACCTTTCCAGGCCTCAGTTTCTTCAGCTATCAAACAGAGCTGAGAGGACCAAATGATTTTTAAGGTCCCTTCTATATCCCAGGATTCACTAGTTCCCTCTCATTAATCAGCACAGAGGCTTGGAACAAAACTCCAGGATCCATGACTACCTTCAAACAACAGGGGTGTGTTGTCAGCCAGGCCACTTGGCTCCCAGCTCACCTAGGCCAGAGGAAGCAGCAGCTGCCTTGTCCGCCTCCCCAGCGTTCACGAAAGGTGGCTGACCTAAACCCAGGACAGAGACTTGGGGCCACTACCACTCTCATGATCTATTCTTAGCCCAGCCTCTCAGGGTGGGTGAGGAAGGAAGGTGGACCAAGGACAGAAGGACTTTTTTCTAGGTTCCAATGGATTCTCAGGCACCACCCCCAGGCCTGTCACTAAAATCTTCACTGGGACTGATAAGGAAGATCTTGCCAGAGCCAAGACCCGTCAGGCATTTGAGGAAGCTGCCTGTGAAAGGAACCAGGGTTTTAAGCAGATAACCAAAGTTGGGCTGACTTTCAGGACACGCCAGAGACACTTATTCTGGAAAACACTTAGGCTCACATCAAGGGAGCAGTTTTATCTTTCAGAGTTTCCCTTTATGACCGCAACAGAGTTTTTGTGCAATAAACTTACTAACCGGGAGTTTTGAAAAAAGCAAGTAAGCAAGCAAAGGAGTGGATGGGTGGAGTTAAGGAGATGTCTCAAAGCGCCCAGCTGGGATTGCTTTTCTGGGCCACTGCCATGCATTCTGAGTGGCTGAGATGATCCAAGGAGATCCAGGGGAAAGGGCACAGACTAGGGGGTTCCAGCCCTCTGTGAGTATCTCACAGGCGGGGGCTCTGCCTGTCACAGGCTGGGGCGAGGCTCTTCCACAGGTCGTAAAGGGATTCTGTCACGCGCTGGAGGGATCTGATCTGACGCAGGGTGGGGTCTGCGCGGGGTCTGCCACAGGCAGGCAGGACAGAGGTGAGATGGCATCTCCCAAACAGGGCAGGGGTCAGCTCCTAACTCCAAGGGGAGGCGGGGGAGTGGTGACAGGGGCTGGTTCATCCCCACCCCATTCCACACCCCTACATATACAGAGACACACACGACCCCGCTTGTCACCACCTGCCCAGTCAAGCTCATGCTGCCCAAAGTGGGTCTGCAAACACTAACTGCTAGTGACACCAGCTACCCCGGGGCCTCCCAGGCGTGACACGCGTGCAGATGCTGCTGTCACGGCTAGGAGGAGGACCTCCCCTCCAATGACTCGTCCACCACGGCAGCTAGCACCGGCTTCTCTGGGCGAGGCGACAGCGGGCCGGCTCGGGCGGGGACAGCGGAGGACCGGGGTGCACTCACACGTTGAGGACGTTGCGCTTGTTGCTGAGGTAGCTCTCGGGCAACGGGGACAACTCCTTGAGGAGGGAGCCCGCCAGCATGGAGGCCACCAGGGCCCAGGGCAGGTAGCGCCGCACGGCCGCCCGCACCAGCGTCCCCCGCAACAACCACTCGCAGCGCTCCAGATGCTCCATGCCGGATCTCGTCAGCCACCGTCCTCCTCTCCGTGCCCTCTCGGCCACCGTATCGCCCTTCGCCCGGACCTGCGCCTCCACCTCCCTTCGAGCGCATGCGCACTGCCCGCGAGTCCCACAGCTTGAGGCGTGCTTGGGCTCCGGAGCCCGCGCGCTCCCCCTCGTGGCCGCTGCTGCCTCTGGCGCGTGACGGTCCCCGAACTCGCTCGTCTCCTCTGCGCTCTCCTGGCCGCCTCCTCTCCCCGAGCCTCCGCGTCTTGCTCTGGTCTGGGAAAAAGCGCTTGTGAAAGTATTTGCTGGAGGCTGGAAGAGGATAAATGTAGCCCTGGAGAATTGGAGCAGTAGTCACAGCATCATTTGATCTTTCTTGGAGCCTCGGAGACACCTCTGCCATCTGAGTCTTAGTTTTCTCATCTGTAAAATGCGAGAGACAAGAGGAGATCAACCTTTCCCAAAAGCTAGTTTATGAGCTCAGGGGTTCATTACGTTGGCACACGTAGAGGGACATGAGATGAAGTTTCCTTAGGAATAATTATTGTATTTATTTATTTATTAGTTAGTTGGGGGGGGGTCCCTCTCTGTCGCCCAGGCTGGAGTGCAATGGCACCGTCGCAGCTCACCGCAACCTCAAATTTCTGGTCTCAAGCAATACTCCCACCTCAGCCTCCCGAGTAGCTGGGACCACAGGCGGGCACCACCACACCTGGCTAATTTTTTTTATTTTTATTTCTGTAGAGACAGGGTTTTGCTTCGTTGTCGAGGCTGGTCTCAAACTCCTGGGCTCAAGCGATCCTCCTGCCTCGGCTTCCTAAAATGCTGCAATTACAAGTGTGAGCCACCACGCTCTGCAGTTATTAAATTAATTAATTAATATAATTAATTTATTTAGAGACATAGTCTCGCTCTGTTGCCCAGGCTGGAATGCAGTGGCGCGATCTCAGCTCACTGCAGGCCTCTGCCTCCCAGGTTCAAGCGATTCTCCTGCCTCAGCCTCCCGAGTAGCTGGGATTACAGGCACGCACCACCACACCCAGCTAATTTTTGTATTTTTAGTAGAGATGGGGTTTCACCATGTCGGCCAGGCTGACCAACTCCTGTCCTCAAGTGATCTGACCTCTCCAAATCTTAACCTCAAGTGATCTGCCAGCCTTCACCTCCCAAAGTGCTGAGATTACAGGAGTGAGCCATCTCACCTGGTGCAATTATTACATTTAAAGTTTAAATTTCTAAATTTATTTTCACCTGGGCAACACAGTGAGACTCAGTATCTATAAGAAATAATTTTAAAAACTAGCTGACTTGGTGGCTCAGGCCTGTGGTCCCAGCTACTCAGGAGGCTGAGGTGGGAGGATTGCTTGAGCCCAGGAATTTGAGGTTGCAGTGAGCTGTGATGGTCCCATTGCACTCCAGCCTGGGCCACGGAGCGAGACCGTCTTAAAAAGCACACAAAGAAACACAAAACAGCTATCTATGCCTGTTGGATGAAAATGCTGGATGCTGGGGGTTAATGGGGAGATCACATGAAGTTGTTGGAGACTCAGTTGCTCAGTTTATCACAAAACTAACCCCTCACCCCTGGTTAGGGCTGGGTGTCTATTTCAGTTCCCAACCTTGGACTCATTCCCTTACCCCAATGTTAGTTTCCTGTGGCAGCTCTAATAAATTACTATAAACTCAGTTTATTTTTATTCCTTTTTTTTTCTTTAGTTTTAAATAGAGATGGGGTCTCACTATGTTGCCCAGGTTGATCTCGAACGCCTGGGCTCCAGTGATCCTCCTGCCTCGGCCTCCCAAAGTGCTAGGATTACAGGTGCGAGCCACCGTGCCCAACCCTAAACTTGTTTTAAACAACAGAAGTTTATTCCAAAAGCCACAAACCCAGCCAATACACACATATATAGTCATATCAAGAGATGGGCATTTTAGGCCAGACGTGGTGGCTCACGCCTGTAATCCCAGCACTTTGGGAGGCCAAGCTATTTTGATCTTGGCTCACTGTAACCTCTGCCTCCCGGGTTCAAGGTAGTCTCCTGCCTCACCCTCCCAAGCAGCTGGGACTACAGGCACATGCCACCACACCTGGCTAATTTTTTTGTATTTTTAGACAGGGTTTCGCCATGTTGACCAGGCTGGTCTCCAACTCCTAGCCTCAAGTGATCTTCCTGCCTCTGCCTCTCAAAGTGCTGGGATTACAGGCGTGAGCCACCACACCCGGCCCAAAGAAAAATTTCTATCGAAATATTCATCATCACTAGCTGCCCAAAATAATTTTGTGTCTCTATACCAAGGACAGCTACCACACTGGGAAATGTTAGCCTGATTTATGCCTACAATGGACTAATGTTTATAGTCTCATGCAGAGAATCAACAAATTAATGAAAATAATAATTCCTTAAAACCATCTTAAGATGACCTTCATATCTGTAAATTGCATTTATCTGATTAGAGTTCTTATATAGCAAGATGCTTCCAGGCCTTCAGAATGCTTGGTTTAAAAAATAAAATATAGTGATAATTATACCAATTTGGCATTTCATGATTGGGAATAAAAACTACATAGCCAGAAAGGGGTTATTTATGAAGGCAGCTTGTAAATAGTATCTGATACCATCTCTGTCTCCTTGAGTTTGTCAGGTGCTCAATTACTGTGGCTTTCCTTAGCAAACAGCATAAGAATTAAGAGCAGGGATGCTGGGTTTGAGTGCCGGTTCTCCTCCTTATTAGCTGTGTGGTTCCTCCAAAGAAAATCCAGATACGTCCCCCAACCCAAGAAGGAGGGAAAGACTGCTCGGTGAATATAAACACTAAATATCACCCCGAGGGACTGTCCAAAGAGTACCTTCTGAAAGGTTCAGGATTTGTATTTTTGAGAAAGGAAATGGGTTTGTTTCCTTTGAAACTGCAGTTTCATTCCTGGAGAGTTTTCTTTCCCTCCCTCCCTTCCTTCCTTCCTTCCATTTTCTCTTTTCTTTTTTTCTTTTTCTTTTTTTTTTTTTTTTTGAGACAGGATCTTGCTCTGCACTCCCAGGCTGGAGGGCAGTGGTGCGATCATAGCTCACTGTAGCCTTGAACTCCTGGCCTCAAGCAATCCTCCTGCCTCAGCATCCAAAGTGCTGGGATTACAGGCATGAGCCACCACGCTTGGCCACCATGGCTGGAGATTTTTGAAGACTGGGTTAAACTCAACCTGAAAAAATTGTTGCAGGTCTCTAGAGAAGTTTTTGTATTTAAAAAAAAATTGAATCAGTATTGGGAAATACATATTTATGTTGTGAGTGAAATGATGTGCTGTAGTCAACTCATACCAGCCTGCAAGAGCTGATGATTAAATTTTCAGAACTTTTGCGGGGTGATTGTCAAACACAGCCATATTAAGAACTGCATTATAGGGCCTGGGCCTGTTGGCTCACCCCTGTAATCCCAGCACTTTGGGAGGCCAAGACAGGTGAATCGCTTAAGCCCAGGAGTTCCAGACCAGCCTGGGTAACATAGGGAGATCCCATCTCTACAAAAAATACGAAAATTAGCCAAACATGGTGGTGTGTGCCTGCAGTCCCAGCTACTCAGGAGGCTGAGGTGGGAGGATGGCTTGAGCCCAGGAGACTGAGGCTGCAGTAAGCTGTGATCATGCCACTGCTCTCCAGCCTGAGTAACAGAGCAAAATCCTCTCTCAAAAAAAAAAAAAGTTACATATATAAAAAAACAAACTGAAAATACTCAAAACTCATTAGTTACTAATTATTTTACTATGTTTTATTATTATCTATGCTCTTGGGGTAACTTACATCTATTGTTCCTGTATGGTAAGCTCCTGCACAACTCTTCCCAAATCTATTCAGTGATGTCACATTGAGAGCTTGAAATCAGCCACAGGGGGAGTATTTACACTATGGAAATTGGCAGGTGCTACAAATCAGGGATTTATTTGGTTTGTCTACATTGAGAGTCAACTCCATTTGTCAAAACATGGTTGAATTGAAACCACAGGTTGCCTATGGTTACAAGAATCCAACAAAAATCAATAAAAGCATTCTGTGAGAATCAATTAGCTATAGTTATAACAAAGAGTATTTATATATTTCTTTTCTTTCTTTCTTTTTTTTTTTTTTAAGACAAGTTCTCACTCTGTTGCCCAGGCTGGAGTGCAGTGGTGTGATTATGGCTCACTGCAGCCTTAATCTCCTGGGCTCAAGTGATCCTCCCACCTCAGCATCCCGAGTAGCTGGGACTACAGGCGGACTAAATCAGCCATCACCTCTAGCTAATTTTTGTACATTTTTTGGTACAGATGTGGTTTTGCCATGTTGCCCAGGCTGGTCTCAAACTCCTGGGCTCAAGCAATCTGCACATCTCAACCTCCTAAAGTGCTGGGATTACAGGTGTAAGCCACCAAGCCTGGCCATATATTTTATTATTTGTAAATAATGTGCTACACATTAAGAAACATTTATAATAAACATAGGTAGGTATATGCTTATACATGTTTCCCTAGAGAGCCAATAGTAAACCTTTATTTTATTTTATTTTTTATTTTTTTGAGACAGAGTCTTGCTTTGTCTCCCAGGCTGGAGCGCAGTGGCACGATCTCGGCTCACCGCAACCTCCACCTCCCAGGTTCAAGCGATTCTCCTGCCTCAGCCTCCTAAGTAGCTGGGATTACAGACATGCATCACCACACCTGGATAATTTTTGTATTTTTAGTACGGATGGGGTTTTACCATGTTGGCAGGTGTGAGCCACCACGCCTGGCCTTAATAGTTAAACTTTTTTTTTTTTTTTTTTTTTTGAGACAGAGTCTGCCTCTGTCGCCCAGGCTGGAGTACGGTAGCGGCGATCTCGGCTCTCTGCAAGCTCCGCCTCCCGGGTTCACGCCATTCTCCTGCCTCAGCCTCTGAGCAGCTGGGACTACAGGCGCCTGCCACCACTCCCGGCTGATTTTTTGTATTTTTAGTAGAGACGGGGTTTCACCGTGTTAGCCAGGATGGTCTCGATCTCCTGACCTCGTGATCTGCCCGCCTCAGCCTCCCAAAGTGCTGGGATTATAGGCGTGAGCCACCGCGCCCGGCCAATAGTTAAACTTTTATCAACAAATCACTGGTTGTGGCCTAGTACACACATAAAAATTTATATAGTGTATAAGCAAATATATATGCTAATAGGAATATAGAAATAGTTTTATGTCTGGGCGCGGTGGCTCACGCCTGTAATCCCAGCACTTTGAGAGGCAGAGGCGGGCGGATCACCTGAGGTCAGGAGTTTGAGACCAGCCTGGCCAACATGGTAAAACCCTGACTCTACTAAAAATACAAAAATGAGCTGGGTGTGGTCGCACATGCCTGTAGTCCCAGCTACTCAGCAGGCTGAGGCAGGAGAATCACTTGAACCCGGGAGGTGGAGGTTGCAGTGAGTTGAGACTGCGCCACTGCACTCCAGTCTGGGTGACAGGGTGAGACTCTGTCTCAAAAAAAAAAGAAAAGAAAAAAAAGAAAAAGGAAAAAGAAAAAAAGAAATAGTTTTATGACAATTTATGGCAGAATTTTCCTCTACCATGTGTGAAGTACTCTGATGTTTTCTACTCAGAAATTTAATTCAATTTTTTAAAATGCTGGTCATGACCCACTGAAATGATTTTATAACCCACTAAAGGGTAAGAACCTGTAGTTTGGAAAACACTGCATTAAGAGAGTTTGAGGCATTAGAAAACAATGCTCCTACACTTCCCACCAGAGGATAATAGAAGACCACAAGTTTCAGGGTTCTGCCCTGCCTGAGACTTCAGTGGGACCACCTAATTGTTGGTTTTCACCTTTCATTTGTCTATTCTACAAATACTTATTAGAAGTATATGGTATCTGCACAAATAAATGAAAAGATATCCAGTGTTCATGGACTGGAAGAATTAATATTGTTAAAGTGCCCATACTGCCCAAAGCGAGCTATAGATTCAATGCAATCCCTACCAAAATGCCAATGTCCTTTTTCATAGAAATAGAAAAATACCTTCCTAAAATTCATATGGAACCACAAAAAACTCAAATAGCCAAGGCAATAATGAGTAAAAAAACAAAGCTGGAGACATCTTACTACTTGATTTAAAACTATACCACAAAACAACAGTAATTAAAACAGCATAGTAATGTCATAAAAATAGACATAGCAACCAATGGAACAGAGTAGAGAGCCCAGAAATGAACCCATGCATATATGGTCAATTGACTTTTGACAAAGATGCCATGGATACACAACAGGAAAAGGACAGTCTCTTCAATAAATGATGTTGGGGAAAACTGGATATCCATATGCAGAAGAATGAAACTGGATCCTTATCTCACACTATGGACAAAAATCAACTGAAAATGGAATAGAGACTTAATATAATACAAGAAATTATAAAACTACTAGAAGAAAACATATGGGAAAAGCTACGCAACATTGGTTTAGGCAAAGATAATTTGACCCTGAAAGTACAGGCAAGAGAAGCAAAAACAGACAAAGGGGATTACATAAAAATAAAAAGCAGGCCAGGAGCGGTGGCTCACACCTGTAATCCTAGCACTTTGGGAGGCCAACGCAGGTGGATCACCTGAGGTCAGGAGTTTGAGACCAGCCAGGCCAACATGGTGAAACCCCGTCTCTACTAAAAATACAAAAATTAGCTGGGCATGGTGACGGGCACCTGTAATCCTGGCTACTCAGGAGGCCAAGGCAGGAATATCACTTGAACCTGGGAGGCAGAGGTTGCAATGAGCCGAGATTGCGCCACTGCACTCCAGCCTGGGTGACAGAGTGAAACTCTGTATAAATAAATAAATAGCTTGTGCACAACAAAGGAAATAATTAACAGAGTAAAGAGACAATGCACATATTGGGATAAAACATTTGCAAACCATAAGTCTTATAAGGGATTAATGTCCAAAATATAGAAAGAACTTAAACAACTCTATAGAAAGAAAACAAATAATCTTATTTTAAAATGGGCAAATGGCTGGGTGTGGGTAGCTTCCACCTGTAGTCTCAGCTACTTGGAAGGCTAAGGTGGGGAGATGGCTTGAGCCAAGGAGTTCGAGGCTGTAGTGAGCTATGATCACTCCACTGCACTCCATCCTGGGCAACACAGTGAAACCCTGTCTCTAAAAAAATAAGAAAAAAGAAAAGGCAAAGGATCTGAATAGCTATTTCTCAAAACAAGACAACATAGAAATGGCCAACAGATATATGAAAAAATGCTCATCAACATAACTAATCATTAGGAAAATGCAAATTAAAACCACAATGCAATATCACCTTATACCTGTTAGAATGGCAATTAGGCTATTATAAAAAAGACAAAAGATAAGTGTTGATGAGGATGTGAAGAAAAGACAGCACTTGTACACTGTTGGTGGGAATATAAATTAGTACCAGCATTATGAAAAACTGTATGGAGGTTCCTCAAAAACTAAAAACAGGATTACCATATGATCCAGCAATCCCACTCTGGGTATTCACCCACAAGAGTTGAAATCAGTATGTCAAAGAGATGCCTGCACTCCCAAGTACATTGTAGCACTGTTCACAACAGCCAAGTTACAGAATCAGCCTAAGTGTCCATCACTGAGTGGATGGATGGATAAAGAAAATGTGGTATATATACCCACTGAAATACTATTCAGCCTTTAAAAAAGGAAAGAAATTCTGTCATCTGTGGCAATGCAGGTGGAATTGGAGAACGTTATACATATTTAAATAAGCTAGGCACACAAAGACAAATACCTTGTGGACAAAGACAATACTTATATGTGGAATCTAAAACAATCCAACACGGCCGGGCATGGTGGCTCACGCCTGTAATCCCAACACTTTGGGAGGCCGAGGCAGGCGGATCACCCGAGGTCAGGCGTTCAAGACCAGCCTGACCAACATGGTGAAACCCTATCTCTACTAAAAATACAAAAATCAGCCCGGCGTGGTGGTAGGCGCCTGTAATCCCAGCTACTCAGGAGGCTGAGGCAGGAGAATCGCTTGAACCTGAACTGGGGAGGTGGAGGTTGAAGTGATCCGAGATTGTGCCACTGCACTCCAGCCTGGGCGACAGAGCGAGACTCCACCTCCAAAAAAATAAAAAATAAAAAATAAAACAATAAAACAATCGAACACATAGAAGCAAAGAACAGAATTACGGTTACCAAAGGCTAGGGGGTGAAGCGGGAATGAGGAGATGATGGTAAAAGGGTACAAAGCCTTAGATACACAGAAGGAATAAGTTGATTTTTTTTGAGGGCTATTGCATGGCATGGTGAATATAGTGCATAATAGTGTACTGTACATTTCAAAATCATTAAAAGTAAATTTCAAATGTTCTTGCTATGAAAGATGATAAGTATTTGAGATAATGAATATGTAAATTAGCTTGATTTAATG
This sequence comes from Homo sapiens, assembly GCF_000001405.40. NCBI lineage: Eukaryota > Metazoa > Chordata > Mammalia > Primates > Hominidae > Homo > Homo sapiens. The sequence goes on from NC_000020.11 coordinate 44,319,549, forward strand.
ATTCCATACTGTATTCATAAATCATAACACCACTTTGTATCCCATAAATATATACAACTATAATTTGTCAATTTACAATAAACTTTTTTTTTTAAAAAAAGAAGTACATGGTCTCTGACCTCAAGGAACTTAAAATCTAGTGAAAGTGATAATCATTAAGTTATTCAATCAACTAACATTTATTAGCTACTTACTCTGCACCAAGCATTGGGCTAGATGTTGGGACTTCTAATGTCTTAGATAGGTGAGTTTCTTTAATAACCGCAGATTTTTCACCCTTTAGGAACATAGTTTCCCAGGTTTGAGGCAGAATATTCAACATGAGGCTGGATCATCTTGTCAACCAAAAGCAAGGAAATGTTAAAGCAAATAAGGAGATCATTAGGCTGAGGTTGTCTCTGTGCCTAGAGCTCTTATGTAAACAAACCAAAACTGGGAGGCATTTCTTGTAACTGACATAAAACCAAAATAAAACAAAACAGTCTCAGTCAATCACAAACAGCCAACCAGCTGATTGGTTGTGTAACTAGGGTCTTCCCATCACACCATACCCAAATAAGACAAATGCCTAGTTGTAGCCAATTAGGTGATTTCTGCTTTTTTTTTGCTTCTGTGGTCAGCCTGTAAAAGCTTGCTGCTCACACAGCTAGTAGAGTGAAGCTCTCTGAACCTCTTCCAGTTTTGAGTGCTGCCCATTTCATGAAGCATTCTTTGCTCAAAGAAAGCCTGTTAAATTTATTTTGTCTAAAGTTTTTATTTTAACAGTTGCCGTAAGCTCTCTAAGACTGCTAAGGTCAGGAGAACACAGGAATCAATAGAAAACCCTCCCACAGGCCAAAGATGGGCAACTTGAACATAAATAATAACGGCAATGAATGGAAACACACAAATAGGTTTAAATCCATGGGTTCACAATGGTACTTTAAAAACTAATGCCCACTTTCAGAGGAACCAACTCATTATTTTGAAAACTAGTAAACAAAAGTAAAGAATCAAGTAATTTTTTTCTGTCTTTCCTATGTGAACTGAACCACTGAGCAGCCAAACAGTAGGTGAGCTTCTTTTTATAGAAATATCTCAATAAATGGCTGGGCATGGTGGCTCACACCTGTAATCCCAGCACTTTGGGAGGCCGAGGCGGGTGGATCACAAGGTCAAGAGTTCAAGATCAGCCTGGCCGACATGGTGAAACCCCTGGCCAACATGGTGAAACCCCATCTCTACTAAGGATACAAAAATCAGCCAAGCCTGGTGGCACGTGCCTGTAATTCCAGCTACTTGGGAGGCTGAGGCAGGAGAATCACTTGAACCTCGGAGGCAGAGGTTGCAGTGAGCCAAGTTAGAGCCACTGCACTCCAGCCTGGGTGACAGAGCAAGACTCTGTCGGGAAAAAAAAAAAAGAAAAAAAAAGGAATATCTCAATAAATGAAGAAGGAATGATAGAATTAGAATATCACCATATGTAACATGCAAGTAAAAATTTAAGTTTGCGATACTGAGTCACATTCACTAAAGAAGAGTGAGTTGCAGATACTCATAAACAGAAAAATCTTTTTTTTGTTTTTGTGGTTTTTTTGTTTGTTTGTTTTGAGACAGGGTCTTGCTCTGTCACCCAGGCTGGAGTGCAGTGGTGAGATCTTGGCTTACTGAAACCTCCACCTCCTGGGCTCAAATGATCCTCCCACCACCATGTGTCACCATGCTTGGCTAATTTTTAAAGCTTTTTTTTTTTTTTTTTTTTTTTTTTTTGTAGAGACAAGGTCTCACTATGCTGTCCAGGCTGGTCTGGAACTCCTAGGCTCAAGCAATCCTCTTGCCCAGCCTCCCAAAATATTGGGACTACAGGCACAAGACACTGCACCTGGCTGAGAAAAATTTAATAAAATAAATATCAGCAGCACTTTAAATCTCTAAAAATTCACCTTATAAATTTTAAATTTTAAAAATCAAATAATCAGAATTTTGACCTTTGCTCAGAATTTTATATTTTAGGCTTCTTAGAGTTGGATTTTGCAGAAGCACATGGCTTCACGTTTACTGTGGAAATGAACTATAACCAAAAATACATCTGCCTCAAAAAAGCAACATTTTCTTATTGCCAACTGTAATTTCAAACTCCATATATATGTCACTGTTTTGGCAAGAGTAGTCTCTGAGTCTCTCTTAGGCAAATAAAACTTTTTGAGTTTTTAAAAAATCACTTTTACTTGTCTTTTTATTTTGATGGCAGTTTGAGTTTTTGAAAAACATAAAATCACTAAATTTGTGGAATTGTTACATGAAAATCATCTGAGGTTATGATTGTGCTTTGGCCAGGTTGGACATTTATATATATATATAATATTATGTATTATTAATATATGATTATATATTATATATTAATTAGTATGTGTATATATAAAGATTAAAGTAAAAGGAAATTTAAGTTTAAAATGCTTCTCATAAAGAATTTTTCTCTTTTTTTCCCTTAACCCAAAGGAGTATATCATAAAGAATTTTTGGGCTGGGTGTGGTGGCTCACACCAGTAACCCCAGTACTTTGGGAGGCCAAAGTGGGAGGATTGCTTGAGCCTGGGAATTTGAGACCAGCCTGGGCAACACAGCTAGACCACATCTCTTAAAACAAACAAACAAAAAAAAATTAGGCCAGGTTCAGTAGCTCATACCTGTAACACCAACACTTTGGGAGGCCGAGGCAGCAGATCACTTGGGGTCAGGAGTTTGAGACCAGCATGGCCAACATGGTGAAACCCCATCTCCACTAAAAATACAAAAATTAGCTGGGCGTGGTGGGGCACGCCTATAGGCCCAGCTACTCGGGGGGCTGAGGCACGAGAATCCCTTGAACCTGGGAGGCAGAGGTTGCAGTGAGCTGAGATCGCACCACTGTACTCCAGCCTGGGCGACAAAGCAAGATTTTGCCTCAAAAACAAGACAACAACAACAAAAAAATTTGTCAAAGTGGTGTCATATGCCTAGCCATTTGGGAGGCTGAGGCCGGAGGATCACTTGAGCCTGGGCAGTTGAGGCTGCAGTGAGCTGTGATTGTGCCACTGAACTCTTGCGTGGAAGACAAAGTGAGACCCTGTCTCAAAAAAAAAAATTGTTCTTTATAACCATATTAAGTTAAAATGCCAGTGATTCATAAGGGGATTAAATTCTGCTGGGGTAGAATACTAAAAAATGAGAGTGTTTATTTCCATTTTAAAGTAAATTGGTGGCCAAGCAAAGTGGCTCACGCCTGTAATCCCAGCACTTTGGGAGGCTGAGGTGGGCAGATCACTTGAGGTCAGGAGTTCGAGACCAGCCTGGCCAACACAGTGAAACCCGATCTCTACTAAAAATACAAAAATTAGCTGGGCGTGGTGGCGTGTGCCTGTAGTCCCAGCTACTTGGCAGGCTGAGGCACGAGAATCACTTGAACCTGGGAGGCAGAGTTTGCAGTGAGCTGAGATTGCACCACTGCACTCCAGGCTGGGTGACAGACCGAGACTCTTGTCTCAAGAATAAAAAATCAAGTAAGTTGGTTACAGGGAGCTATGATTTCACCACTGCACTCCTGCCTGGGCAACGGGGCAAGACCCTGTCTCTAAAATACATAAATAAACACATAAATAAATAGGCTTGTGTCACTTGGTTAAATGGCAAAATGTAGGAGGTCTTTATGGGTTAGGAGTATCCATCAAAGATTCCATTTAAAATATACTTTATAATTTACTTATTTGTGTGTTTATTTTCTGTCTCCCCTGGAATGTCAGCTCCAGAGGGTAGGTAACTTTATCTGTCTTGCTCATTCATGCATCCCAAGTGTCTAGAACTGTGTTCTAGAAGTTTGTGGTTGAATAAATTAAACAATCATTATTAACACAGTGATCTAAAGGAAATCATTTTTTCTTTTTTGAGATGGAGTCTTGCTCTGTTGCCCAGGCTGGAGTGCAGTGGCTCAATTTCGGCTCACTGCAAGCTCTGCCTCCCGGGTTCACTCCATTCTCCTGCCTCAGCCTCCCAAGTAGCTGGGACTACAGGCATCTGCCACCACACCTGGCTAATTTTTTGTATTTTTAGTAGAGATGGAGTTTCACTGTGTTAGCCAGGATGGTCTCGATCTCCTGACCTCGTGATCCACCCACCTCAGCCTCCCAAAGTGCTGGGATTACAGGCGTGAGCTACCGCGCCCGGCCAGGAAATCATTTTTAAATTTAAATTGCTTCTTTACAACTAGAAGAGAAACAATGGAAAATAATAAAAAATTATGAAATTATTATTTTGAGCCAGGTGTGGTGGCTCACGCCTGTAATCCCAGCACTTTGGGAGGCTGAGGCGGGTGGATCACGAGGTCAGGAGATCGAGACCATCCTGGCTAACACAGTGAAACTCCATCTCTACTAAAAATACAAAAAATTAGCCAGGTGTGGTGGTGGGTGCCTGTAGTCCCAGCTACTCGGGAGGCTGAGGCAGGAGAATGGCGTGAACCCGGGAGGCGGAGCTTGCAGTGATCCGAGATCGTGCCACTGCACTCCAGCCTGGGCAACAGAGCGAGACTCCGTCTCAAAAAAAAAAAAAAAAGATATTATTTTGGAGTGATGCAAAGAAAAAAAAAAGAAATTATCATTGTTTTAATCTTAAGGAGTTCCCAAGATTATACATCTGTGTGAAAGGGATTTTCTGCTCTATCAAGTCTGAAAGATGCTGTGATAAAATGACAATGGTTTAAGTAGAGGGTGCTTGGGGTCAGGGAAGAGTTCTTGGAAGGGATGATTTCTGTCTAAGTCGAGATCTGAAGGATTGGCCAGAGGAACAGTGGGAAGCAGTCATTCCAGGAAAAGCAACCAGCAGGTGCCCTTGTGTTGGCTGATGTGCATGAAATAATTCACTCTGGGTTGGGAGTCAGGGGCAGCAGCCCAGTAATTCTCCCAGTGGGAGGCCCTCTTTGTCCACAGCTACTGGCCAGTGAACAGGAGGATTCATCTCCAGCACCAGCTCCTTCCTTCTGAGTTCTCCTCTGCAATGCCTCCCCCATTACTAACCTCTAGCCACCTCTCCTTCTGCCAGGAAGGGACGACTAGCCACTCCCTGGGGTGAGGCAGCTGAGCACAGCTGGTGTCTGCCAGAGGCCAGGCTGCCTGACTGCCCAACTGGGAAGGGCTTGTCTCCACTGACTGTTCCCTGAAACACACACAAGCCCAGGCTACCCATCACCTGGGCCCATCTGGGGCACAGGGTCAGCAGGGCTGGCGGCTTTACTCAGTTGCAGGCTGAGTGGCAGGGGGGGTTCCTGGGACCCTACACATCCCTGGCAGTCTTGAAGACCCTCCAGCTTCCTCCTCTGGTCACTGTCTCCTGCAGACTCCAGTACCTCCTATCTTAGACAGGTCATGGCCAGGGAGGAGAGGGAAGCTTTTGTTACCTGAAAGACCAATGGTAGGTCAGGCAAGGTGGCTTATGCTTATAACCCAGCACTTTGGGAGGCTGAGGTGGGAGGATCACTTGAGCCCAGGAGTTCCAGACCAGCCTGGGCAACAGAGAGACCCTATCTCTACAAAAAAAATTTTTTTTAATTAGCTGGGCTCAGCCGGGTGCAGTGGCTCAAGCCTGTAATCCCAACATTTTGGGAGGCTGAGCAGATGGATGTCTTGAAGTCAGGAGTTTGAGACCAGCCTGGCCAACTTGGAAAAACCCAGTCTCTACTAAAAATACAAAAATTAGCCAGGTGTGGTGGTGTGCGCCTGTAATCCCAGCTACTCGGGAGGCTGAGGCACGAGAATTGATTGAACCTCAGAGGCAGAAGTTGCAGTGAGCCAAGATCATGCCACTGCACTCCAGCCTGGACAACAGAGTAAGACTCTGTCTCAAAAATAAAATAAAATAAAAAACAAGCTGGGCATGGTGATGCACTCCTGTAATCCCAGCTACTTGGGAGGTTGAGGCAGGAGGATCTCTTGAGCCCCAGAGCTTGAGGCTGCAGTGAGCTGTTATCACGCCACTGCACTCTACCCTGGGCAACAGAGTGAGGTGGCTCAGGCCTGTAATCCAGCACTTTGGGAGGCCGAGACGGGCGGATTGCTTGAGTCCAGACGTTCGAGACCAGCCTGGGCAACATACAAAACCTCGTCTCTACCAAAAAATACAAAAATTAGCCAGGCATGGTGGCATGCACTTGTAGTCCCAGCTACTCAGGAGACAGGTGGGAGGATGGCTTGAGGCCAGGGGTTCCAGGCTGCAGTGAGCCGTGATGGCACCACTGCACTCCTGCCTGGGTAACAGAATAAGACTCTGTCTCAAAAATAAATACATTTTTGGCTGGGCACAGTGGTTCACGCCTATAATCCCAGCACTTTGGGAAGCCAAGGCGGGTGAATCACTGGAGGCCAGGAGTTTGAGACCAGCCTGGCCAACATGGTGAAACCTCGTCTCTACTAAAAATACAAAAATTAGCCGGGCGTGGTGGCAGCTGCCTGTAATCCCAGCTACTTGGGAGGCTAAGGCAGGAGAATCACTTGAACCTGGGGCAGCAGAGGCTGAAGTCAGTGGAGATTGCACCTCTGCAATCCAGCCTGTGCAACAGAGCAAGACTCTGTCTCAAAAAAAACAACAAATAAAATAAAATTACAAAAAATAAATAAATAAATTTTTAAAATAAAATAAAATAGGCTGGGCATGGTGGCTCACACCTGTAATCCCAACACTTTCAGAGGCTGAGGCAGGATGACTTGAGCTCAGGAGTTCAGACCAGCCTCGGCAACATAGTGAGACCCTTGTCTCAACAAAAAGTAAATTTTTAAAAATTAGCCCGAAGTGGTGGTGTGGCTGTAGTCCCAGATATTGAGGAGGCTGAGGCAGAAGGATCGCAGGAGTTCCAGGCCGCAGTGAGCAGGCCTGTGCCACTGCGCTCCAGCCTGGGTGACAAGGTGAGAGAGACCCTGACACAAAACAAAACAAATAAAATAAGATAAAATAAAATAAAAAAGATATCTTCAGCTGCTCCTAGTAGCTTGAGAGATAGGTCACGCAGTGTCACCATCCCCATTTAACAGATGGGAAGGCTGGCTCAGTTTTGAGGCCACAGAAGAGCAAGGAGGCCCTAAGGGTCTCACAAGTCCCTTCCCGCCCTTACCCTGTTGAATTCTTAGGGTCTGGCGCCAGGACACGGCCGCGGGGCCCTAACTCCCGGCCCGCTCAGGAATGTGGGGCGCCCGCGGGCCGGTGGCAAGGCGCGGGGGCGCGGGGGCGGGATGGGGGGAGGGGCGCTGACGCCGAGCCTTTTCCGCTCCAGCTGCGCGGGCCGGCGACACAGCAAATTCCGAGGGCACACCTGGCTGTGCAGCTGTCCCGGGACGAGGATTTCCCAGTCCTCCGGTCGCCAGCCCCCCGGGGCACGGCCTTGACCCCGGGACTGCGGGGCCCCGCGCGGCACAGGAGCTGGGGGCGCCCCCTGGGGTTAAGCGCGCTAGGCCAGCCCTCGCCCTCCCCGCTGCCAACCCCAACCCCCTGGCACCGGGTGTGGAGGCAGCTCTGCCTCTGAAGGTGGTCCCGGTCCGCGTGGCCTTGCCAGCTCCACCTTCCAGGAACCTCCTCCCCACCTTTTCAAAGGGCGCTAGTCCTTTCCAGCACCCAGGAGGGTGAGGGACTCCCTAACTCAGCCCTTGATAACCCCTTACTTAATGGGAGGGCAAGGATGAGGAGGGGCAGCTCAGGGGCCCTCTTTGGTTCTGCGTTCTAGGGGTCCATGGGAAATCAGTCCTAGGAAGATGGACTGGGATGAGGGGCCCCCCCTTCCCTGAAGGGCTAGGCTCTCCCTACCTCCTTCCCACCCCCATCCCCCAAGCCCCTTAGGGCTCCAGGACCCAGCACAGGGCAAGGCCTCCAGCCCTGCAAAAACTGGCCTCTGTTTACCTCTGAGCCCATCTCTCCATCCACCTCTTACACTCTTGACCCTCTAGGTCCTCCCTAACCTGACCTTCTTCAGTTCTTTTTTGTTGTTCTTTTTTGTTTTAGGGGCTTTTTTGTTTGTTTTTGTTTTCGTTTTGAGACAGGATCTTGCCCCATTGCCCAGGCTGGAGTGCAGTGGGGTGATCTCAGCTCACTGCAGCCTCTGCCTCCCAGGTTCAAGCCGTACTCGTGCCTCAGACTCCTGAGTAGCTGGGAATCACAGGTGCGCACCACCACTCCTGGCTAATTTTTTTGTATTTTTAGTAGAGACAGGGTTTCCCTATGTTGGCCAGGCTGGTCTTCAACTCCTGAGCTCAGGCAATCCGCACACCTTGGCTTCCCAAAGTGCTGACAGTCTTTAGTTCTTTTTTTTTTTTGGACACAGAGTCTCACTCTATCACCCAGGCTGGAATGCAGTGGTGCCATCTCGGCTCACTGCAGCCTCCGCCTCCTGGATTCAAGCGATTCTCCTGCCTCAGCCTCCCAGGTAGCTGGGATTACAGGTGCAGGCACCACCATGCCTGGCTAATTTTTGTATTTTCTGTAGAGATGGGGTTTCACCATGTTGCCCAGGCTGGCTGGTTGCCAGGTGATCCACCTGCCTCGGCCTCTTAAAGTGCTGGGATTACAGGCGTGAGCCACCACACCGGGCCCTTCTTCAGTTTTTAAAATGAATCTGATTCCCTCTAGCCTCAGAGGGTGGACCCAGTGGTTCCCTCTCCTTGCTCTGCCATCTTCCCCCCTCCTCCACATTCCAGCTTCCGGTTTTCTTCATCTGACCTCCACTTATTTTTCTGTTTTCTGCTTAGTCGTCACCTGTTACTAACATTGTCATGAACGAAGTGTTTTGAAAATCCTTGAACCGTAGTTCTTCTACAGGAAGGTTAGAATCAGCCCTCCAGCTTCCTCTAGAAACCTTGTTGGAATTTTGATTGGGATTGTATCGAATCATAGATTAATCTGGAGTAAACTGACAACACATAGGTTTACCAAAATGATGACATGAGTCAGTGACGATACAAATTAGACATAACTCCTTCCTTCGAAGAGCTTATTTATACTCTTCCTATTTTGTTTTACTTTATTTTATTTTGTAAGAGAAGATCTTATTGGGTCCATTTTACAGATGAAGAAACTGAGGCTCGTGAGTTGATATGACTGGCTCTGGTCCTATGGTAAGGAAAAGGTGGGGCCAAGATCCCACCTATGTCTGTTTGGCTCAAGAATCTGCCTATTCAGTCGATTCAGTCCATGGGTTTGGTTTGTGTGTGTGTCTGTGTGTTTGCAGGTAGGGTATGTTTCCATGTACCCAGAGTGGAAAAGCATCTCTATTTAAAGATAGATGGGGTTGAGGTGGAGTGTAGGCGTGTCTGCTTTATTGGAAGGTAGCTTCTATTTGCGTTGGTGTCAAGGTCATTAGCAATGTGTGTAGTGTTGGGGGGCTAGTGGTTATATTGGGGAGGGTATTTATGTGTATTGGGTAGGAAGTATGTGTTGGGGGGACAAGAACAGGATATTTCTGTTGGTGTGTGTGTTTTTTCTTCTATATAATTTTACTTTTATACCTGTTGAAAGTGCTCTTTTAAATTGAACAAACGGCTAGGAGCAGTGGCTCATGCTTGTAATCCCAGCACTTTGGGAAGCCAAAGCAGGAGGATTGCTTGAGCCTAGGAGTTAGATACCAGCCTGGGCAACATGGCAAAATCCCGTCTCTTAAAAACAAAACAAAAAAAAAAACAGATATAAAACATGTAAAACACCCCTGTAGGAACTCCCTCATGCCTCCTCTGAGCCAGTAACCCCCAACTCCTCGCAAAAGCAGCCACTGTTCTGACTTCCATTACCCTAAGTTAGGTTTGCCTGTTCTTGAGTATCTTGTCAATGGAATCACACAGCATTTCTCTTTGGCGAGGTTAATAGCTGATATTGAACTAAGTTTGCTCTGTGTGCTAAAAACTTTCCATATCTCACTGAATTTCTCCTAATAGCCGAATCAGCTAGCACCTGTTTATTTATTTATTTATTTATTAGAGACAGGCCTCTGTCACCCAGGCTGGAGTGCAGTGGCATGATCACAGCTCACTGTACCCTCAACCTCCTGGGCTCAAGCAATCCTCCCTCTTCAGCCTCCTGAGTAGCTAGAACTATGGGCACATACCACGAGGCCTGACTAATTTTTGTACTTTTTTTTTTTTTTAAGATAGAGTCTCACAGTGTTGCCCAGGCTGCTCTCAATCTCTTAGGCTCAAGTGATCCTCCCGCCTCGGCCTCCCAAAGTGCTGGGATTATAGGTGTAAACCACCATGCCTGGCCAGCACCTATTAATTGTTCCCATTTTACAGATGAGCAAATGCTCAGAGAAGGCCCACGACTTGTTCCAGGTCACTCAAGAGTTATCAGAATCCACAGCTCTGGTCCATGCTTATTAGACGGTCCTGCCTCCCTTGGGGTGATCTGCAGAAGAGGGGCACTGCTCTCTGAGTGCAGAGAGCAGAAGACAGAGCCTGGAGCTCAGAGATGCTTCTGTGTGTGATTTATTCCCCAAGTCGGTTTCTCAGAATCTGTTGTGAGGCCTCTCCAACCCCGCCTTGCTGGGTCAGGGACTCAGCAGCCCAACCACTGCTATGCTGTGGAGACTCATCAAGCTATGGGGGTCGAGTCCCAGCTCCGGGATTTATTTGTTGTATAACTTTGGGCAAGTTGCCTCTGTCTTTGAACCTCCGTGTCCTCAACTGTTAAAAGGAGGTTAAATTTCTCCTGCTTGGTTAAGGGGTAACAGATGGAAGGTGTCACTGTATAAATTGCTACTGTTGCTATTTTCTTTAAAAAAATAAAAAACTTTTTATTTTTAATTAAAACACAAATATTGAAAGTCACATAAAACAAACAAGGAACCTACTAGGTTATTATGAGGTAAACAGCTTGTAACCACAGGCCAGATCAAGAAATAGAAGCCCTGCCGGGCGCAGTGGCTCACGCCTGTAATCCCAGCACTTTGGGAGGATAGGTGCTGGGATGGGTGCCGAGGCGGGTGGATCACAGGAGCTCAGGAGTTTGAGACCAGCCTGGCCGACATGGTGAAACCCTGTCTCTACTAAAAATACAAAAAATTAGCTGAGCATGGTGGCGGGCACCTGTAACCCCAGCTACTCAGGAGGCTGAGGCAGAAGAATCGCTTGAACCTGGGAAGAGGAGGTTGCAGTGAGCCGAGATAGTGTCATTGCACTCCAGCCTGGGCAGAAAGAGCAAAACTCCATCTCAAAAAATTATATATATATATATATATATTTTTTTTTTTTCTCCTTAAATGCCCCACCCCAGCCTGCCTTTATAGTATTTCTTTGTTTCTTTACAGTTTTACACCCAAATGTATAGCCTTTAAGTCTATAGTAATTTGCCTCCCATCCCCTTTGTTTCCTTACAGTTTGTCTTTTGAAGAACCTGGGGCATTGAATTTTAAGAGTTTCCGCAGGGCTGGGCATGTTGGCTCATGCCTGTAATCCCAGCACTTTGGGAGCCCGAGGCAGATGGATCACCTGAGGTCAGGAGTTCAAGACCAAGCTGACCAACATGGAGAAACCCTGTCTCTACTAAAAATACAAAAAATTACCCGGGTGTGGGGCGCATGCCTGTAATCTCAGCTGCTCGGGAGGCTGAGGCAGGAGAATTGCTTGAACCCGTGAGGCGGAGGTTGTGGTGAGCCGAGATCGCACCATTGCACTCCAGCCTGGGCAACAAAAGCAAAACTCTGTCTCAAAAAAAAAAAAAAAAAGAGTTTCCTCAGAGCCTGGATCCTCGCTGCTCTTTTCCACTCACACACCCTTCTCTCCGGCTTCCTCCCTCCTCCTGCTTGGATTTGGAGTAACATAGATCTGGGTTGCAGTCCTGAGTCTACCTGTTCCTGTGTGACTTTGGACAAATCACTTAACCTCTCTGAACCTCTTTCCTCAACTGACAAATGGGTACATGACCTAGATCATCTCTAAGGGCCTTCCTGCTTTCTCAGTCTCCTCTCTCAAGCACCAGGCTCTTGCCCCACAGTCTCTTCTCAAAAACAACTTTTTTCTTTGTTTGTTTTGAGACAGAGTCTTGCTCTGTTACCCAGGCTGTTGTGCAGTGGCACAATCTCGGCTCATTGCAATCTCCGCCTCCTGGGTTCAAGCAATTCTCGTGCCTCAGCCTCCCGAGTAGCTGGGACTACAGACGTCGCCACCATGCCCAGCTAATTTCTTGTATTTTTTGGTAGAGATGGGGTTTCGCCATGTTGATCAGGCTGGTCTTGAACTCCTGGCCTCAAGTGATCCACCTGCCTCAGCCTCCCAAAATGCTTGGATTACAGGCGTGAGCTACCGCACCCAGCCAAAAACAACTTGACTGGGTGAAAAGAACACTGGGTAAGAGTCAGAGAGACCTGGCCTTGGAATCTAGTTTCCACTGGAACTAGCTGTGTGAACTTGAGCAAGTTACTTAACCTCTCTGAGTTTCCACTTCCTTGTCTATAGAATGGGGATCCTGAAACCCAACCCGTGAAACTGGAATGAGGCTTACCTGAAGTCATGTCCCTAAGACATTTAGTGTCTGGCATCTGGTATGTGCTACAGAAATGTTGACTGTTATTGTTATTAGCTATTATTATTCATTATTTATTGACTGTTTGCTCTGTGCCAGGCATTGTGTCAAGTGTCTTAAGATGTACTAACTCATTTAATCCTCACAGCCATGCTATGAGATAGCTGCATCTTATAGATGAGGAAACTGAGGCACAGAAGGGTTAAGTAAATTGCTGATGGTCACACAGCTAAAAAGCCATGGAATTGATCCATGAACCCAGGCTATCTGGATGCAGAGCCTGCTCTATCACCCACCAAGCTGCACTGTCTCAAATACTACTACTTTCTGGAAGAATGTTCTCTTTGCTTGTCCAAGCCCAGAGAGAATTCCAGTAGGGGTGAGGATGGAGCAGTAGCTGAATTCAGTTGGTCAAATCCAAGGGTGAGAAAGACGTTCTTACCCTAACGCGAGATAAATGTCCAGGGCATTAACTTGAGCTGGCCCAAGTGCAGTGGCCTACACAGGTAATCCCAGAACTTCGGGAGGCCAAGGTAAGAGGATTGCTTGAGCTTAGGAGTTCCAGACCAGCCTAGTCAACATAGTGAGACCTTGTCTCCACTAAACATTTTAAAAATCAGCCGCATGGTAGCACGTGCCTATAGTCCCAGCTGCTTGGGGAAGCTGAGGCGACAGGATCATTTGAACCTGGGAGATCGAGGCTGCACTCAGTCATAATCGTGCCACTGCACCCCAGCCTGGCCAACAGAGCAAGACCCTGTCTCAAAACTAAAATAAAAATACAAATAGGCCAGGCGCAGTGGCTCACACCTGTAATTCCAACACTTTGGGAGGGAGTTTGAGACCAGCCTGGCCAACATGGTGAAACCCCATCTCTACTAAAAATACAAAAATTAGCCAGGCCACGGTTGTGGGTGCCTGTAATCCCAGCTACTTGGGAGCTGAGGAAGGAGAATTGCTTGAACCTGGGAGGCAGAAGTTTCAGTGAGATGAGATTGTGCCACGGCACTCCAGCCTAGGCAACAAGAGTGAAACTCTATCTCAAAATAAAATAAAATAAAAATAAATAAATAAAAATAATTTGGGTCACCCCTGATTATTTCCTGACCCCACCCCTAATATTTTACCCATTGAAAACCTGCCAAAATGCAACTGGGACCAGCTTTCTTCAATGGGGGCAGCAGAGAGGGTCTGACTGGGATGTGGCTGTGTGTTTGCTACGAGAGTGAATTTCTGTGTTTCTGTGGATGCATGAGTGTGTGGAGTAGGCGATGGTGGTCTTGTCTGTGTGGCTGGACTGTGGGGTCTTCCTCGTTGTCTGTCTCTCAACACTGTGGAGAGGCAGTATGGGGGTGCCTGTCCCACCTCTCCCACCCACAGGATGTGTGACCCGGGGCAAATGACTCACCTCTTTGTGCCTTAGTTTCTTCATGTATATAAAAATGTGGATGATGATAATAATAGGGTTATTCTGAAGATTAAATGAGATTGCCCATGTAATGTGCTTAAAACAGTGCTGGCCACTTATGAGAAAGTAGCTAATACCATCAGCTTATATGTAGTAGACATGCTTAAGTGTGTAACCTGTGGGTTTCTGTATATTTATACAGGACACCTGTGGTGTACAATGGAGAGGATATGAGGGCCTGGCGGGGACGAGCTCTCTGTGATTTGTGGGAGGGGATGTGCTTATATGAGTGTGTGCACAAACGTGTGTGTGTGTGTGCACATACATGTGTTGTGTGTACAGCAGATGCCTGCGCCTTCTGCACATGTGCAAGGACGTTCACTGCCAGGACCCAGGTTACCACACAAACAGTCTCCATCCCTAGGACAAGTCACTGAGGCTCACGTGTGCCTCGGTTCCTTCATCTATACAATGGGTGGAGTCACTACCCCAAAGGGAGCTGTGAGGCCCAAGTGAATTGAGGATGTGAAGTTCTGAGCCAGTGCAAAGTGCCAGTTACATAGGAGTGGCTTGTGCTATGCGTTCTGAGAGAGCCGGGCTTACTTGTTGACACTCCTGGGTTCCTAAGTGCCATGGCTGTTTGTGTCTGCCTTCCCTGGGCTGCAGAATTTGCCCTGGTGTATCGAAGATCCCACCTGTTGTTGTCCGAAGAGCCAGAATTGGGAACCTATCAAAGAGAAACTGGGAACAGCCTTCTTCAGTGGGGGCAGCAATTTCAGTTCAGTTTCTTCAGTGGGGCATCCAAGGCCCAAAGAAGGATAAGAACTTGCCTTAAGACACCCAGCACACTGGAGGCAGAGACGGGGCTAGATCGAACGAGTCTCTCTTGTCCTTCTGGCATAGTGGGAGAGCCCCCATAGGGGTCAGGGGTCGCAGCCCTCACCCCTCACTGCTCTGCCCTCCCCACCTTCCCCAGCATCCAGCAGGAAGGTCACTGCTCCAGCAGGAAGGTGTGTGCTTTGGCAGCCGCACTGTCTGGGCTGCCTGTGGTGGGAATTCCACATGTCTGGAGAGGACCCGTCTGGAGTAGCCCAGTCCCAGCCCCCAGCCCTGCTTCGCCAGCTGGCCCAGGGTTTGGCCTGCTGCCCCGAGACTAGGTTCAGCCTGGGAATCCTCAGAGCTTGCTAGAAGAGTAGTCTGAGGATTGCAAATTCTTCACCTGTGTTTTTTATATAACACCTTTCTGTTGTAAGTCTATCCCCTTCTATTACAAAAGTAATGCATTTTATTTTTGGGGAATACAAGTAATGAAAGAGGAGAAAATTGAACTCTTTCTTAACCTAGGACTTCAGCAACTCAGAGACTGAGACTTTAAACACACACACACACACACACACACACGCACACACGTCCATTATCTACATACTCATACATTCACCTGGGGACACATTTGACTCAAGAACACTCAAACACACACACATGTAAGTATACTTGCACACACATACACAAGTGCATACATACTCTCACAAGTACACACGTACACACAAACACATTCACACACACATTCCTAGAGTGCACACAGTGTGCCAGCCACTGTACTAAGGCTCCACAAATGTTCACTCATTTCATCTTCGCAGTAATGCTACAAGGTAGGCACCGCTATTTCTCCCATTTTACAGATGAGGCACACAATGGTTGAGTAACGTGCCCAACACCTAGTTAGTGAGGGGGTGGGATAAGGGAAATTTGAACCCAGATTTGTGGGCTTAATTCATTTGCTAATGAATAGGCTGTGTTTGAGTGGCATCATAACGAACATCACCCTAGGCTTTTTTCCTTATGCATCTATATTTGGTTTGGTTAGAAAATGGCATCTTTGGCTGATACAAAAAAATTAGCCAAGTATGGTGGTGCGTGCCCGTGGCCCCAGCTATTCAGGAGGCTGAGATGGGAGGATCACCTGAGCCTGGGAGGTGGAGGTTGCAGTGAGCCGAGATTGTGCCACTGCACTCCAGCCTGGACGACAGAGCGAGACTCTGTCTCAAAAGAAAAAAAAAGAAAGACAGCCTGTCCAATATGGTGAAACCCCATCCCTACTAAAAAATACAAAAATTAGCCAGGTGTGGTGGTGTGCACCTGTAGCCCCAGCTACTTAGGAGGCTGAGGCAGGAGAATCGAGGTTGCAGTGAGCCGAGATTGCGCCACTGCACTCCAGCCTGGGCGACAAAGTGAGACAAAAAACAGAAAGAAAAAAAAAAGGAAAGGAAAAGGAAAAGGCATCCTTTTAGATACTAACCAGGCCTGGGGTCAGATCTGGACTTAAATCCTGGCGTGATTGCAGACTGGCTGGCTTGACTTTGGGCTTGTTCTTTCTCCTCTCTGGGGCTCAGTTTCCTCATCTATGAAATGGGGAGCTATAGTACCTGCTTCTGAAGGTTGGCTGGGCTTTTGTGTAAAGCACTCAGCCCTGGGCCTGGCACATAGCAGGGGCTCACTAGATGGGCCATATTAACTGTCTGCTCCAAGGCTGGAGGGTGTTATAGGGAAAACAGTCAGAAAATACTCTCCAGATGCAAGGTGGCCTTAATATGTCAGGATGTGGAAGGCAGAGAGAAGCCTCGGGGTCTGGGATCTCCCATAGGGGATGAGTATTTTTTCCTGGAATCCCTGCCCTGTTGCCACATCACTACCCTGACCATTTGCCCAGCCCAGCCCTACATGCTTCAGGTGAAAGCAGAGAGAGAGGGGCGGGAGAGAAAAGCCCATCAAGCAGCAGGCGGAGCCTCCCTGCAGGAGTCTGGCCTGGCTGGAAGGGGAGGGGGCTGTGGGGCCAGGGACGTCAGATGCCAACAGCACCAGGGGACCGTTAAAGTTGCTGCGCCGCCAGGTGGGCCAGGGTGTCTGCAGAGGTCCCCGGCCTCCTGGGCTGCCGCCTGCCACCGCTTGGGCTGCCCGTCCTGGGTACGCACCGTTGGAGCCTCCTGCCTGGTCTCTCGTGCTTCTCTGTCTCTTCTCTAAGTCGATTTTTCGCTCTTTCTTCTGTTTGTGCCCCTCTCTCTGTCTATTTCTGTCCTCCCCCAGCCACATTGTTGCCTCTCTCTCATTCTCTCTTATCTCTTTACCTTTCTATTTCTCATTCTTTTTTCTCTGTAACTCTTTTTTTCTGTCCCCTTTTTGGTCTCTCTTTTTTCTCTGCCTCTTTCATTCTCTGCCATTGGGTTTTCTCTGTGTCTCATTCTCAATTCCTAAATTGCAGCAAAGCAGGGACAAAAGGACCTTGCAATATGACTTGGGGTAAGGTGGGCCCTGCCCTCCGAGGGCATTGACTGAGCCCGCTCCAGCAGGATTGGTGAAGAGGATGTCTAGACTGGAGAGGGCTGCTGTCTGTCTCCTGGGCTGGAGGGACAGAGCACTGGCTTTGAAGTGGTGGCACCATCTCACCCCAGGGCCATGTCTGGATTAGCCACTGTCTGGGCATTTCTTCCCCTTGCCCAACCCACTCAGTCCCCTGGGGTGGAAAGGAAGGGGTGCTGGGCATCTGGACCAGAGCTGCATCTGGAGGTCTTTGCCAAGTTCCCAGGAGGCAGCATCCTCTGGGTCGGCACTGTTGGAGAACGCTCAGGGTCTGGTGCTCTCGTGCCTGCCCCTTCCAGGCAGCCGGCTCTGATTGCACAAGGCAGACCTGTGACTCCTCCATCCAGCTATGCCCCTGCTGCCCAGCACCGTGGGCCTGGCAGGCCTGCTCTTCTGGGCTGGCCAGGCAGTGAACGCCTTGATAATGCCTAATGCTACCCCAGCCCCGGCCCAGCCCGAGAGCACGGCTATGCGGCTCCTGAGTGGCCTGGAGGTGCCCAGGTACCGCCGGAAGCGCCACATCTCTGTGAGAGACATGAATGCCTTACTGGATTATCACAACCACATCCGGGCCAGTGTGTACCCACCTGCCGCCAACATGGAATACATGGTGAGTCCCCGTACCTGCCCCCCACCCCCCGCAGTGTCCCTTCCGGCAAACGCAGCCGGACTCATCTTGGCCTAGAATGACTGGCTTTGAAGAGCTGGACCACTTGCCTGCCTGGCCCCACTAGCCAGTATCTGGGTGTCGACCTGTGGAAAGGGCAGGAGTTAATCTGCCCATTTTACAGATGAGGAAACCAAGAAGGTTGCACAGCTGTTCCAGTGAGTCAGGCATGTGACTACTATGTAAGGAGCACCACTGTGCGCCAGGCACTGCACGTGAGTATCATCTCCATTTTCCAGAGGAAGAAACTGAGACTCAGAGAATTAATTTGCCCAGCCAGGATTTCAATCCAGGTCTGCCTGCTGCCACCTGGCACCATCACAACTGTAACCATCACAATCCCCTACCCAAGAATTTTGGCTCCCCACACTGGGGACCTGCATGGGGTGCGTGGCTGGTGCTTTCTATGCTATTGTCTCTTTACCCTAAGGTCTTGACTGACACACCCACAGCATCCTCCACAAGCCCCTGGAGGCAGGCTTGGAGCAGTGGGGACAGGTACTGGGGAATCTCAGGCTGAGGAAAACCAACAGCTGACCAGCAGAGGAAGCTGGGATGTCTCCCCTCAAAGAGGCAGGGCTGGTGGCTCTCACTCCAGCCCCCAAGAAGTCAAAGGAGGGCACCAACCTTTTGCTTACAGCTCCTCCCCCAGGGCCACTGTCCAAAACCAGCCTAGAGGGATGGGTTTCCAGCCCACCCAGAGATGTCTTTAGGGAAAGAGTTTGCCAGTCTGCCCCCTGAAAGACCAACACATGCCACTCGATAGCCTGAAAACTTAACTTTTTCATCGTATCCATTGACTTATACTTGGAGTACACTTGCAGCCAGGCACCGTGCTAAGCCTTGTGGATACTGCTGGTAACAGAATAGACAAGGCCCCTTCCTTCACGAAGGTGACATTTTAGTGGGAATAAGAGAAAACAAGCATGAACAACAAGATATTAATGTACATAAGATAACGTGAGGAGGCAATACAGTGTTGGGAGGGGCGGGAATAAGAGCCGGGATGGCAGGCAGCTAGAGTGCAGGGGAGTCATTGACTTGTTCATTCATTCGTTAGCACCTAGAATGCCCTCCATTTTTCAAACAAATGGCACATTTATTGAGCACCCGTTGTGCGTGTGTGGCACCTGCCCCAACAGGTGTTTAATGATTGCAGGCGGCATGGAGCAGAGAGGGTTCAATATCTCACCAGGGACTCCAGGGAGGGCCTGAACATGTAGGTTTGATGTTTAGCCTGCTCCTTCCCTCACTTTACCCCTTTGTAGCATGAGGGAAGCACTCCTCTGCTCTCCCTAAAAGACTGAGCCAGAGAGCCGGGCGCAGTGGCTCACGCCAGTAATCCCAGCACTTTGGGAGGCCGAGGTGGGTGAATCACCTGAGGTCAGGAGTTCCAGACCAGCCTGGCCAACATGGTGAAACCCAGTCTGTACTAAAAATACAAAAATTAGCTGGGTGTGGTGATGAGCGCCTGTAATCCCAAGCTACTTGAGAGGTGGAGGCAGGAGAATCGCTTGAACCTGGGAGGCCGAGGTTGCAGTGAGCCGAGATCCAGCCAGCCTGGATGACAAGAGTGAAACTCTATCTAAAAAAAAAAAAAAAAAAAAAATATTGGGCCAGACAACCCTGGTAGATACCTGGACCCCTCTTTGGATGCCCCATTTCTCCCTCCCTAGCTGACTTCTACTCACAGAACAGGCTGTCCAACTCGACAGCCTTTGCCCTAGCAGCCCTTCTCTCACTGCCGCAAGAAAGTTTGGCTCCCATTTCTCACTCTCACACCGACCAGGACTGTAATAATCAATGACTTGTTGAAGGCCTTGTTGCCTTGCTACCCTGAGTCCTCAGTGCCTAGAGATGTTGTTTGATATTTGATGAATGAACAAATCCTATTTCAGAGAATCCCAGGAAGTCAGAGATGGAAGGGAACTAGTATTTTAATGACATATTTTCTGGTTATAAAACTTGGAGAATTCATACATTGGAAAATTACAAAACTGTTAAGGAGGATGAGGAGGGCATTCACCATGTAGTGATGGGGAATAATCACTAAGACAAAAGAGCAAGGTGCAGAATAGAATATGCTGCCATTTGCCTATATATATGTGTGTGTGTGTGTGTGTGTGTGTGTCTGTGTGTGTGTGTATATATAGAGAGCTGCTTGTACAGGTATAGAATATATACCTGTATACAGAGGACACAAGAAGCAGTGGTGACTGCCTCTTGGGACGGTGTGCAGGGTGGTGGGGTTGGGGGAGAAGTATAGGAGAGAGATGAGACTTTCTACTGTTCCTCCTTGGTTATCTATTTTTGTTGTTGTTGACACGGAATCTCCCTCTGTTGCCCAAGCTGGAGTGCAGTGGCACGATCTCGGCTCACTACAACCTCTGCCTCCTGAGTTCAAGCAATTCTCGTGCCTCAGCCTCCCAAGTAGCTGGGACCACAGGTACACACCACCATGCCTGACTAATTTTTGTATTATCATTATTATTTTTGAAGACAGAGTTTCACTGTTGTTGCCCAGGATGGAGTACAATGATATGGACTCAGCTCACTGCAACCTCGGTCTCCCAGGTTCAAGCGATTCTCCTGCCTCAGCCTCCCGAATAGCTGGGATTATAGGTGCCCGCCACCACACCCGGCTAATTTTTATATTTTTAGTAGAGACAGGGTTTCACCATGTTGGCCAGGTTAGTCTCGACCTCCTGACCTCAGGTGATCCGCCCACCTCGGCCTCCCAAAGTGCTGGGATTACAGATGTGAGCCACCATGCCTGGCCTAATTTTTGTATTTTTAGTAGAGAGGGGGTTTCTCCATGTTGGCCAGGATGGTCTCGAACTCCTGACCTCAAGTGATCTGCCTGCCTCAGCCTCCCAAAAGTGCTGAGATTACAGGCGTGAACCACTGTGCCCAAGCGGATATCTTACATATTAAAATTATGCATATTTTCACGATTTAAAAAAGCTTTTGACTTAACCATTTTCAATGTTAAAATAAACACATTTAGAAAATACTACAAGGCCGGGTGCGATCCACCTGCTTCAGCCTCCCGAAGTGCCCTGTAATCCCAGCACTTTGGGATGCTGAGGCAGGTGAATTGTTTGAGGCCAGGAGTTGGAGACTAGCCTGGGCAACATGGCAAAACCCTGTCTCTACAAAAATTAGCCAGGTGTGGTGGCATGCGCCTGCAGTCCCAGCTACTCAGGAGGCTGAGGTGGGAGGATCGCCTCTCACCTCACCACCTCCCACTGTACCAGGAGGCAGAGGTTGCAGTGAGCTGCGATCGCACCACTGCACTCCAGCTTGGGTGACAGAGTGAGATCCTGTCTCAAAAAAGAAAAGAAAAGAAAAAAAGAAAGAAAGAAAAAGAAAATACTATAAGTACAATTTAAGAATTAGTTATTTTCTCATCCTTCTGGGTTCAGTCACTTCTAGGGACTGCTGAGAACTCCTGTACGAACACCCTGGGACCTGCTCAGAGCAGAGCCCAAGCTCAGAGTCAAGAGATCTGGGTGTGGACCCCAGCTCTGGTATGGACTCATGGTTGCCCTTCAAGTCATCAGCGAGCTGAGCCTCAGTCTTCTACTTTGTCACGTGGGTTTGTTGCAGGGTTCCAGGGAGATGGGGTAGAAACGGCACCAGGTAAATGTGCATCTCTGGACACAGTTGTGACGATGGTGGCAATTCCCCTGGGGAATTTCATTGCCTTTCTTTCCCCAGGTCTGGGACAAGCGGCTGGCCAGGGCTGCCGAAGCCTGGGCCACCCAGTGCATCTGGGCACATGGGCCTTCACAGCTGATGAGATACGTGGGCCAGAACCTCTCCATCCATTCTGGCCAGTGAGTGACCCTCTGCCCTTCCTTCACTCAGTCATTCAACAAATACTCATTGAACACTTACTCTGTACCAGGTGCTGCACTTGACACTGGGATACAGTGGCG
Organism: Homo sapiens; assembly: GCF_000001405.40. Taxonomy (NCBI): domain Eukaryota; kingdom Metazoa; phylum Chordata; class Mammalia; order Primates; family Hominidae; genus Homo; species Homo sapiens. The sequence continues at coordinate 44,341,417 of NC_000020.11, forward strand.
AGCAAGGCAGACAAGCTCTCCACCTGCAGGGAGCCTGCATTCTAGTTAGAAGGGGCAGGCAAAACCCTAACAAAGTTGTGTATACATTGAATTGAGGCAAGTCTTGTTTGGTTTGAGAACAAACAAGTGCACAGATTGTGGTGGAAAGTGAGGAGGGATTGGAAGACTAAGAAAATAGGATAAGGGGGCCGGGCACGGTGGCTTACACCTGTAATCCCAGCACTTTGGGAGGCTGAGGTGGGCAGATCACTTCAGGTCAGTAGTTCAAGACCAGTCTGGACAGCATGGTGAAACCCCGTCTCTACCAAAAATACAAAAATTAGCCCAGTGTGGTGGCGCATGCCTGTAATCCCAAGTACTCGGGAGGCTGAGGCAGGAGAATCACTTGAACCTGGGAGGTGGAGGTTGTGGTGAGCTGAGGTTGCGCCACTGCACTCTAGCCTGAGTGACAGAGTGAGACTGTGTCTCAAAAATAATAATGTCAATAAAATAAAATAAAGATAAGGGGATAAAATAAAATAAAGATAAGTCTGAGAATGGCAAACCCACCCTTCTGGCCTGACCTTCTCACCGCCATTCTGACTGTCAAGTCAGATTCCGGGGACCTTCTGATCTGGGTAGCCTTGGGAAGTTATTTCCACTTTCTAAACCTTGGTGTCCCTGTTTGTAAAACAAAGTTGTTAGCCTAGCTCAGTTCTTTCCAGACTTGTGGATTTCACAGGCCTATAAAATTGCAAAAAGAAATCTGTGAGACTGCCACACAATTGTCAGATTTTTATTTTGCCAAATAAGGATGTCAGAAAAACAACTACCTTCCCATCCTCGCCATTCTGCCATCACCCCGGGGAGAGTGGGAAAGAATTAAGGCCAGTCCCTTCAAGTGAGCTCAGTGGAAATTCAGGGCCCTGTCTGTGTTTTTTCATGTCCTTCACTGGTCACAACCAGCACCAGCCTCTGAGAGCCGTGAATGGTCACTCAGAGCCCTACAGAGCAGACATCGGGTGATTCAGTCCTGCCTCCATTTCACTTTCCCTCTCCCCCGCTGCTGAACTCTTCCTGCCAGACTCCACCCCTACCCATGGCCACCATTTGAGAGGCTCACAGAGAGAAAGAAAGCAGTGTTAGACACGAAGCTGTGCTGTCGTAAATTATGAATGTGCATTCTTCCAGATTTTCTCCCTCTTTAGTCATTTATGTATATTTTTATATATTTGTGCCCCTGTCAAATATGTGTAATAGAAAAAGCCCTCAGAGGCCGGGTGCGGTGGCTCATGCTTGTAATCCCAGCACTTTGGGAGGCAGAAGCGAGCGGATCACCTAAGGTCAGGAGTTCGAGACCAGCCTGGCCAACATAGTGAAACCTCATCTGTACTAAAAATACAAAAATTAGCCAGGCGTATGCAGGTGCATACCTGCAGTCCCAGCTACTTGGGAGGCTGAGGCACAAGAATTGCTTGAACCCAGAAGGCAGAAGCTGTAGTGAGCTGAGATCACACTGCTGCACTCCAGCCTGGGCAACAGAGCGAGACTCCATCTCAAAAAAAAGAAAAAGCCCTCAGGTCCTCCCAGATGGCTTTTCAGACTACAGAGGTTATCTCTGGGTGACACACCAGTATCTGCCTTCTCCTCACATCTCAGAGGCCTAGGAGATCATCCGAGGAGCCCTTCCTTTCCTAAAAATGCAAGCTCCCCCGTCTGAGATGCACCTCCTGCCCGGCCCTCTGTATAACAGTAACACGTATCCTTTTTTGAGGACTTACCACTTGCCAGGTACAGGGAGGCACTTCACATGGGTTCAGAACATGCCTGTGAGGCAGGGCCACTGCCCTCATGCTCACAGATAGGAAACTGAGATGGGGGAAAGGAAGCAAAGTGATCACCCAAGGTCACCAGCAAGTTGGCGGCCGAGCCACTTTTCCATCCTCTCACCCAGCTTCTTCCGTGTCCCCCGCCTCCCCAGGTACCGGTCCGTAGTGGATCTCATGAAGTCCTGGTCTGAGGAGAAGTGGCATTACTTGTTTCCGGCCCCAAGGGACTGTAACCCACACTGCCCCTGGCGCTGCGATGGCCCCACCTGCTCCCATTATACCCAGGTACTCCTCCGTCAGGGCTGAGGGCCCCTGGGATAACACATCCTGGCGCCTTAGAAGAAAAGGAATGTGTGGAGCAGAAATAAGAATGCAAACAAAGACCGTTATGAGCTTCTTTTCACCAAAGAGGCATATTCCTGGAAAGTTGTGTGCACAATGAATTGAGGTGAATCTTTTTTGTTTTTGTTTTTTGTTTGTTTGTTTTTTGAGACAGAGTCTCACTCTGTTGCCGAGGCTGGAGTGTAGTGGTGAGATCTCGGCTCACTGTAACCTCTACCTCCCAGGTTCAAGTGAAACTCTGTCCCCCCCGCAAAAAATTAAAAGTTATATATATATAAAGAAAGAAAATGACTGGGTGCAGTGGCTCACGCTTGTAATCTCAGTAACTTGAGAGGCTGAGATGGCAGGATTTCCTGAACACAGGAGTTTGAGAGCAGCCTAGGCAACAGAGAAAGACCTCATTTCTAAAAACCTTTCTAAAAATAGTGAGGTGTGGCCATGCAAGGTGGCTCACGCCTGTAATCCCAGCACTTTGGGAGGCCAAGGGGGTGGATCACGAGATCAGGAGATCAAGACCATCCTGGCTAACACGGTGAGACCCCGTCTCTACTGAAAATACAAAAAATTAGCCAGGCTTGGTGGCATGTGCCTATAATCTCAGCTACTCGGGAGGCTGAGGCAGGACAATCACTTGAACCCAGGAGGCAGATGTTGCAGTGAGCCGAGATTGCACTACTGCACTCCAGCCTGGGCAACAGAACGAGACTCCGTCTCAAAAAAAAAAAAAAAGTGAAGCTTGGTGGTGCACACCTTTAGTCCCAGCTACGTGGGAGGCTGAGGCAGGAGGATTGCTTGAGCCCAGGAGGTTGAGGTTGTGGTGAGCTATGATCCCACCACTGCACTCCAGCCTGGGTGACAGTGAGACCCACCTCTCTAAAAATAATAATAATTTAAAAAGGAAATGAATAGAAAAGTATAGAAAATATATTGGCTGGCCAGGTGCAGTGGCTCATGCCTGTAATCGTAGCACTTTGGGAAGCCAAGGTGGGCAGATCACCTGAGGTCAGGAGTTCAAGACCAGCCTGGCCAACATGATGAAACCCCATCTCTACTAAAAATCCAAAAAATTAGCTAGGTATGCTGGTGGTTGCCTGTAATCCCAGCTACTCGGGAGGCTGAGGCAGGAGAATCACTTGAACCTGGGAGGCAGAGGTTGCAGTGAGCCAAGATACCACCACTGCACTCTAGCCTGGGAGACCGCGAGACTCTGTCTCCAAATAAATAAATAAATAAAAACATTAGTGACTGTCAAAAAAAAAAAGAAAATATATTGGCTAGTCTGAAGGTAGTGAGTTCTCTCAATTGATTGTTTACAGTCAGTTACAGATCCAACTTCCTTCTCGCGACTGCACTTGACTGAGTGCAGTATGAAATGAAAGAAAGAAAATATATCACACATGATAACATGATAAGGCTAGTGATTTGTAAAACTCTTGTTCAAATTGTGTGTATGTGTGTGTCTGTTTGTACACCTGTAACAATATAAAAATTATTCCTTACTGTTGGTTGTAATAAAAAGAAAACATTGAGAAACATCATGTTACAATATAAATGCCTCCGTTTCCTCCCCCAACACCTTGGAACAGGCAGACTGTCTCTCCCAGGAAGACCTCACCTAATGCAACTGTACAACCCCAGGGAGCCTGGGTCCCACTGAGCCCTTCTCATAGCCCCCTCTGTCTCTGTCCTTCACCAGATGGTGTGGGCATCCTCCAATCGGCTGGGCTGTGCCATCCACACCTGTAGTAGCATCAGTGTCTGGGGCAACACCTGGCATCGGGCGGCATACCTGGTCTGCAACTATGCCATTAAGTAAGTGCCTGCACCAAGGCAAAGAGGGCCCTGGGGCCGGCGGGTGGGTCCTGAGAATTCAAAGAAAGATACGCTCCATATCCCTTCTTCATTCTAAGTGCCCTCAATACCATATAATTTGGGTAGTTTTAAGAGTTTACTAAGGCCGAGCATGGTGGCTCACGCCTGAAATCCCAGCACTTTGGGAAGCCAAGGTGGGCAGATCCCTTGAGCCCAGGAGTTCAAGATCAGCCTGGGGAACAAAGCAAGACCCCAACTCTTAAAAAAAAAAATTAGCTGAGTGTCATGGTGATCATCTGTAGTCCTAGATACTGGGGGAGGGGTGAGGCGGGAGGGTCACTTGAGCCCAGGAGGTTGAGGCTGCAGTGAGCCATTATCATGCTCACTCATGAGTGAGAAACTGTCTCAAAAAAAAAGTCAATTAATAATCCATTTTTTCTTTCTTTCTTTCTTTTTTTTGAGAAGAGGCCTTGCTCTCTCAGCCAGGCTGGAATGCAGTGGCATGATCTCAGCTCGCTGCAGCCTCCACTTCCCAGGTTCAAGCAATTTTCCTGCCTCAGCCTCCCGAGTAGCTGGGATTACAGGCGTCTGCCACCACGCCCAGCTAATTGTTGTATTTTTACTAGAGACAAGGTTTCGCCATGTTGGCCAGACTGGTCTCAAACCCCTAACCTCAGGTGATCTGCCCGCATCGGCCTCCCAAAGTGCTGGGATTACAGGAGTGAGCCACTGCGCCTGGCCTATTTTCTCTTCTTTTTTTGAGACAAGGTCTCCCTCTGTTGCCCAGGCTGGAGTACAGTGGCACAATCACAGCTCACTACAGCCTCGACTGGCTGGGCTCAAGTAACCCTCCTCACTTCAGCCTCTCAAGTAGCTGGGACTACAGGTGAATGCCACCATGCCTCGCTAATTTTTTGTAGAGACGGTGTCTCACTATGTTGCCCAGGCTGGTCTTGAACTCCTAGGCTCAAGCAGTCCTCCTTCCAAGGTCTCCCAAAGTGCTGGGATTACAGGCGTGAGCCACCCTACCCAGCCCAATAATCCTTTTCCTTTACCCAAGTTTGAGAATCACTGGGAAATAGACAGGATTGACACAGGTGGAAAGACAGTGTTGCTGAAGTCAGTAGTGGAGAATGTGGCTTACATCTGCCAATACACCAGCCAACTAGGCTTACAAATATCTCACTACTGAATTAGACCTACACATCCAGTGGCAGGTAACACTGGATAGCCAAAGGCCCCTTCTTAGAAGTACAGTGCCAGCCCTCTAAGCTTACGACAAGAAAAATACAGCCAAGAACACATGCTCCCTGCAGGCAGGCAGATCCCAAAGAAAAGGAAGGAGGAATGAGTGTGCTTAGCTTCTCCAGTTTGCTGGGTGGGAGAGTTTAGGAGATGCCTGCATACAAGCCTCTTGGAAACAGGGAGCAAGCGTAATGAAACTTGCAGACGTTCCAGATTCTCATAGAAAAACAAGAACAGGCCAGGAGCAGTGTCTTACACCTGCAATCCCAGCACTTTGGGGGGCTGAGGCGAGTGAATCACCTGAGGTTAGGAGTTTGAGACCAGCCTGGCCAACATGGCAAAACCTCGTGTCTACCAAAAATACCAAAATTAGCTGGGCATGGTGGCGCGTGCCTGTAATCCCAGCTACTTGGGAGGCTGAGGCAGGAGAATCGCTTGAGCCTCAGAAGTGGAGGTTGCAGCGAGCTGAGATCACACCACTGCATTCCAGCCTGGGCAACAGAGCAAGACTCCGTCTCAAACAACAACAACAACAAAAACAAAACAAGAACAAATTCTAAGTAAACATGATATTTAGAATTTCTTTTTTTCTTTTTTCTTTTTTTTTTGGGGGGGGACGAGGTCTTGCTCTGTCGCCCAGGCTGGAGTGCAATAGCCAGATCATAGCTCACTGCAGCCTCCAACTCCTGGGTTCAAGCAATCCTCCCGCCTCACCCTCCTGAGTAGCTGGGAGTACAGGCATGCACCATTACACCTGGCTAATTTTTAACATTTTTGTAGAGATGGGGGGCTCATTATGTTGCCTAGGCTGGTCTTGAACTCCTGGCCTCAAGCAATCTCCCTACTTGGACTCCCAAAGTGCTGGGATTATAGGTGTGAGCCACCCACCGTGCCTGCCCTAGAATTCCAAAATTATATAATAACCACATTTTACTGTCACATAGCCTTTAATCATTTACAAACTACTTTCACACTATCTCATTGAAGAGATGAAAGAAAGAAGGAAAAAGGGGGGAACCCTAGGAGGACATTCTTTTTACAAATTAAGAAATTGAGGCTCAGGCAGGTTGAGTAATTTACCAAATGTCACAAAGCCAACAAGTAGTAGAGCTGGTTCAGAAGAATCAGTCTTTTGATTCCAAATTCCAAATTCTTTCTATTGTATTATTCTGATGTTCTTGAAGTCATTAGTAGCCTGAAACAAATTCTCAAAACAGGATACTTGTTATTTGTTAGAAATGGCATCTATTGACAATGTGTCACGTTACAGCCCAGCTTTATCAGAGACAGAAAAATACAAGAAACCAAATTTCATTACAAATAGCGTCTAATTTTTTTTTTTTTTTTTTTTTTTTTGGAGGCAGGGTCTTGCTGTGTTACCTAGGCTCGGAAGTACAGTGGCATGGTCACAGCTCACGGCAGCCTCAACCTCCCAGGCTCAAGTTTTCTAGTTTGTTTGTTGACATATCAAATGTTTGAAGCATTGAGTGTTATCAGTATAGTTGTTAAGATTTTTAGCCTCTGGGGCCAAGACTACCAGGGTTCAAATGTGTGATCTTACTTAACTTCTCTACTCCTGTTTCTTCATCTGCAAAATGGGAATAAAATAATACCCAATCTTGGAATTGAGTGAGATAACACAGGTAATGCCCCCAGGCTCATAAGTGGGAAATACAGATTGGTTACTATTGTTATTACCAGGCCTAGGTTTGATTCCCCTCTGCAATGCATCTACTAAGCATTTGAATACATCATTTTATCTTGACAGGCTTCGGCCTTCCCCTTCCCCTTCCTTTCTTTCCTTCCCCTTTCCTTTTCCCTTTTTCCTTTCCCTTTTCCCCTTTCTCCTTTTCCCTTTCTCCTTTCCTTTCCTTTCCTTTCCTTTCCTTTCCTTTCTTTTCTTCTGTCCAGCTCTGTCACCCAGGCTGGAGTGCAGTGGCAGAATCTCAGCTCTGCAACCTCCACGTTCCTGGTTCGAGCAATCCTCACACCACAGCCTCCCCAGTAGCTGGGACTACAGGCGTTCACCACCACACCTGGCTTATGTTTTGTTTTTTGTTTTTGTTTTTTGTAGAGACGGGGGTCTCGCCATGTTGCCCAGGCTAGTCTGGAACTCCTGGGCTCAAGCAATCTGCCCACCTCAGTCTCCCAAAGTGCTGGGACTACAGGCACGAGCCACCAAGCCCAGCCCCTTTAAGGTAAATGCTACCTGCTCACAGAATTTAAGGATTAAAATATAATGTGAGGCCAGGTGTGGTGGCTCACGCCTGTAATCCCAGCACTCTGAGAGGCCGAGGCAAGTGGATCACCTGAGGTCAGGAGGTCGAGACCAGCCTGGCCAACATAGTGAAATCCCATCTCTACTAAAAGCACAAAAATTAGTCGGGCATGGAGGTGCGTCCCTGAGGCAGGAGAATCGCTTGAACCCGGGAGGCGGAGTCTGCAGTGACCTGAGATCATGCCACTGCACTCTAGCCTGGGCGACAATGCGAGACTCTATCTCAAAGTAAAATAAAATAAAATAAATAAAATAAAATAAAATAAAATAAAATAAAATAAAATAAAAATAGCCTCTGTGGTGCCTTGCCCATAGTACATGCTAAATAAATGGTGGCCATGACTAGAACCAAGTTATAAACTCTTGGGCATGGGAAATCGACCGTTTTCATTTCTATATCCTTCTACTATAGTGATTGCAATCCTTTGTTTTTTTAAGCAGAACTTTTTTCTAAGTGGTTAAATTAAACAAAAAAAGAACTCCATGTCATCCCAGGTATCACCACCACCCACTCTCCCCGCCCCCAAACTTCTGAGAGCACCTTTTGAGAACTGTGGACTGACAGCAGCCGGCACAAATCCTGATGTTCAATAGGTGCTCCAGAAGTGTTTGTTGAATGACTAAATGATTGAATGAGTCCTGTTAGGAAACCAGAAGTGAGTATTTTTCTGAGCACTTCAGCTGATTTCACTCATGGTCACTCAACAATCACGTTTGGAGAAAAAAGATTATATTTCTGCTCAAAGGTGTGTTCATTTAAGGTGAGAAAACAAGGCACTGGGGCTTGGCAAAGAATGCCACAGGCCAGTGGTGAGATTATTAGGCAGCCATGAGCAAGAGCTGGAGGAACAATTTTAGGCTTTGAAAGGAGAAAGAGGGAGAAAAAGGCTGGGCGCGGTGGCTCACGTCTGTAATTCCAGCACTTTGGGAGGCCAAGGTGGGCAGATCACTTGAGGTCAGGAGTTCGAGACCAGCCTGGCCAACATGGTGAAACCCTGTCTGTACTAAAAATACAAAAATTAGCCAGGTGTGGTGGCACATGCCTATAATCCCAGCTACTCAGGAGGCTGAGGCACGAGAATTGCTTGAACCCAGGAGGCGGAGGCTGCAGTGAGCCAAGATCGCACCATTGCATTCCAGACTGGGTGACAGAGCGAGACTCCCTCTCAGAACAAAACAAACAAAAAGAATAAGAAAATCAACCCTTACAAGGGAGCCACTAATTAACTAGGCACAGTGCTAGGTGCATACATACATGTGATCTTTGCTGAATTCCTTAGAGAGAGAGGAGGCTCTTCTCTTGGTTTTACAGGAGAAACCAAGGCTTACAGGTTGGGCACAGTGGCTCATGACTGTAATCTCAGCACTTTGGGAGGCTGAGGCAGGAGGACTGCTTGAGTCCAGAAGTTTGAGACCAGCCTGAGCAGTATAGGGAGACCCCCCATCTCTGCAAATAAATAAAAAATTAGCTGGGCATGGTAGCATGTGCCTGTAGTCTTAGCTACTCAGAAGACTGAGCTGAGTTGGGAGGATTGCTTGAGCCCAGGACGTCAAGGCTGCAGTGAGCTATGGGTGACAGAGCAAAACAAAATAAATAAATAAATAAATAAAGGAAAGAAAAAAAAGAAACCAAGGCTTGCAGATGTGACTTGCCCCAGGTCCCCAGGGCTGGTCAGTGGCAGCGCTGAGATCTGGACATCTGTGTGAAGGTTACTCACCTAATGCTCCTCTGTCTCCCTGGGTCCTTTTCTCTTCCAGGGGCAACTGGATTGGCGAGTCCCCGTACAAGATGGGAAAGCCGTGCTCCTCCTGTCCCCCCAGTTATCAAGGCAGCTGCAATAGCAACATGTGCTTCAAGGGGCTGAAATCCAACAAGTTCACGTGGTTCTGAATTTTCTCTGGGCTTTGGTGCGCCTCCAGCTGGGCCTGACCCTCCATGTCCTGCCCTCAAAAAACTGGGTGGAGAAATAATTGTTTCTTTAAAGGATATGAGTTAGAATCACCCCCTGTTGAATTTTCCCTCCTAGATCCCCTTCTTAAATGTCCAACATGGGTCAAAAGAAAATGACCTCCTTGCCTTCCTTCTTTCCTAGTTGCATCTTTCTTTTCTTGGGCCTCTGGGAAAGAGCCCTGCATCTTTCATTAATTCGGTTCTCAGAGAACCAAGGCTGGAAGGCATAGAACTGGCACCTTGGGACCAGGCATAATGGCTCACACCTATAATCCCAGTATTTTGGGAGGCTGAGGTGGGAGAATCACTTGAGTCCTGGAGTTGGAGAACAGCCTGGAAAGCCTGGCGATACCCCATCTCTATTTAGAAACAAACAAACAAACAAATAAAAAACCTGGCACCTCGGTTTTGTAACTCTCAGGCTTTGTCAAACCCAAATGACTTTGTCCATCCAATGAAAGGAATTCCACTGGGTGCGGCGGCTCACACCGGTAATCCCAGCACTTTGGGAGGCTGAGGCAGGTGGATCACCTGAGGTCAACAGTTCGAGACCAGCCTGGCCAACATGGTGAAACTCTGTCTCTACTAAAAATACAAAAATTAGCCAGGAGTGGTGGCTCGCGCCTATAATCGCAGCTACTCGGGAGGCTGAGGCAGGAGAATCGCTTGAACCTAGGAGGCGGAGGTTGCAGTGAACAGAGATCCAGCGACTGCATTCCAGCCTGAGGACAGAGTGAGACTCTGTCTCTAAAAAAAAAAAAAAAAAGAAAGAAAGAAAGGAAACCCGCTTTCATTCGTCTCATAACAGTCAACCAGTTTCTGGGCAGTCTTTGAGGACTCGTGATTCGCTCCCTGAGTTGGGCACATTTCAGGCCCATGATTTTGAAAAACATTGAAATTGGCTTGTGGACATCCGCCCCCCCACCCCCACTGCATGGTACTGGAGCCACGACAGAGTCCAGGCCCCCCTTTTTACAGATGGGTACACTGAGGCTCAGAGCAGGGTGTAACTTACCCAGAGCTGCACAGCTTGTCTTTGATGGCCAAGGTTAGAGCTCAGTCTCTCACAGCTCCTTCCTGCTTCCTCGGCTCTCAGAACTGAGAAGTGAAAACCAAAGTTGGCCTGAGGGGACTCTCTCTGGGCCTTTTTTTCTCTATCTCTGCCTCGGTCTCTCTCTCTTTTGTCTACTGTCCGTTCTATCTCTGCCTGTTTTTGTTTTGGTCTCTGCATCTCTGATTCTTTTTCTCCCATATAATCTTACTCTCATTCCAATAAACCATTTCCCCTCTCCCCCCACCATCCCACCCAGGGATCATAGCACACAAAAGTCCTTTTGTCTCCAGAGATAGTAAAATCTCCTCCCTCAGACCTTGCCCTGCAGCTGGGGCCCACTCCCTGCCTGGCTGGAGAGCTTTTCCTTTGAAGACCCGGGATGGAAAACAGGCCCTTTTCCATGGAGTCCCTACGTTGTCCTGGATGGAATGAATTTTCTCATCCTGTGCATGTCACCCCCTCCCATTCCACCCCCAATAAAGTCTTTTGAGATCCAGTGTAGTGGCTCTTTCTGGTCCCTCCCTCTCTTGGCTCCCAAGAGGGTCAAAACACAAGGAATGGGAACTGGGTGGGGGAAGATGGGTGAGAGGAAAACCAGCTCAACTGGAAGACCAGGGGAAGGAACTAACAGCGCTTTGGGCCCCGCTCTGCAGAAGGCTAGATCAATGCACAAGTGCATGCACGTATACTATTGCTCCACTTTACAGATGAGATAAATGAGGCATGGGGTGAGTACTAGCTTCCAAATGCTGGAAATGAGTGAAATAAGAGAATTAAGAGGTTGGGCGTGGTGGCTCATGCCTGTAATCCCAGCACTTTGGGAGGCCAAGGCGGCAGATAGCTTGAGGCCAGGAGTTCAAGACCAGTCTGGGCAACACAGTGAAACCCTGTCTCTACTAAAATTACAAAAATTAGCCAAGCATGGTGGGGCACGCCTGTAATCCCAGCTACTCAGGAGGCTGAGACACCAGAATTGCTTGAACCCAGGAAGTGAAGGTTGCGGTGAGCCAAGACTGCACCACTGCACTCCAGCCTGGGTGACACAGCAAGTCTGTGTCTCAAAAAAAAAAAAAAAAAGAGAGAGAGAATTAAGGACACTGTTGTGAGTTCATTGTTCTTAGACTATATCTTTCCTACTTTATTTTTTGGAATGGGCTCTCGAAGGCAGTATCAGAAATGGAAAACCGAAGAGATCACGTGGAATTCCCACCTTACAGTGGCACTTTTGGCTTGTCTCTTCCCTGGCACAGTGGCTCATACCTGTAATCCCAGCACTTTGGGAGGCCAAGGAAGGTGGATCACCTGAGTTCAGGAGTTCCAGACCAGCCTGACCAACATGGTGAAACCCCGTCTCTACTAAAAATACAAAATTAGCCAGGCGTGGTGCTGTGTGCCTGTAATCCCAGCTACTTGGGAGGCTGAGGAAGGAGAATCGCTTGAACCCAGGAGGCGGAGGTTAAAGTGAGCCGAGATGGCGCCATTGCACTCCAGCCTGGACAACAAGAGCAAAACTCTGTCTCAGAAAAAAAAAAAAAAAAAAAAGAACAGATTTAATGAAACTTCTTGAATCCCAGTTTTTACATCTGTAAAATGGGAATATTGACAGTGACAATTCAATGACGTTAAGAATATACAATGCTGACAAACTAAAGAGTTCATAAATGCCAGTGGTTGTCATCCTCATTATCCTGGTGCTCAGGAAGGCAATGTGAGACCTGTTGAAATAGCACGGGCTTTGGGGTCAGATGATGCTGAATTCCAGTTCTGTGTTGGCTCCTTCGTAGTTATGTGACCTCATGACGCCACTTCATGCAGGGGGTTACGTACCACTTAAATCTCCAGAACATTTTGGGAAATTGACATAGGGTTAGCAAACCTCCCCCACCCCCATATAAAAATATTAATACTTTTTTTTTTTCTGAGATGGAGTCTGGCTCTGTCGCCAAGGCTGCAGTGCAGTAGTGCAATCTTGGCTCACTGCAACATTTGCCTCCTAGGTTGAAACGATTCTCCTCCTTCAGCCTCCCGAGTAGCTGAGATTACAGGTGCTCGCTGCCACACCCAGCTAATTTTTGTATTTTTAGTAGAGATGGGATTACACCGTGTTGGCCAGCCTGGTCTCAAACTCCTGACCTCAAGTGATCCACCTGCCTCAGCCTCCCAAACTGCTGGGATTACAGGCATGAGCCACTACACCCGACCAAGAATATTAATACTTTTTTTTAAAAAATATCGAAGTTATTTATTTATTTATTTATTTATTTATTTATTTATTTATTTTGAGATGGAGTCTCTCTCTGTTGCCCAGGCTGGAGTGCAGTGGCACGATCTTGGCTCACTGCAACCTCTGTCCCCCTGGTTCAAACGATTCTCTTGCCTCAGCCTCCCGTTTGCCACCATGCCCGGCTAATTTTTTTATTTTTGGTAGAGACGGGGTTTCACCATGTTGGTCAGGCTGGCCTCAAACTCCTGACCTCGTGATCGGTGCGCCTCGGCCTCCCAAAATGCTGGGGTTACAGGCGTGAGCCACTGCACCCGGCCCCAAAATCTAACGTTTGTTATCACTGTTGTTTTAGAAAAGAAAGGACATTTTAATGCAACCCATGCCCATCTGTAGGGGCTGAAGGTCCCTCTGAGGTGATTGATAAAGCTGAAAAAAGAGACTATGGGAAGAGAAGAGGAATATTATCAATTAGCTATTTTAGAAGCAGGGCAAACTATGAGCTAGGTATTCCTATAAGGAAATGAAATAATTTACTAAAAAACATACAGCAAGAAAATAATAGAGCTGGAGTTTTCTGATTTTTCTGAGTCCAGAATTTGTTTCACTGTTCTCATTTCAGCTCTCTCTAACAGGATGAATGACCTTGATTTCAGAATCCCCAAGCAGGTGGTGAGATCCAAAACTGAGACAAAAGAAACGGGGCTGTTCCAAAAAAAAAGCTAGGTGGCAGGTGTCTAACATGCCAGGGAGCTAAAACAGAGTGTGTGAGTTTCAGCAGCAGGTTGAATTTAGAATGGGGAAGGAGACCAGAGGAGACGCCAGACAGGATGACTTTGTCCCATTGGCCTGGAGGCAGCCCCATGTTTCTCCACCCCTCATATCACTCACCAGTTTGTAATAGTATCTTTGAATGACGATCTGATTAAGGTCCGTCTCCTCCATTAGTCCACAAGTTTCGGGGGTACATCTACTTTGCTCATTTCCATATCCCCAGAGTCTAGCACAAGGCCTGGTACATAGTAGGTGCTCAATAAATATGTTAGATGAAAGGAAGATAACACCTCTATGTACTAGCAGTGAGACTCCAGGCATGCAATTTCTCTCTGTCCTTCAGTCCCTTCATCTCAAGGTTTAATTTAAATATGGTAACGCCTGTATGCAACTCCCAGCATCCAGTAGGCACTCACTAAACACAGTTCTCCACCCTCCTTTTTTCCTCTGCCCCTCCCTCGGTTTTCCCACTACTTCCTGCATGGTGACACACCCATAGTTTGGAGCCATAAAACCCAACCCAGGTTGGACTCTCACCTCTCCAGCCCCTTCTGCTCCGGCCCTGTCCTCAAATTGGGGGGCTGATGTCCCCATACACCTGGCTCTGGGTTCCCCTAACCCCAGAGTGCAGGACTAGGACCCGAGTGGACCTCAGGTCTGGCCAGGTCGCCATTGCCATGGAGACAGCAACAGTCCCCAGCCGCGGGTTCCCTAAGTGACTGGTTACTCTTTAACGTATCCACCCACCTTGGGTGATTAGAAGAATCAATAAGATAACCGGGCGGTGGCAGCTGGCCGCACTCACCGCCTTCCTGGTGGACGGGCTCCTGGTGGCTGTGCTGCTGCTGTGAGCGGGCCCCTGCTCCTCCATGCCCCCAGCTCTCCGGCTGGGTGGGCTTGGCCATGGTCAGCGTGAACGCGCCCCTCGGGGCTCCAGTGGAGAGTTCTTACGGTAAGTGGGGCTGGGGGAAGACTGGACAGGGCGGGACTGCGGTCAGCTTTGGGAGGCCATGGGACACCTCCCCGTGTGTTTCTTACGGGCCCAAAGCTCCTCCTGGAGCTCCTCTGGAAGGGCAGGAAGCCCCACGGAGGCAATGTGACCGCTTCCCTAAGCTCTCAAGCCGGGGCATGGCCTGCTTGGTGCGAGAAGTGCTGGGAGGGGCCGAGAAGCCCTGGGGCAGAGGCTTGGCTCATTTTGTCTGTCCAGAGGCCTTCCTGGGAATGCATCTCAGGGGTCTTTCCAAAACCCCACAGAGGGTGGGGCTTGGAAGCACCGTCCTGTTTCGATGCGGGGCAAATTGAGGTCCACCAGGAGAGGCTTGCTGGGCCTAGGTCACGTTGCTGGTGCATTATCAAGCTGGGCGTGGGACCGGGCAGCTCGGTCGCTCCGCACCTCCGTTGGCTCTGGATAATGGGGAGGAGGTAGAAAGCGCCGCGCAGGGTGGAGCGTTGGAAAATGAGAATATCTTGTGCGGACGTGTGAAACTCAGATGCAGGGCTAGAAAGCATGTGTTACTGAGAGTGAAAGGCTCAGGCTCACTCCTTAGGGTGACCCCCACATTGGAAGCAACCCAATGTCCCTCAGCAGAGGGAAGACGGGTAAATAAAGCGTGAGACGTCTTTACAGTGGAATGCTATCCCATTGTTCAAGGAAACAACGCACATCTGTGTGTGACAGGGAAGAACCTCTCAGTTAAATTAAGTGAAAACGGTACACTGAAGAACTGTGTAGTTGCTGATAGCGAAACGGATATAGATGTATATATGTACACACGCGTATACGTGTACATTCCACGCATAGAAAATTCGTGGAATGACACAATAAAATTGGTGACAGGTTTGTTTCTGAGGAGGGAAATTCAAGAGAATGTTTTATCTTTTGGGGACACATTTTGGATTTTTTAAAAGTTGGGTGCCTTTTATAAACCTGTTCAAATCACACACCCGCACAGAACTTGGTCTCTGGAATCCAGCAGACCTCGGGGTCTAGTTGTGACTCTGTCACACGGCTCAACATTCACGTGCCTCTTGCTTTCTTTCTGAAGTGGAGACAGGACTAGGATGTGTCTTAAGATCATGGTGGATGCCGTGGGGAACAAGGATGTAAAGCCCTTGATACCACGTGCATTGCAAAGACACAATCAACATTTATGTCATCAATTGCTGAGGACAGAGGGCCAGGGAATGACAGAATCAGGGCCTGATCTCCTGACTCTAGTCAGGAAGAATCTTCTTTGCTTTGACCCCCATCAAACAGGAATATGTGATGCACTGGAAATGGCAGAGGCTGAAGAAACCAACAGCCTGGGAACCCATCCCACACACCAGCTGTGTGACCTTGGGCAAGACATTTCCCCTCTCTGAACCTATTTCCTCATCTGTAAAATGAAGATAACAACAGGACCTATCTCCCAGAGAGCGGGGAGATTAGAGGAGATAGCATAGAGGAGATTAAGGGTGAGGCCACCCTTAATCCACAATTTTAAGACCTGGAGTATAGATGCCAATGGATGACTTGGTTGAACCTGTGGCTAGGGGAAGACATTGTCTCTCAAAGGGGCCAGACAGCTTCTGGGGAAGGACAGCCCAGGTCATAAGGCTAAGCTAGGGGTGAACAGAAGGCCCCACAGTGTCTCTTAAAGGATGATACAATAATATAACCTGACAGCCTTTCACTGTCTCCCACGTCTCTGCACCTTGTAGGATGTCCTCATGTCTCTTCATCTCTGCTCCTGTGTCATACTCATTATATAGCAAACATTCAGCAATTATTAGAATGGTTGCTTCTATCGACAGGTAGGTGGGTGAATGGATGGATGAATGGGTTAGTGAATGTTCTACTATTATCTCTCAGACAGCTGTTTCATTTTCCAAACGGCTGTCTGAGATAAATAATATTGTAATCTCCAAGGACAGAAGAAAAAACTAAGGTTCAAGATTAAAAAAAAAACACAAACAAACAAAAAATGTCATCTGACTCGAGACTTGACACAATCCAGCTGTTGCTGGCCCTCTGCTCTAGGCCACAGATATGGCTGGACAGAGAAAGGAGAACTCCAGTGACCTTGCAGTACATCCACAAAAAATGAGCACTTTTGTCCTGGGGCAGTGGAACATTCACTGCAGTGTATGTGTGCCTATGTGTATGTGTGTGAGAGTGGCTGAAAGACCCTGATTTGATATTTTTGATAAAATACACCTGGGTTAGCATCCTAGATCTACCTTATTTAAAAAAAAAAAACAAAACAAAAAACTGTGTGGTCTTGTGAGTCAAATCATTACCCCTCTCTGAGCTTCACATGTTTTATCTGTAAAATGAGCTACTGAAGTCTGCTGGAAGGCTCCAGAAAAAAAAAAAAAAGAAAAGAAAAATTTGCTTTCTGAGAAAAGAAACAAGTGCTCCGAGGAAACAAAACCCCTCTCCCAGGCTGGGTGCAGTGGCTCACGCCTGTAATCCCAGCACTTTGGGAGGCTGAGGCGGGCAGATAACTTGAGATTAGGAGTTCGAGACCAGCCTGGCCAACATGGCAAAACCCCGTCTCTACTAAAAATACAAAAACTAGCCGGGTATGATGGCACACGCCTGTAATTCCAGCTACTTGGGAGGCTGAGGCATGAGACTCACTTGAACCTGGGAGGTAGAGGTTGCATTAAGCTGAGATCATGCCACTGCCACTCCAGCTTGGGCAGCAGAACAAGACTCTATCTCAAAAAAAACAAAACAAAACAAAAAAACAAAAAACAAACAAAAAATCTTCTTCTGGGGTTCTCTAATGGGGATAACATTAATCATCTCCTAAGATGACTATAGTAGAGGTGCATTGGTGGGTCAGGGACATGGCACATAGCAGAGCCTCAGTTAGAGGCAGAGGAAGACATGGCTGTTGTGAGGATCAAATGGAAGGATCCATGAGTGCTTAGAACAGTCCTGGGTCCAGAGCAAGCACGCAAGAAATCCTCGTTGTGGTTTCATGTTTTTGAGCTTTAGCAGGATTCTAAAGAGCTGCTCTTTGGTGTGGTGATGCTGGGTGGACTTGGCCCTCCCTGGACTTCCGGTGCTTCCACGGCACACTGGTTTTGGCTTTGCGGTTCTCGTCATCGCTCTGATCAGATAGTTGCTGGTGTGAATTGTGGTGTCTGGCTGCCCCACCAGACTATAAACTCCGTGAGTTCTGGGACCTGGGTAGTTTGTTCAGCCTTGTTTGTCTCACTATGTCTCACATGGTGACTGGCACAGAAGAAATGCTCAATAAGCATTTGTTGGATGAGTGAAATGATGGGCTTAAAACAGCGCTACAATGATGATCATCAATGTCAGCCAGATCCCACTCTCTTGCCTTCCTTCCTCTCTGCCCTCCTCACTGCGTTGTCTTTGGTCCTTGTATTTGCCCCATTATAACCCAAACTGGCTGTCCCAGCTTCAGCTGTCATGTCTGCACTTACGTGTCTGAAGCTGGAGGCAGGAGGAGAAGAGGTTTTCCTCAGTGCCCTTGTTTCTTTTATCCAAAAGCAAAACTTCCCCAGAAACCTCCTGGCAGACTCCCCTAGTTCAAGGAAAGCTGGGAAGACAAGTATGTAGTGGAAAGAGATGGGAAAGCCAAGATGGACCTAGACCAGTGATTTTTCTCTTGGGGTGTGGCACACTCCTGCTCCAAACAGAACTGAGGCTCTGGTATAAATGAGTTTCTCAGCCTCAGCACTGTTAACTTTCTGGCCTGGAAGATTCTCTGTGGTGAGGGGCTGTCCTGTGCACTGTAGGATGTTAAGCAGCATCCCTGGCCTTTACTCCCCAGATGCCAGTAACATCTCTTCCCATCAGTTTTGCCAAAGAAAAAATGTCTCCAGAAAGCCAAATGTACCCTGGGGCACATATAACCCCACTGTGTTATAGGAGAACAAGGTAGTTCTGGGGAGTGTCTACCACAATGGAGTAGAGTAGACTGTGACTCTTGTGTTGTTCTGCTTTGAGTGCCAGGATCTTGCTCAGTGCCAATCTGGTACTACCCTGAGTAACTCTGAGGATGAGATGCTAAACATGCATATCTGTGTGCTAACCTGACTCCTGGCCTTATTACTTTTCTACCCTTATTTTCCCTTTAACAAGTTTCCCTTGGTTATTTATTTTGCTTCTTTGGTAGTTGCTCATTTCCGTAAGTACCTCGAATCTCCTTAAAGGAAAGGTCTGTATCTATCTCATTCTTTTTGTTATAGTCCAGCCTTCCACAGGGCCTGATCCCATGTAGACCTTGATTGAAGATTAATTAAGTGGATGAATGAATGGGAAGATGGATGGATGAATAAATGTATGTTTAGGTGGGTGGATAGGTGAATGGACTGATGAATGAATGTGATGTGATGAATGGATGTGATAGATGGGTGGAGGGATGCATGAATGGAATAGAGGGAGAAATAGCTGGATGGATGAGACAAATGAATGAGTAACTGGGGAGATGGCTGGGTGGATAGATGGGTGGATGGATTAATAAAAAGATGTTATGGGTGGATGGTTGGGTGTGGAGGATGATGCATGGATGGGTAAGTAGATGGATGGAAAGATATGTAGGTGCATGTGATAAATGGATGAATAAGTAGCTGGATAGATGGGTAGGTGGTTAGGGGAAGGATGGATGGACAAATGATGTGATGAGTGGGTTGATGAAAAGATGGATGAATGGATGGATAAGAAGGGGTGGGCTGAGGTAGCCTGGAATAGCAGCATCTTCAAGTGCTCTAAACAGGACAAGTGAAGAGATAGGGGATGTCAACAATCTTCCATCAGGGCAATACTGTATATCTGTTTTTAAGTGCCAGGTGAGCCTAATTTTTCCTAGCTATGTAGGCCTAGTCCCTTTGACCAATAGCATCAGCTTGAGGACAGATCAGAGGCCATTGTCGGAGACAGTTTGGTGATGTGGCTCTGCCCCTTGAAGCTCTATGATGATGGTGCTTTGCTTCACTTCTCTGGTCCTCAGTTTCTTCACCCATCAAATGAGCCTTGGTTGTTGTGAAGATTCCATGAGCTAATGAAAGAGAAAAGGTAATAGAAGCTATAACAAACATGCCGTGTCCTTGTGAAGGGTGGATAGGCCCAAAATCGAGTAGGACCCCAGATGCTGGCTGGCTATGGGACCGTGTCCAATATCAGGCTATGGCTGTTCCCACCCTTCATTCTTAAAATATGGCCCCTCTCCAGCCCTTCCCCTATCTCCCCTCCCACATCACCTTCCCATCCTACGTCAATTCAGTCTTCAGCCCCTATGATTCACAAACCTGGTTGCACATAGGAAACTTTTTAAAACAATTTTGGGGCTCCACTCCAGACCCAGTGAATCAGTCTCCTGGGGTGAGTTCCAAGAGTCTGTAATTTTTTGAGCTCCTTGTGTGACTTAGGGTATGCAGTTCAGTTGAGGTATGGAAACCATTGCCTTACTTTCTCCCATTTAGTAAACAGAGGAACTAAATATCCAGAGTGCATCTTGCCTCAACCCAGAAGCCTCCCGTATTCATTAATTCATTGTTCATTTGTTCATTTCTTCAACAATCTTCCACTGGAGGCTTATGGTATTTAAGACATTTTGTAAGGCACTGGGGAAACACAGGAGGATAAAACTTTGCTTCACGTGGTGGCTCATGCCTGTAATCCCAGCACTTTGGGAGGCCAAGGTGGGTGGATCACCTGAGGTCAGGAGTTAGAGACCAGGTAGAGGCAGAGGTTGCAGTGAGCCAAGATCACGCCACTGCACTCTAGCCTGGCGACAGGAGTCAGACTATGTCTCAAAACCAAACCAAAACAAAACAAAACCAAAAAAAAACAACAAAAAAAACAACTTTGCTTCAGATCTTAAACTGTGCTCAGTTTGGCAGGAGGACAGACAAGCCAGCAGCAACCAAAGACAGAGTGCCATGATAAGGACAGCAAAGGCACTGTGGGATACAGAGGGACTTAGGAGAAGGGGAAGGGGTCACAGACTTCTTGACCTTGGAGGAGTAGACTGATATCTAAGCTGGAACCTCGGTTTAGCAGGAGTCAGCCGGGAGAAGAGACGGTGGGGAAGAGTGTTCCCAGCTGAGGGAACAGCATATGAAAAGGCCTGGAGCCTGGCCACACACTGCTCTGATTTTACTTATATTTGACTGCAATTAATTCCATCCTTTACTGAAAGTATCTTGAGACTTGTCTGGTTGTTTCATGATTGATTAATCTTATTCCTAAAAGCATGCTGAGGCTGGGCATGGTGGCTTATTGTGGATTACACGCCTGTAATCCCAGCACTTTGGGAGGCTAAGGCGGGTGGATCACTTGAGGTCAGGAGTTCCAGACCAGCCTAGTCAACATGGTGAAACCCTGTCTCTACTAAGCATACAAAAATTAGCTGGACGTGGTGCCAGGCGCCTGTAATCCCAGCTACTCGGGAGGCTGAGGCAGGAGAATCACTTGAACGCAGGTGGTGGAGGTTGCAGTGAGCCGAGGTTGTACCACTGCACTCCAACCTGGGCAACAGAGGGAAACTTGTCTTAAAAAAAAAAAAAAAAAAAAAAAGCATGCTGAGATGCTTAAGTGAAGGAATTGTGCCTTCCATTTTTCCTGACTCATATGCCTGTAGCATAAGGATGGGTCAATGATAACGAAAGGAATTTGTTTTCATTTAAGCCCCTTTTATGTAATGGGCAAGATGTTGGCTATTTGATATGTTTTCTCCCTTTTAAGCCTTGCAATAACCCATCCAAGTAGGAAATATTATCTCCATTTTATAAACAAAGAAATTGAGATTCAGAGTTGTTAAGTCACGTTTCCCTGCATCGCCTTGCAAATAGGTGATTAAAATCTAGTCTGACACCAAATCTTCATTCTTTCAGCTATTATGTCATAATAGCATCCAAGGAGTTTACCACCTTCTACCACCTACTAGCTGTGTGACCTTGAGTGAATGACTCAATTCTCTTTTTTTTTTTTTTTTGAGACGGAGTCTTGCTCTGCTGCCCAGGCTGGAGTGCAATGGTATGATCCTGGCTCACTGCAACCTCTGCCTCCTGGGTTCAAACAATTCTCCTGCCTCAGCCTCCTGAGTAGCTGGGATTGTAGCTGGGGTTACAAGCGCCTGCCACCATGCCTGGCTAATTTTTTTTTATTTTTAGTAGAGATGGGGTTTCACCATGTTCGCCAGGCTAGTTTTGAACTCCTGACCTCAAGTGATCTGCCCGCCTCGGCCTCCCAAAGTGCTGGGATTACAGGCCTGAGCCACTGCGCCCGGCCGACCCAATCTTTTTTGCCTCAGTTTCCTCATCTGTCAAATGGGGTTGATGATAATACCATTTACTTCACAGGGTTGTTGTGAGACATAAAGTCAATATTTGTAAAGTGCTGAGTGTCTAGCACATAGAAAGTGCTATGTGAATTTGAACGATTATTATTATTATACCTATAGTGTGTGCATCTACTATATGCAAAGGACTGGATGCTTACTAGGTGTTAGCATCATTTTGGCTGTTGTAGAAACAACAGAGATGAGTAAGGAATAGATAACTGGTCCCAGGATGCAACTGTCTCTGGCTGGAGACTAAGGACAAGGCTTTGTTGCAAGCCTTCTGGGGCCCTGGGATGCCCAGGGTCTCCTCTTGGGGGTGCTGGTTCATAGATGGGGGCCTGTGTGGCTCCTTCACAGAGGAGGAGGCAGATGAGAGGCATAGAAAGGGAGGGGACAGACCTATCCTCATCAGAGACCTGGGAGATGGCTCTGGCCCTGGCCCTGGGTAGCTGTTTGTGACCTCACTCAAGTCCTTCTCCTGCTGTTTCTCCATCTACTCTTTTTTTTTTTTTTTTTTTTTTGAGACAGAGTCTCAATGTCACCCAGTGGCTCTATCTCTGCTCACTGTAACCTCCACCTCCTGGGTTCAAGCAATTCTCATGCCTCAGCCTCCCAAGTAGCTGGGATTGCACGTGTGTGCCACCACACCTGACAAATTTTTGTAGTCTTGGTAGAGATGGGTTTCACCATGTTGGCTAGGCTGGACTCCTGGCCTCTTGTGATCCTCCCACCTCGGCCTCCCAAAGTGCTGGGATTACAGGTGTAAGCCACAGCACCCAGCCTCCATTTCCTCTTTTGAGAAATGGAGGTATGACAACCATCTGGCTCAGCCATTGTCACACAGTATTCCCTGGGTCCTAAGAGTCAGGAAAGATGCTGCAGGGTTCCCTTTGAGGGTAATGTGGGTAGGGACGTGTTCAAATGGACTAGGGCTTAGCCTCTCCCCACCCTTCAACCTCTGGCTCCATCAGAGACACTTCTTTTTGACTTTTGTATATTTCTTTTTATTTTATTTTAGAGACAGGGGTCTCGCTATGTTGCCCAGGCTAGCCTCAAACTCCTGGGCTCAAGCAATCCTCCCGCCTCAGCCTCCCAGCCCCTGGGATTACCTGCTCATGCCACTGCACCCGGCACTCTGTTTTGACTTTTAAATGAAATATTTAATGGAGGGTCTCCACAGTTCAAAAATATTTGGAAAATCAGAAGACCACACCAGTGTGTTTCAAACTGCAATCTTAACCCAGGAATAGGTCATGCAATTTTTTTTTTATTTTTTTTTTCTAGATGGAGTCTTGCTCTGTCACCCAGGCTGGAGTGCAGCGGCACGATCTTGGCTCACTGCAACCTCCGCCTCCTGGGTTCAAGCAATTCTCTGCCTCAGCTTCCTGAGTAGCTGGGATTACAGGTGCCCACCACCGCGGCCAGCTACTTTTTGTATTTTTACTAGAGACGGACTTTCACCATCTTGGCCAGGCTGGTCTTGAACTCCTGACCTCGTGATCCACCTGCCCCGACCTCCCAAAGTGCTGGGGTTACAGGTGTGAGCCACCGTGCCCAGCCGGTCCTTCAATTTATTGGGATTATATTAGTTCAGACAATATAGCTTATGTAACAAGCAAATGCAGACTTTAAGTTAGAAGTTTATTGACCTCTGTGGCATAGTCATCCAGGGACCCCTAAGGTCACCCTAGCCCAGAAAGACACTTTCACTTCTACTCACATTCCATTGGTGAGAACTAGTCACATGGCCCTTGCCAAATGCAAGGGGGTCTGGAAGATGTGGTCCCTAGCGGGGCGGGACTAGCTGTAAAGTTTGTAAAGGGGAGCGTGAATTAGTTGGTACACAGTTGATCGTCTGTGCAGTAGGGTCATGCTCACACGTCCCTCCACACACACACGTTAAATATGTATAACAAGTGTAAATATACAATTTAAAAAAGTATCTTTTTTTTTTGGTTTGTTTTTGTTTTGTTGTTGTTTTTGAAACAGGGTCTTGCTCTGTCATGTGGGCTACAGTGAGCCACAATCATGGTTCACTGCAGCCTCAACCTCCCAAGCTCAAGCAATCCTTCCATCTAAGCCTCCCAAGTAGCTGGGACCACAGGTGCATGCCACCATGCCCAGCTAATTTTTTATTTTTATTTTTTTGTAGTGACAGGTCTTGCTGTGTTGCACAGGCTGGTTTCCTACTCCTGTCCTCAATCTTCCTGCATCAGCCTCCCAAAATGCCGGGATTACAGGTGTGAGCTACTGCACCTGGCCTTTACAATTTTTTACATAAAATGTTTCAATAAAAAAGTGCATAGATAGATACAGAGATAGCAATAAAGCAAATGTGACAGAATGCAACCAGTTGGTGAATTTAGGCGAAGGGATACATCAGTGCTCACTATACTAGTCTTTCAAACTTTAAAGTTTGAAATTTTTCAAAGTAAAATATTGGAGAAAATGAAATTCTTAAAATTTACTAGACCTATAAGTAGACTAAAACAATAAGTTATAACTAAAGTAAGATTTGGCCGGACGCCGTGGCTCATGCCTGTAATCCCAGCACTTTGGGAGGCTGAGGTGGGTGAATCACTTGACCCCAGGAGTTCAAGACCAGCCTGGGCAATATGGCAAAAACCCACCTCTACAAAAAACACAAAAATTAGCTGGGCCTGGTGGTACACGCCTGTAGTCCCACCTACTCGGGAGGCTGAGGCAAGAGGATTGCTTGAGCCCAAGAGGTGAAGGTTGCTGTGAGCCGAGATTACAACACCACACTCCAGCCTGGGTGACACAGCGTAATCCTAGTGCTTTGGGAGGTCAAGGCAGAAAAATTGCCACCACACCTGGACTTAAAAAATATTTTTACTGAAGTATAACATTCAAAACAGAAAAAGGCACAAATCATCAATGTATCGCTTTATGAAATTTCACATTTTAACAAAAGAATGAAATAAAATAAAATAGAAAATATCATAGAGCATTTCATGTAGTAAGAGTAAGATATGTATGTTTTTGAAACTTTTGTTTTATTTATGTATATTTATGGATTTGTGCTTGATGTTGTGATAATAGCAAAAATTTATAGAGTACTTACTAGGGTTTTACACATATTAACTCCTAATTCTCAAAATGTCCCTATTGGCCGGGCGCAGTGGCACACGCCTGTAATCCTAGTACTTTGGGAGCCCAAGGTGGGCGGATCACTTGAGGTCAGGAGTTCAAGACCAGCCTGGCCAACATGCTGAAATCCCATCTCTACTAAAAATTCAAAAATTAGCTGGGCATGGTGGCACGCACCTGTAATCCCAGCTACTCAGGAGGCTGAGGCAGGAGAATCTCTTAAACCCAGGAGGTGGAGATTGCAGTGAGCCAAGATCACGCCACTGTACTCCAACCTGGGCAACAGAGCGAGATCCTGTGTCAAAAAGAAAAAAACAAAAAAAACAGCATACTTTGTATTAGGTGAACCCACAAAGTACAGGGGCCAATTGTAGGTAGTCCACAAACACTTTTAAATCTTTGTGCATTTATTGTATGTTAGAAAAATTTATACATAGCATATTAAAGCATTAATATAAAATATCTTTTAAAAATTAAGGTATATCTTCAAAAGAAAGGAAAACATCAAGTAAACAATTATAGATAAATAAAGTACAGGTAAAAGGCAGATGTGGTAACAATTGTATGAAGAGGAATACAAGTGTCTAGGGCTTGGGGGCCACACACTAAACCTGGCATCAGAAGGCCCAGATCTGGGACCCGGCTCATTTGTTTTCTAGCACTAGGTTGTTTTTCATCCTTGTATAACACCATGGCCCAGGTACTACTCTAAGCACTTTATAAAAATTAACTCCTGGCCGGGTGCGGTGGCTCACGCCTGTAATCCCAACACTTTTGGAGGCCAAGGTGAGTGGATCACCTGAGGTCAGGAGTTCAAGACCAGCCTGACCAACATGGAGAAACCCCATCTCTACCAAAAATACAAAATTAGCCAGGAGTGGTGGTGCTTGCCTGTAATCCCAGCTACTCGGGAGGCTGAGGCAGGAGAATCACTTGAACCCAGGAGGCGGAGGTTGCGGTGAGCCGAGATCGCGCCATTGCACTCCAGCCTGGGCAACAAAAGCGAAACTCTGTCTCAAAAAAAAAAAAAAAAAATTAACTTCTTGGCCAGGCACGGTGGCTAACACCTGTAATCCCAGCACTTTGAGAGGCCGAGGCAGACAGATCATGAGGTCAAGAGATTGAGACCATCCTGGCCAACATGGTGAAATGCCGTCTTTACTAAAATTACAAAAATTAGCTGGGTGTGGCACATGGCTGTAGTCCCAGCTACTCAGGAGGCTGAGACAGGAGAATCGCTTGAACCCAGGAGGCGGAGGTTGCAGTGAGCCAAGATCGCACCACTGCACTCCAGCCTGGTAACAGAGCAACACTCCGTCTCAAAAAAAAAAAAAAAATTAACTCCTTGGCCAGACATGGTGGCGCACACTTAAATCCCAGCACTTTGGGAGGCTGAGGCAAGAGGCTCACTTAAGGTTAGGAGTTCAAGACCAGCCTGAGCTACAAAGTGAGAAAATAAATAAATAAATAAATTACTCCTTTAATCCTCACAACCGTCTATTGAGGTAGGTACTGTCATCATACCCATTTCTGAGAAAACAAAGTCTCAGAGAGACTAAATAGCTTACTCAAAACCACGCAGCGCATGAGAGGCGGAGCTAGAATTCAACATCAAGGATTGTATTAGAAAAGGCAATACCAGCTTATCAACCCAAAACACGAGAGGAGAGTTTATCTCTCCTTCACGCAGTTGTCCAGGGTCCCCAACTCCTTCCTCCCTAGATGGAAGATGGGCTTTTTTTTTTTGAGACATAAATATATATATATATGTGTGTGTGTGTGTGTGTGTGTGTATACATATATGTGTGTGTGTGTGTATATACATATATATATATATATATATTTTTTTTTTTTTTTTTTTTTTTTGAGACAGGGTCTCACTCTGTGGCCCAGGCTGGAGTGCGGTGGTACCATCTTGGCTCATCACAACCTCCACCTCCTGGGTTCAAACAATTCTCGTGCCTCAGCTTCCTGAGTGGCTGGGATTACAGGTTTGCATTACCACACCCAGCTAATTTTTATATTTTTAGTAGAGATGGGATTTTGCCATGTTGGCCAGGCTGGTGTCGAACTCATGACCTCAAGTGATCCACCTGCCTCGGCCTCCCAAAGTGCTGGGATTATAAGTGTGAGCCACCAGGCCCTGCCAGGAAGATGGGTTTTATTTGAACCACTGGGCCCTACTGGGATGGGTAGAATTTTCTGTATCATTCTGGGATCCACATCCTCCTCTGAAAATGGGGTTAATAATGCTAGTTCTATTTACCCCTCAGGGTAGCTCTGCTGCTCAAGGGGATAGAGGCAAGAGTGTCCTGCAAACTGCAAAAAGTTCCTTGAATGTAAAATGTTAGTATGTATTGTTAATGATATTGACCAAAGCTACATTACCATGTTACAGTGAAGATTAATTGAAACAGTGCATGGAAAGACCTTGGTTCACATACAGACAAAGTCAGCTGTGAGTAATAGCCATAATAGTAATGTGGTTATGCAATTTAAAATATTGATTTATCTCCAAATTGGGATATAGTTGTATAGGATCTTTCTTACTAGCAAGTTAACACATTACGTCTATAACTAAAAAATCAAGAAGTCTTGATTTCTTGAGAAGTCAGTATAACCATGATGTTTAGAAATACAAACAAGAGGCTGGGCACGGTGGCTCACGCCTGTAATCCCAGCACTTTGGGAGGCCGAGGCGGGCAGATCACAAGGTCAGGAGTTCGAGACCAGCCTGGCCAACATGGTGAAACCCTGTCTCTACTAATAATACCAAAAAAATTAGCTGGGCATAGTGGCGGGCACCTGTAATCCCTGCTACTGTGGAGGCTGAGGCAGGAGAATCTCTTGAATGTGGGAGGTGGAGGTTTCAGTGAGCTGAGATCACGCCATTGCATTCCAGCCTGGGCAACAAGAGCAAAACTCCATCTCAAAAAAAAAAAAAAAAAAAAAAAAAAAAACTGGGCCGGCCACAGTGGCTCAAAATGCTGTAATCCTGGCATTTTGGGAGGATGAGTGGGGGGATCGTTTGAACCCAGGAGGTCGAGGCTGTAGTGAACAAACATCATGCCACTGCACTCCAGCTTGGATGATAGACTGAGACCCTGCCTCAAAAAAAGAGAAAGGAAAATAAATAAATAAATGAAAATTTAAAAGGAAAAGAAAATATTTAAACGCTATTTCAAACAATCTCAAATGTACCTGGAAACAGTTGGGACAGGAAGTCATGAAGGGAATGGGGCAGAGTTAGAGAAGGTCAGAGTACAGCCATGTTTCACATCCCAGCTGAAACTCCTCCAACAGCTTTGTATCGCCCTTCAAATACAACCTGAGCTCTTTTTCTTTCTTTCTTTCTTTTGTTTTTCTGAGTTGGAGTCTCACTCTGTCATCCAGGCTAGAGTGCAGTGGCATGATCTTGGCTCACTGCAACCTCCGCCTCCCAAGAAGCTGGGATTACAGGCGCGTGTCACCATGCCCAGCAATTTTTGTATTTTTAATAGAGTCAGGGTTTTACCATGTTGCCAGGCTGGTCTCAAACTCCTGACCTCAAGCGATTTGTCCACCTTGGCCTCCCGTGAGCCGCCGCGCCCGGCCCTGGGCTCTTTTCTTTGACCAAAAGGCTCTCACAGGCTCTGACTCTTGTCTGATGGTCTCTCGTCTTTCTCCCTTTGGTCACTGCAGTCAGCCACACTGGACTTTTGTTTTTTTTGTTTGTTTGTTTGTTTTGCGACGGAGTCTCACTCTTTCACCCAGGCTGGAGTGCGGTGGCGCGATCTCGGCTCACTGCAAGCTCCGCCTCCCGGGTTCACGCCATTCTCCCGCCTCAGCCCCCCCAAGTAGCTGGGACTACAGGCGCCCGCCACTGCGCCCGGCTAATTTTTTGTATTTTTAGTAGAGACGGGGTTTCACCGTGTTAGCCAGGATGGTCTCGATCTCCTGACCTTGTGACCTGCCCGCCTCGGCCTCCCGAAGTGCTGGGATTACAGGCGTGAGCCACAACGCCCAGCCACACTGGCCTTTTGACAATCCTTCAATCACGCCAAGCACACTCCTGCCATTGGGCCTTTGTACTTGCTGTTCTCTCTGCCAGGAATGCCTCTTCCCCAGATCTTTGCATAGCTGATTTCTTCTCATTGTCAGGGCCTTAGTTCAAATGTCCTCCACTCAGAGCAGCCTCCCTTGAACACCCAAATCTAAGCCTGCCCCACCTCCATCCCTTGATAGCAATTCCATTATCCTCTACAGCGCTGAAATTACGTATTCCTTGATCTGTTTATCATCTGTCTCCTTCACAGAAGTTCCATGACAGCAGGGAGTTAGGCTGTCTTGTCCCCTGCTGTATCCCCAGCATGTAGAACAGTGCTTGACACACAGTAGGCGCCCCATAAGTATTTGCGGAATGAGCAAATACAGATGGGGACAGCTGAGTCAGTAGGGTGAGCAGCTGGATGGGCCAGTAGTGGAGGGAGGAAACGGCAGCCTCTGCCTGGGCCTTGCCCTGGGTAAACAGACCTCTCTCTCCCCAGACAGCCACTGTTTGACGACTGTCTGCCATGGGCCTGGCTGAGCCTGGGCCGCCAAACTGCCAACGCCTCTGTATTCTCTGGGACAAGCAGTGGAGGCAGCCATACCTCCAGCAGAGTTTGTGAAGGAGCAGGTCAGAAAGTTGTCAAAACAGGCATGACGAAGGGCAGAGGAGGTGGGGAGACAGGGAGAGAGCAGGCGGCCCTGCCCTGGGCAGAGCCAGAGAAACTGGAGGGAGGCCTGGGTGCTCCCCTGGGCAGCTTCCCAGGCAAACCCAGCTGCCTGCAGGGCTCAGCGCTGGGAGCAGGTTGTGGTCCCAGCTCTAGCCCTGACACACACAGGATCTCAGGTACTTGACATTTGTAGGCCTTAGCTTCCTTACTTGTAAGTTAGAGGCTATGGGCAGATTAGTGGCTTTCAAACAATTTTTTTTGTTGTTGCTTTTTGTTTTTGAGACGGAGTCTCAATCTTGTCGCCGAGGCTGGAATGCAATGGTTCGATCTGGGCTCACTGCAATCTCCGCCTCCCAGGTTCAAGTAATTCTCCTGCCTCAGCCTCTGGAGTAGCTGGGATTACAGGCGCGTGCCACTACTGCCCAGCTAATTTTTGTATTTTTAGTAGAGACGGGGTTTCGCCATGTTGGCCAGGCTGGTCTTGAACACAGCAAGATTCTGTCTCTACAAAAAATACAAAAATTAGAGGCTGGGCCCGGTGGCTCACACCTGTAATCCCAGCACTTTGGGAGGTGGAGGTGGGCAGATCACTTGAGGTCAGGAATTCGAGATCAGCTTGGCCAACAGTGGGAAATCCCATCTCTACTAAAAATGCAAAAATTAGCCAGGCATGCTGGAGCACGCCTGTAATCCCAGCTACTTAGGAGGCTGGGGCAGGAGAATCTCTTGAACCCAGGAGGTGGAGATTGCCGTGAGCCAAGATCGCCACTGCACTCCAGCCTGGGCGACAGAGCAAGACCCTGTCAAAAAAATAAATTAAAGAAAATCCCAACTTTCACCTCCTTTAAAAAAAGTGAAGGTCTAGCAACACTGATACCTATGAGACAACAGTCTCCTGGAGCCACTTTAGATTCTCATGCTTCCTCTAATTTGCCGTAGTCCCCACTATTCCTTAGTGTCCCCATACGGAAACTTATTAATGAACATAAATCACCATGTTTGCTGTATTGTTTTTCTTAGAGGAACGTGTGAACTTTGCTCACACCCTATCTGTTCCATTTATTTCAGTTACTTCTCTGGGTATTGAGGGCACTTGAGTGTGGGACCCCTGATCACTGAGACCAAAGCAGAGTTCATTTATTTGCACGAGCAATCTTCTATTTCATAGATTTACCATGTTTTTAAGTGACTACAAGAAAAGTTTAAATTATGTCTGTGGCTCACATTCTATTTCTATTGGCCAGCACTGGCCGGGTCCCTCAGATTCTATAGCAGTGTACGTGTGCTTGCTGCTAACTCATTCTGCCTCCATTTTCCATTCTTGCGTAGACCAATCCCAGTCAAATCTCTTGGGCTGGTGTCTTCTCCCCACCCCACAGTTATCTTTGGTGCCTCCACCCTGGTTAGCTGGCCACCTGTCTGTCCAGAGGATCCAGGCTCCAGAACTCCAGGCATGTCTTCTAGAATTCTCCACATGGGAAATCTCACTCCCAGGCCCCATCTGGCAGCCATTGTGTTTTCTTTATCAGACATTCACATAAAACAATAGTCAATTTGAAAGCTAAATACACATCCATTCTTCTGTCTCCAGCCTGTAAATTTACCCCAAATCCAGTAATTTGGGAGGTGGAGTTGGTGGGAAGAGGTTTTTTTTTCCCCCTCTTCTCCAGGGCAAGTCATATAGTTTTTCTGGAGATGAGGTGGACTGAGTTTGGGGGAAGAACACAGGTCCATCTACAGTGAAAGCGCTGACTTTGTTTTTGGAGAAGATGGTGTCATGGCTTCTCTGGGGAGATGAGATGAGGGAATCCTGAAGACTTAGGGGGCCGGGAGGAAAAGGAATCTTGGCAATGATGAAGACACCTTCAAATGAAGGGGCTAATAGGGTAGTGGCTGAGAATTTGTGCTGCAGTCGGGAGGGCTTGGGTTAGAGCTACATCCACAGTATGACCTTGGACAGGTGACTTTATCTCTCTGATCCTCAGTCTCCTCATCTGTAAAATAAGGATAAGAATAGACTTGACTTCCACTTCAACGAGAAGTGAAACGAGATATCCTACCACTGCGCTTTGCACATAAAGGCTCTATAAATGTCAGCTGTCATCATAAAGAGCCAAAAGTGGCATTTGGAGTAAATCTGATTTGTTTTTAAGAGATAGGGTTTTGCTGTGTCACCCGGGCTGGAGTGCAGTGGCATAGTCAAAACCCACTACAGCCTCAAATTCCTGGGCTCAAGCCATCCTCTCGCCTAAGCCTCACAAGTAGCTGGGACTACAGACACACACCACCATGCCTGTCTAACGTTTACTTTTTAATTTTTTTAAGTTTTAAAATTTTCTGTAGAGATGGGGTCTTACTGTGTTGCCCAGGCTGGTCTCAAACTCCTAGCCTGAAATGATCCTTCCAACTCAGCCTCCCAAAGCACTGGGATTACAGGTGTTAGCCACCACACCCAGCCTAGTTTAATTCTTTTTTAATCATCCTTCTCTGCATTTTTGTAATTCCTCTACCATGAACCTGCTTTAGTTAAGTAAGAAACAGTTAACTGGGGGAGGAGAAATAAAACCAAACCCCTAAAAAGCCCCTAATAAACCCCTAAACGTGGGGTCCAACATGAGGTGTTATGGCTGGGAAAAGGTAAGAGATCAAACTATACACACCCTTTTTTTTTTAAATTAAACTTTTTAGTTTTTTCAGAGACAGTCTTGCTCCATTGCCCAGGCTAGAATAATGGCATGATCTCGGCTCACTGCAACCTCCGCCTCCTGGGTTCAAGCAATTCTCCTGCCTCAGCCTCCTGAGTAGCTGGAACTACAGGCACGCACCACCATGCCTGGCTTCTTTTTGTATTTTTAGTAGAGGTGGGGTTTCACCATGTTGGCCAGCCTGATCTCGAACTCCTGACCTCTGGTGATCCACCTACCTCAGCCTCCCAAACTGCTGGGATTACAGGTGTGAGCCACTGCACCAGGCCTTAATTAAACTTTTATTTTAGATTCAGGGGGTACATGTACAGGTTTGTTACATGGGTATATTGTGTGACACTGAAGTTTAGGCTATGATTGAGCTCATCACCCAAGTAGTGAGCATAGTACCCAACAGAGAGTTTTTTAGCCCTTGCCCTTCCTCTAGAAGTCCGCAGCGTCTATTGTTCCTCTCTTGATGTCAACGTGTACCCAATGTTTAGCTTCCTTTTACAAGTGAGAACATGCAGTATTTGTTTTTTTGTTTCTGTGTTGATTCACTTAGGATGAGGTCCTCCAGCTCCATTCCTGGTGTGGCAAAGGACACGACTTTGTTCCCTTTTTTATTTTTTTGACACTGTCCTTGAACTTGGTTGAGGTTTTGTTCCCTTTTATGGCTGCATACTATTCCATAGTGTATATGTACCACATTTTCATTATCCATTCCACTGCTGATGGGCACTTAGGTTGATTCCATGTCTTTCTACTGTTTTGTTTTGTTTGAGATGGAGTCTCACTCTGTCACCCAGGCTGGAGTGCAGTGGCGCAATCTCAGCTCACTGCAACCTCTGCCTCCCAGGTTCAAGCCATTCTCCTGTCTCAGCCTCCCAAGTAGCTGGGATTACAGGCATGTGCCACCATGCCTGGCTAATTTTTGTATTTTTAGTAGAGACACAGTTTTACCATGTTAGCCAGGTTGGTCTCGAACTCCTGACCTCAGGTGATCCGCCCGCCTCGGCCTCCCAAAGTGCTAGGATTACAGGCGTGAGCCACTGTGCTTGGCTGATGTCTTTCTATTGTGAATAGTGCTGTGTAGAACATATAAGTGCATGTGTCTTTTTGGTAGAAGAATTCATTTTCCTTTGGTTATATACCAAATCATGAAATTGCTAAATTGAATGGTGGTTCTGTTTTAAGTTCTTTGAGAAATCTCCAAATAGCTTTCCACAGTGGCTGAACTAATTTATATTCCCACCAACAGTGTATAAGTGTTCCCTTTTTTCCACAGCCTTGCCAACATCTGTTATTTTTTTGACTTTTTAATGACAGCCATTCTTCAGATATCAAGGGTGGGGACAAAAAAAGAAACTTAATAATCATTTTGACTAGTGTGAGATGGTATCTCACGATTTCATT
The DNA here is from genome assembly GCF_000001405.40 of Homo sapiens. Classification (NCBI taxonomy): domain Eukaryota; kingdom Metazoa; phylum Chordata; class Mammalia; order Primates; family Hominidae; genus Homo; species Homo sapiens. Next base: position 44,375,116 of record NC_000020.11, read on the forward strand.
TGCATTTCTCTGATGATTAGTGATGTTGAACATTTTTTCATCTTTGTTGGCCGCTTGTACATCTTCTTTTGAGAAGTGTCTGTTCATGTGCTCTATCCACTTTTTGTTGGGGTTCTTTGTTTTTTGCTTGTTGAATTGTTTAAGTTCCTTGTAGGTTCTAGCTCCTTGTAGAATTGCTAAGTTCCTTGTAGACCTTTGTTGGATTCAGAGTTCGCAAATATTTTCTCCCATTCTGTAGGTTGCCTGTTTACTCTGTTGATAGTTTCTTTTGCTGTGTAGAGGCTCTTTAGTTTAATTAGGTGTCACTTGTCAATTTTTGGTTTTGTTGCGATTGCTTTGGAGGATTTAGTCATAAATTTTTTGCCAGGGAAATGTTTTTGTTTTTTTTTTTTGAGACAGGGTCTTGCTCTGTCACCCAGGGTGTTAATAACTTAACAAACTGAGACCCCAAGAGGAAAGGTGATTCGGCCAAAGTCATACAGTAAGTTAGTGGCAGAGCCAAGACTAGAATGGTGGACTGTGGGTGTTGGAAGGGAACTTTGAGGTTGTTAGGGCAGCCTTTCCTAAGGCGAGGCCCCTCAGACAAGAAGGATTCTATTGTTAGATGTTTGAAAACTGCTGAATTAAAGAAAGCTGCACAAATTTCATTATCCGAGAACTTCTCAGAATTCTTAACACATGACAATACCTTGGCCACTCCAAGAAATGCCTGCAGTGTATAGGGCCCTGAATTAGTTTCAAGAGTCCCTTGAAGGACATTGACACCTATGCAAGCTCTCCCTGCTCTCAGACAGAGAAATGCTATATCTTAGATATACTCCTAGTTGCTTTTAAAAAATAGGATTCTAGGGCCGGGCATGGTGGCTCATGCCTGTAATCCCAGCACTTTGGGAGGTTGAGGCAGGCGGATCACGAGGTTAAGAGTTTGAGATCAGCCTGACCAACATGATGAAACTCTGTCTCTACTAAAAATACAAAAAAAATTAGCCGGGCATGGTAATTAGCCGGGCATGGTGGCATGCACCTGTAATCCTAGCTACTCAGGAGGCTGAGGCAGGAGAATTGCTTCAACCCGGGAGGCAGAGGTTGCAGTGAGCCGAGATCATGCCACTGCACTCCAGCCTGGGCAACAGACTGAGACTCTGTCTCAAAGAAAAAAATATATATATAGATTTCTAGATTTTTATCCACGGTTGCTTGTCATTGTGCAAATTGTTGTCATTGTGCAAATTGTATGATTTTTAAAATTATACTACCAAATTGTCTGTCGCTGGTATGTAGGAAGATGGTTGACTTTTTTTTATAATCTCATTTCTCCTTTTTTTAAAGTAAGAAATATTACAAATATGCAGAGAAGTATAGAGAATAATATTATGAACATTTATGTATCCACCTCTCAATTTTGTCAAATCTTACTACATGACCATGTTTTCTTTGGATGTTGTTTGTTTGTTTGTTTGTTTTAATGACAAATTAAACATTACACTTAGAGTTGAAGCCCCTTGTCTTCCTGATCCCATCACCCTGCCACCCTTATCAGTGGTGATCATGGTCACCATTTGGTATTTATCATGTGTATTTGGTATTTATCTGGTAATGTGTCATTACCAGACACATTTTCACAGTTCTACCATACGTGGCTATATAAGCAAAGTAAAATATTTTGCTTATCTGGAAAATTTATTTAAATGATATACTGTACATATCCTGCAGCAACTTCCTTTTATTACTCCTCATAATAGGTCTCTGGATCTTTTCATGATGATACAAGTTGCACCAGACCACTCATTTAAAATGCTGTGTAGGCTGGGTGCAGTGGCTCACCTGTAATTCCAACACTTTGGGAGGCCGAGGCAAGTAGATCACTTAAGCCCAGGAGTTCAAGAGCCAGCCTGGGCAACATGGTGAAACCCTGTCTCTATCAAAAAATAAAATAAAAAAGAAATAAAATAGATAAAATGCTGTGTATCCATGAAGTACTATACAGTCATAAAAAAGAATGAAATCATGTCCTCTGCAGCAACATGGATATGGCTGGAAACCATTATCCGAAGCAAACTAATGCAGAAACAGAAATTCAAATAACATATGTTCTCACCTATACGTGGGGGCTAAACCTTGGGTACACATGGACATAAAGATGGGAACAATAGGCACTGGAGAAACCAAAGGGGTTAGAGAGGGAGGGGGCAAATGTTGAAAAACTACCTATTGGGTACCATGCTCATTACCTGGGTGATGAATTCATTCATACTGGAAACCCCAGCATCATGCAATATACCTTTGTAACAAACCTATACGTGTACCTCCTGATTCGAAAATAAAAGTTGAAATAACGGGCCAGGCAATGTTTAAAAACACATGCAGCCGGGCGCGGTAGCTCATGCCTGTAATCCAAGCACTTTGGGAGGCCGAGGCGGGTGGATCACTTGAGATCAGGAGTTCGAGACAAGCCTGGGCAACATGGTGAAACCCTATCTCTATTGAAAATATAAAAATTAACCAGGCCTGGTGGTGGGCACCTGTAATCCCAGCCACTTGGGAGGCTGAGGCATGAGAATCGCTTAAACCTGGGAGGCAGGTAAAAAAAACAAAGTTGAAATAACAAAAAATAAAATAAAAGTGTCTGTAAATATCCTGAGTATATTTATTCTGTTTTGTTTATTTGTTTGTTTTGAGATGGAGTCTCACTCTGTTACTCAGGCTGGAGTGCAGTTGCACGATCTTGGCTCACTATCTCAGATGATGCTCCAAAGACTATTCTTATACCTGTGGATGAGAGTTTCTCTAGGTAACATGCAGAGATGGAATTTCTGTATCTTAGACAGTGGATATCAACACTTTTAAGAGATGTTGCTAAATTGCTCATTCTTGAATGCCAACTTCCACTTCCAACAATAGTTACAGAGTTTTGGTTGCTCTACAACCTCATCAGCACTTGATTTTGTAAGATACTGAATGTAAAATTATGCTTCACTTTCAAATTTACATTTCCTCTATTACTAGAGAAGGAGAGGCTCTTTTGCCATTTGAGCTTCCTACATTATGAGTGTGCTTGTTTGTATCCTTTGACCATTTATCTATTGTATTATTTACCTTTCCTTATCAATTTGTAGGCATTTTTTAGCACTCTTAGAAACATCTTTTATGCATGTATTTTTTTTTTTTTTTGAAACAGAGTCTTACTCTGTCGCCCGGCTGGAGTGCAGTGGCGTGATCTCGGCTCACTACAACCTCCACCTCCCAGGTTCAAGTGATTTTTCTGCCTCAGCCTCCCGAGTAGCTGGGGTTACAGGCATGCACCGCCGCACCCAGCTGATTTTTGTATTTTTAGTAGAGACAGGGTTTCACTATGTTGCCCAGGCTGGTCTTGAACACCTGACCAAAGGTGATCCATCCACCTCAGCCTCCCAAAGTGCTGGGATTACAGGTGTGAGCCACCACGCCCAGCCGACCATTTTTAAACGTACAGTTCAGAGACATTAAATATATTCACATTGTAATACAACCATCAGCACCATCCATCACCTGAACTTTTTTCATCTTCCCACACTGAAACTGTACCCATTAGAAAATAGCTCCCCTTGGGAGGCTAACATGGAGAAACCTCGTCTCTACTAAAAATACAAAATAAATACTAAAAATACAAAAAAATTAGCCGGGCGTGGTGGTGCGTGCCTGTAATCCCAGGTACTCAGGAGGCTGAGGCAGGAGACTCGCTTGAACCCGGGAAGTGGAGGTTGCAGTGAGCCGAGATCGCACCACTGCACTCCAGCCTGGGCCACAGAGAGAGACCCCGTCTCAAAAAAAAAAAAAAAAGAAAAGAAAAGAAAAGAAAATAGTTCTCCTTTCTTCCCAGGCCCTGGCAAACCCCTTCTACTTTCTGTCTCTGTGAATTTGACTACTTTCCTGTAGGCTAGTGGAATCATACAGTATTTGTTCTTTGTGACTAGCTTTTCCCCTAGCATAATGCCCTCAGGATCCATCCATGTTGTAGCATGTGTCAGAATTTCCATCCTTTTTAAGGCTGAATAATATTCCATTGTATGCATATACCACATTTTATTGATCCATTCATCCATTGATTGACACTTGGGTTGCCTGTACCTTTTGGCTATTATGAATAATGCTGCTATGAACTTGAGTATACAAATCTCTCTTCCAGATGCTACTTTTGGTTCTTTTGGGTATATACTCGGGAGTACAATTGCTAGATCATATGATAGTTCTATTTTTCATTTTTTAGGAAGCCGCCATACTGCTTGCCACAGAAGCTGCACTATTTTACGTTCCCACCAGCAGTGATAGGAACGTAAAAGGGTTACAATTTCTCCACATCTTCACCAACACTTACTATTGTCTGTTTTGTTGTTGTTTTATAATATCCATCCTAATGGGTGTGAGGTGGTCTCTTATTGTGTGTTTTGTTTGTTTGTTTGTCTTGGTTTTTTTTGGAGACATAGTCTTGCTCTGTCGCCCAGGCTGGAGTGCAGTAGTGCAGTCTCAGCTCACTGCAAACTTCTCCTCCAGGGTTCAAGCGATTCTCCTGCTTCAGCCTCCCAGGTAGCTGAGATTACAGGCATGTGCCATCACACCCGGATAATTTTTCTTTTCCTTTTTTTTTTTTTTTTTTTTTGAGACAGAGTCTCACTGTGTGGCACAGACTGGGGTGCAGTGGCGCGATCTTGGCTCACTGCAACCTCTGCCTCCCAGGTTCAAGCGATTCTCCTACCTCAGCCTCCTGAGTAGCTGGGATTACAGATGCATGCCACCATGCCCGGCTAATTTTTGTATTTTTAGTAGAGATGGGGTTTCACCATGCTGGCCAGGCTGGTCTTGAACTCCTGACCTCGTGATCCGCCCGCCTTGGCCTCCCAAAGTGCTGGGATTACAGGCGTGAGCCACTGTGCCTGGCCCACACCCAGATAATTTTTATATTGTTTAGTAGATTTGGGATTTTGCCATGTTGGCCAGGCTGGTCTCAAACTCCTGACCTCAAGTGATCCACTTGCCCTGGCCTCCCAAAGTGCTGGGATTACAGGCATGAGCCACTGTGCCCAGCCTCTTATTGCAGTTTTGATTTGCACTTCCCTAATGATTAGTGATGTTAAGTATCTTTTTATGTGCTTAATGGTTATTTGTATATCTTCCTTGGAGAAATGCCTATTCAAGTCCTTTGCCAATTTTTTTGTTTTCTTGAGACAGGTCTTGCTCTGTCACCCAGGCTAGAGTGCAGCAGCAGGATCGTGGCTCACCACAGCCTCAAACTCCTTGACTCAAGTGGTCCTCCCACCTCGGCCTCCCAAGTAAGCTGGGACTACAGGTGTGCAGCATGCCTGGCTAATTTTTAAATTTTTCTGTAGAGACAAAGTTTCACTATGTTGCCCAGGCTGGTCTTAAACTCCTGAGCTCAAGCAATCCTCCTGCCTCTGCCTCACAAAGTGGTGAGATTACAGACTTGAGCCACTACACCTGGCCTCTTTGTCCATTTTTAAAGTTTTTGGTTGTTGTTATTGAGTTGTAAGAGTTCTTTATATATTTCGGACATTAACCCCTTATCAGATATATGATTGGCAAATATTTTCTCCCATTCTGTAAGTTGCTTTTTCACTCAGTCAAGTGTCCTTTGGTGCACAAATTTTTCTAATTTTGATGTAGTCCAATTTATCTAATTTTTAAAAATTTCCTGTGCTTTTGGTGTCATATCCAAGAAATCATCACCAAATCTAATATCATGAAGCTTTTCCCTTATGTTTTATTCCAAAGGTTTTATACTTTTCCGTCAAACTCATTTTTAGTTAATTTTCGTATATGGTGTAAGGAAAGAGTCTGATTTCATTCTTTTGCATGTGGATATACAGTTTCCCAAACATGAATTTGGTTTTGATAGTACTTTGTTAATTAAGACTTTTGCACCTGGTAGACGCTCTTTGACCTCTAACCCACTGGAATCCTCTCACCATCCTTCCCTGACAGTTGACCATTTAGCTTGGGCTTAATACTTCCAATGACGGAATACTCACTACTTAATAAAGCAGCTTTTCCTGTGGTAGAACAATTGTATTTTATAGAAAGATCTCCATTTTGAGCCTCAAGTTTCCTCCCTGTAGCATCCACATTTTGGTCCTCGTTCATTCTCTGAAGCTGTAGGAATCAGTGAGAGCTTTTTTTTTTTTTTTTTTTGAGACAGAGTTTTACTCTGTCACCCAGGCTGGAGTGCAGTGGCACGATCTCTGCTCACTGCAACCTCCAACTCCAGGGTTCAAATGATTCTCCTGTCTCACTCTCCTGAGTAGCTGGGACTACAGGCACATGACACCACATCTGGCTTATTTTTGTATTTTTAGTAGACGGGGTTTCACCATGTTGGCCACGTGAAACTGGTCTCAAACTCCTGGCTTCAACTGATCTGCCTGCCTCAGCCCCACAAGTGCTGAGATTACAGGCGTGAGCCACTTCACCCAGCCAGTGGGCACTCTTTTCCAAAGGAAAGTACTTTGTTGCCTTTTTTTTGAGACTGAGTCTCAATCTATCACCCAGGATGGCGTGCAGCGGCACGATCTCAGCTCATTGCAACCTCTGCCTCCCAGGTTCAAGTGATTCTTGTGCCTCAGCCTCCCAAGTAGCTGGGATTACAGGTGACTGCCACCACGCCCGGCTAATTTTTGTGTTTTTAGTAGAGACAGGGTTTCACCATGTTGGTCAGGCTGGTCTGGAACTCCTGACCTCAAGTGATCCACCCACCTCAGCCTCCCAAAGTGCTGGGATTACAGGCCTGAGCCACCGCACCCGGCAGGAAAGTACTTTGAATTGAGTAAATAACGCAACTATATGCTGGGCAGCTACCTGCCAGGTTTATAAGGTTTAACACATTTACTCCACAAAGCAATCTATGAAAAGGTCCTATCATTGATTCCTATTTTATAGATGAAGCAAATAAGGCTTGAAGAGCTTATGATTTTAGCAAGGTCCAACAGCTATGTAAATGGCACCACTGATATTTCAAAGGCAATGGCCCTGACCACTCTGCTACACCACCTTTCTCTCCTCTTCTCCAATACCCAGCCCAAAACTCTTTTGGATCTTTGATTATTCTTCAAGGGGCATAGCTTTCTTTCTTTCTTTCTTTCTTTTTTTTTTTTGAGACGAACTCTCGCTCTGCTGCCGGGCTAGAGTGCGGTGGCGAGATCTCGGCTCACTGCACCCTCCGCCTCCCAGGTTCAAGCAATTCTCCTGCCTCAGCCTCCCAAGTAGCTGGGACTACAGGTGCGTACCACTACGCAAGGCTAATTTTTGTATTTTTAGTAGAGATGGAGTTTCACCATGTTGGCCAACATGATCTCGATCTCTTGACCTCGTGATCCGCCCGCCTTGGCCTCCCAAAGCGCCAGGATTACAGGCATGAGCCATGCCGCTGCACTCGGCCTAAGGGGCATAGCTTTCTCATCCTCTGCCATCCTAGGAAAATTTTAAGTATTCATATTAAAATGAAAACTAAACACAATTGTCCATATATGCTCCTTAGGAGTAGAATGCCAAGGACCTCTTAGCTCCTCTGACCTGGGAACTACATTCTCTCTAATGATACATACGACTGGGTTAGAGGTTTGGGCAGCTGCCACCAAGTAAAACCTCTAGAATTTTGCTATGTCACTTTCTGCTAAGGTAGCTTTTCCCATCTACACTAAATAAATAAATCATCCAGGTGATTTATTTTTAACCAATGCAGAGGATTTTTTACTTATCTCCATGGAGTTCAAACATTTCTCCAGGCTGGGTGGGGTGACTCACGTCTGTAATCCCAACACTTTGAAGACTAAGAAGGGGCAGATTGCTTGAACCCAAGAGTTCCAGACCAGCCTGGGCAACATGGTGAAATCCCATATCTACAAAATATAGAAAAATTAGCCAGGGGTGGTGGTCCACACATGTAGTCCCAGCTACTCTGGAGGCTGAGGTAGGAGGATCATCTGAGCCTGGAGACTTGGAGGCTGCAGTGAGCTGTGATGGCGCCACTGCACTCCAGCCTGAGTGACAGAGACCCTGTCTCAAAAAAAACAAACAATAATTCACCAAATCTATTTGGATCTGGATCCTGCCATCATTTTATAGGTAATGCCTCCATAGCACTCACTAAGTGCCAGGCACACTTCTAAGCCCTTTTTATACATTAACACAAATAATCCCCACCACGACCTAATGCCATACACATCATTATGGTCACTATTTTGCAAATAAGAAAACAGTCACAGAGCAGTTCAGTAACTTGTCCAGGGTCACACAGCTAGTCCATGACTGAACCAGAATTTAAGCCCAGGATGTCAAGTTCCAGAATTGGTACACTCAGCCTCAATACTGTGCTGCCTTCAAATATTCTGACAATCTTAGACAGCTTTGGGGATCCAAAAGATTGAGAAGTACTCTTGGGGACCTCTTTTTTTTTTTTTTTTTTAAATACGGAGTCTCAACTCTCTCCCCCAGGCTGGAGTGCAGTGGTACAATCTCAGCTCACTGCAACCTCCGCCTCCTGGGTTCAAGTGATTCTCCTGCCTCAGCCTCCCAAGAGGCTGGGATATTACAGGCACATGCCATCATGCCCAGCTAATTTTTGCATTTTAAGTAGAGACAGGATATCACCATGTTGGCTAGGGTGGTCTTGAACTCCTGACCTCAAGTGATCTGCCCACCTCAGCCCCCCAAACTGCTGGGATTACAGGCATGAGCCACCGCACCTGGCTCCCATTTTTTTTTTAAGACGGAGTTTCACTCTTGTTGCCCAGGCTGGAGTGCAATGGAGCGATCTCGGCTCACTGCAACCTCCGCCTCCCAGGTTCAAGCAATTCTCCTGTCTCAGCCTCCTGAGTAGCTGGGATTACAGGCACATGCCACCACACCCGGCTAATTTTTGTATTTTTAGTAGAGATGGGGTTTCCTCATATTGGTCAGGCTGGTCTCGAACTCCTGACCTCAGGTGATCTTCCCACCTCGGCCTCCCAAATTCCTGGGATTACAGGTGTGAGCCATCACGCCTGGCCCCTGGCTCCTTTTTTTTTTTTTTTTTTTTTTTTTTAAATAAAGACCAAAGGTCCAGAGGCTTTGAAAGGCAAATAGTATTAAGTCAGGATTTGATATCAGGATTTCTTTCATTCTGTTTATTTTCTCATTGCTTTCTACTTATGATACTGTTTCATTTGGTAGTAATAATATTTCTTTCTAAAATAAATTGAAGTAAAAAGAAGTGAGTTGATGTAAGAAAAATGTTACAGATATGAAAAAATCATAATGGTCATTAAAAAATTAGTGAAACTTTGGAAAGACTGTGTTCAGTCAAGTGAAGTGAAGTTAGCTTGCAACCACAAAAAAACCCCTAAGTCTCAATGGTTTGAACAGCAAAGTTAATTGCTCACCTATAGTACACGCCCAGCATGGGTCGGCAGGGGGCGCTCCGCGTTGTGGAACGATTCATATCTATACTTGCTTCCCCAACAAGGGCAGCACTGGCCTTTAAAGCTTCTGCCCAGGTGTGACACAGGTTGTTTCTGCTCACATCTCGTTACCTGAAACAAGTAACATGGTCACATCTCATTTCAAAGGAAGCAAGAAAATGTAATCCCCATCATGTGCCGGAAAGGAGAGAAATAGAATAGTTGAGAACAGCCCTCAGAGAGACTATAAGTAAGGGGGCATAAAAGATGGGTCTAGAGAGATAGGCTGAGTCATGACTCACTGAATTTGTCTGACGTAGATCATGATGGCCCATCCCACCAAGTGGCCAACATTTGTTCCCAGAAAAGGGAGTGTGATGATCCCCCAGAAAGAACACAGTCTGACAACATTATTCTGATGAGCAGACACACCTCTCAGGCTGCCACTCAGGAGTCCTTTTGGGTGGGGAGGTGGGGATGCTGATATTTCCTAAGTGGTTTCAGCTGAACTCTGTGATCTTTTTTTTTTTTTTTTTTTTTTTTTTTTGCCTATTCCCTGAAGGGAGATGAGGCAATTTGGGCTTTGGCTGAGCTAGGGTTTGGTTCTGTCACCACTTGCTATCTAGGGAAGGGTAATAATTGGAAAGGAGAGGAATTCAAGGAGAGGGTCCAGGTGGGTAGGGAGCCTCACACAGGGTTTGGTGATCAGGTGATTGAGAGGCCTCCTTGAGGAGTTTTCAAAGTGCGGTCTGAGGGCACCTGGTATCAGAAGTGCCCAGAAGCTCATTAAACACTTGGGCCAGGTGCTCCATGGCTCCTGCCTTTAATCCCAGCACTTTGGGAGGCTGATTTGCTTGAGGCTGGGGTTCAAGACAAGCCTGGACAACATAGCAAGACACCTCCCCCCGTCTCTATTTTTTAATTAATTAATTTGTTTGTTTATTAATTTATGGACTCTCACTCTGTCGCCCAGGCTGGAGTGTAGTGGCCTGATCTCTTCTCACTGCAACCTCCGCCTCCCAGGTTCAAGCAATTCTCCTGCCCCAGCCTCCCAAGTAGCTGAAATTACAGGCATGCACCACCACACCCAGCTAGTTTTTGTACTTTTAGTAGAGACAAGGTTTCACCATGTTGGCCAGGCTGGTCTTGAATTCTTAGTCTCCAGTGATCCACCTGCCTTGGCCTCCCAAAGTGTTGGGATTACAGGCATGAGCCACCATGCCCCACCTCTATTTATTAAATATTTTCTTTTTTTTAATCTGATGACTAGGCCCACTGTTGGTCCTGGCACCTGGAGGTAGGACCCCAGGCATCTGATTTTTTTTGTTGTTTTTTTTAAGGCAGGGTCTCGCTCTGGCGCCCAGGCTGGAGTGCAGTGGCACGATCTTCACTCACTGGAACCTCCACCTCCCAGGTTCAAGCGATTCTCCTGCTTCAGCCTCCCGAGTAGCTGGGATTACAGGCATGCACCATCACGCCTGGCTAATTTTTTTTTTAATAGAGACAGGGTTTCACCATGTTGGCCAGGCTGGTCTTGAACTCCTGAACTCAGGTGATCCACCCACCTCCCAAAGTGCTGGGATTACAGGCGTGAGCCACCGTGCCCAGCCACCATCTGATTTTTTTTTTTTTTTTTTTTTTTTTGAGACAGAGTTTTGCTCTTGTTAACCAGGCTGGAGTGCAATGGCACGATCCCGGCTCACCACAACCTCTGCCTCATGGGTTTAAGTGATTTTCCTGTCTCAGCCTCCCAAGTAGCTGGGATTACAGGCATGTGCTACCACGCTCGGCTAATTTTGTATTTTTAGTAGAGACGAGGTCTCACCATGTTTGGCAGGCTGGTCTCGAACTCCTGAACTCAAGTGGTCCACCTGCCTCAGCCTCCCGAAGTGCTGGGATTACAGGTGTAAGCCACCTCGCCCAGCTGCCATCTGAATTTTTAATAATGGCCCCAGATGATTCTTATGGACACCAAGATTTGAGAAGCATTGAATGACTGAGAGAAAATTTCTTGTAAGGGTAGAAGCCCAGCACAGTGGTTCTCAGTGGAGATAATTTCAACCCCCAAGGGACATTTATAAATGTCTGGAGATAGTTTTGATTATCACACCTTGAGGGTAGGGAAAAGTGCTGCTGACATCTAGTGGCTAGAGGCCAGACATGCTGCCAGGGACAATGTACAGGACAGTCCCCACGACAAAGAATTCTCTAGCCCAAATGTCATTAGTGCTTAGGTCAAGAAACCCTGGTTAGCCATTAAGAGTTTGAACCTTTCTAAATGTTGGAGCACATACGATTTTTAAATCTTCAATTTTTATTTTATTTTCCAAAATTTCTACTATATGCATAGAATCCTTTTCATTGAATACCTGTTACGCACCGAGCACTTGAAGTTTACATCACTATCAGTTCCTCTTGAAAGACCTTTTCAGTCATTCATCCAACAACTATCCATTAAACACTTACTAAAATGTATTCCAGGCCAGGTGTGGTGGCTCATGCCTGTAATCCCAGCACTCTGGGAGGCCGAGGTGGGTGGATCACCTGAGGTCAGGAGTTTGAGATCAGCCTGGCCAACATGGCGAAACCCCGTCTCTACTAAAAATTAAAAAATTAGCTGGGTGTGGATCCCAGCTACTCAGGAGGCTGAGGCAGGAGAATTGCTTGAACCTGGGAGGCGGAGGTTGCAGCAAGCCGAGATCGTGCCATTGCTCTCCAGCCTGAGTGACAAGAGCGAAACTTCATCTTAAAAAAAAAAAAAAAAAAAAAAAAAGAAGTATTCCAGGCAGAGGGGAAAGTATATGCAAAGGCCCCCAAGACAGGAAAGAAAAACTTTAAAATGGCTAGTATGCCTGCTGCTGATAGGGGTGGGGGCAAGTGGAATGAAATGAGGTTGGACACGGAGGGATATAAAAACAAGGGCGTGCATGGCCTCACAGTGTTAAGTGGGAGTTGTATGAGTTTTGTTATAAATGCATAGGAAGTCATAAAAATTTAAGTAGAAGAGGATCTGAGCCAATGTACATTTGTACAAGATCACCCTTGGCCCCTGAGTGAAGAGTAGGGGGTAGGGAAGCCACAGGAGAAAAAGTGAAGGGGTGGGGTGGAGGCAGGCGGGGGGGGGGGGAGGCGGGGGGGGCGGTGGAGCGGGGGAGATCCCCTCCCCAACCCTGGCAGGTTTAAAAAAAAAAAAAGGGAAGAAGTGAAAAGACTTTTGCAGACCTCCAGAGATGATGCATAAGGTTGGCTGGGGTGGAGATGGAAAGATGGAAAATCTAGATTCTGTTTGGAGGGTGGCAAGAACTGGATTTTCTGATGAACTGGAAGGCATGAGAAACACAACACAAAGATTGTGACTTGCAAGATGTTGGCTTGAATAATTGAGAGAAGGTGGGTGATGATATATGACATGTAGATATGACTATCATTCTCTTTTGACGACTGAGGAAGGGGAGGTGAGTCGTCCTACTTCACAAAGATAGTATATGGGCTCCAGGTGTGTCTAACCCAAAGGTTATAATTTTTCCACACTCCTATATCCACACATTAATTTTTTTTTTTAAATTGAGACAGAGTCTCACTCTATCACCCAGGCTGGAGTGCAGTGGCGCCATCGTGGCTCACTGCAGCCTCCAACTCCTGGGATCCAGCGATCCTCCCACCTTGGCCACCTAAAGCTGGAGTTACAGGCATGCACCATCACGCCCTGCCTATCTTAATTTTCATAATGGGTATGACATTTACTGATAGTAATATCATTATACATGCCCCATACATGCTAACATCTGCTTCCACATGGAAGCAGCACAAAGCCTGGAACCTTCCTCAAAGACCCCCCCCACCCCCGTACATTGGAACAAGGTGCTGGGAACAGAAGTTTAGTAGGTGGTGGAAGGGCAGCGGCTGCTACCCTGGGAACTGGTTTTAAAATCTTACGTTCTGATTGCTGCCGTGGCCATGTGCTGGTGTGTGATGGGGAGATGTTCTTTTAGGTAACTAAATCCAACGAGCTGTGATTGGTGATCGAACCGAGCAGGCCTCCTCTGGATTTGGAGAGACATAGTGCGTCTGGGCCTGTGATTGGCGGGATTGCTGTGATTGGTGAAGTCCCTAAGGCTATCTAAGTTTCTGAACACCAGTTCCTGCGTTGGCCACGAGGAGGAGCCCAGGAAGCGCAAAGCGCAGCACTGCGGAGAGTCTTGGCCGCCTCCTCCGGGACGCCCTCCGGCCCAGCGCGGTGCCTGCCCTGCCCTGCGCCCTGGGGCAACCGCGGGATGAGGTGGGGCGGCAAAGGGTGTCAGGGCTCCCAGCTGCGGCCCGGGTGGCCACGCTTCTCTGCACAGTTCCTTTGGCCTCTTCCCCTGGCTCCCAGCCCCACAGAAGACATTGGCTGACCCGAGGGGTGGGGCTGCGGGTTCGCGAAGGTTTGTGAAGGCCCAGATCCAAGTTGCAAAACTGTGGAGTCTATCAAGTGAGACTTAGCAGCCCCACTCCCTCAGGTGCGCCCCTTGCCCTCCTCAGAGTCCTTCTCTCAAGTTTAGCAGCCTCCACCGTGCCCTTTAAGATCCTCAAAGAACTTTTGCAAAGTGGCATCTCATTGGAGCTAAAATGACCTGTGCAGGCAAAGGCCACTAGCTCAGGGGATCGTCCTGCCCATCCCCAGGTGCTATCACATCGCGCTGTGCGTCTTCACTGCACTTAACCACTGTTTGTAATTGACTTCGTTTTTCATGTATTTACTTGCTTATGTCTGCAACCCGCCTCTCCACCAAAACGCAAGCTCTGTGAGGGAGGGTGTAGGGTTGCCCGACACAACACAGGACACCCAGTTTCATATGAGTGTCAGATGAACACCACAGTTTAAAAGTATAAGCAGGTCCCATGCATTATTTGGGACACGCTCATACTAACGAAGTATTTCTTGTGTATCTTAAATTCACATTTGACTGGGCATCCTGTATTTTTATTTGCTCATCTGCACCCCTCTGAGGGGGATATTTTGCCCATGGTCTTCCCTGCTGCATCTCCACCACCCACAACGATGCACGCAGAAGGTGCTGAATAAATGTTGACTGTTTCGATGGACGATTTCCATCCTTTATTCACTCAGTTATTCATCCAGCCTATTTATATCAAGTGGGTCCTGGGAATACAATGGTAGATGGGACACAGTCCAGTGGAGGAGGCACACAACCAGTCTAATTACCATCTGACTAAACGATGATGATGTAAAGCTTTGGGGGCTATGGGGGGACAGAGGAGGACCCCGGCGTTCTGTTTCCCGGAGGAAGATGACTAAGATGGGACTTGGAGGATGAGAAGGCAAAGAAGGAAGTGCGACAGCTCTCTGCTTGAGACCACGGGGTTCTGGAAGCTGCAGGGGGCTGGGGAGGGCAAATGTGCAGTGTGGGCGTGGCAGTCAGGAAAAGGTGAGAAGGAGACTCACATTCACTGGATGTTACTACCCACCAGCCAGCACAAGAGGGATGCCATGTTGCTATTATTGTGCCCATCATACAGATGAGGAAGCTGAGGCTCAGAGAAGTGAAATGCCTCGGCTAAGTTTACAGTCGTGGAGGGAAAAGCTGAGCTTCAAGCTCAGGTCTGGCAGACTCTGAAGCCTGCACTCTTCTAGAAAAGCCACTGGGTTAAGGATTACAATGCCAATAGGGGGATGGAGAAACACGCTCAGAAAGGTGATAGGGCTCTCCCTGTGAATATGGCTCTGTCCAGTTGAGCAGAATACTGAAGCAATGCAAGAGTTATGGTTTTTTCCAAGCCCTCCAGAGAGACAACAGGAGGGCCAGAGCAGGACCCAGGAGTCCAGACCACTGTGTCTCCCATTCCTATTGGGGTTGGCTCTCTAGGAGCCCCTTGCAGAGCCCTGGGGCTAATTCCTTGCATGGATCCTGGACAGGTCTGCAGTTTCCATGGAGACCGCCTCCCACCATCCCTGAAATCTCATTGTGACCAGTATTAAGGGATTAACTCTGCCCAGCGGCCCTCGCAGGGTCTGGGGTGCTGAGAGGGGCCAGCAGGAGCTCCCTCAAGGATGAAGAGGTTGTGCACTGTGCGGGACCCCATAGCAGCAGGAGGAGGATGTCGGACTGGGGCCAGGGCTTCCCCCAGGACCCACCAGGTATGGTCCTGACTCCACATCTGCCTGGAAGGAAGGATGGGATGGTAGGAGAGAGACACAGAACCAAGGGGGAGGATTCCAGACTGGGAGCAGTGTGGAGGATTTGTACCCTCATCCCCTAACCCAGGAACGTCCATGGCCCTGATGGGTGAATGACGTTCCAATCAGAGAAGGAGAATCCAGACGACCTCAACAAGGTGAGAGGAGCCCCGTAGAGTATTAGGGGTAGTCCAAGGCTGCCTAAAGACCAGATCTCTTATCTCTCTCATTTTGCAGTTGGGGAAACTGAGGCACGGAGAGGGAAAATGACTTGCCCAAAGCCAGTGAGTCAGCAAACTGAAGCAGGTCAAGAATCCAGAGGGAACCCTGAAGTTCCCTGAGCAGAAAACAATCGGTTAAAATCTCATTGCCACTTCTGCCTTGAACTCCAAATCCTCCTTCCTGAGCTCCAGGCATGGGGTCCCCTCCATCCCCTCACCCAGAGCTTGTCTCATCGGCCATGCTTCCCTCCCTGCCTCTCATCCTCCTCCTGACTTCCCCTGCCACCCGCACCACCTGAGGCTGGCAGAGAGTTCCTGGCAGGTTCTCCAGTGCTGACGGGCACAGCCACCAGGCCCCCACTATTCCATCCAGGGGACACCTTCCCACTGGGTCCCTATCTGGATGACTTGGGACATTCTTTGTTCTACACTTCATCCTCTCTTTGGGATTTCTGAGTCCAGACACAGTGAGGACCCCGACAGCCCCCCTCCTCACCTCTTGTCCTGGGAAGGCCAGGCCTGCATGGCAGAGATGTAACCAGACTCCAAAGCTTTCTGGGCCGGGCTTCATGGAAGGCCGTATCGGTGCAGGGGCATAAACACAAGCTCTGGAGCCAGGTAGAGATAGTTCTAACACCATTGCCTTGGCTCACTGGGAAAATGATGTTTCTTCTCTGAGCCTCAGTTTCCTCACCTGTGATGGGAGACGAGAACCCTTCCATCCTCAAAGCTTGCTCTCAGCTGCTATGGAAGCATCTCCAGGTTGTGATATTAAATGAACCAAACAAGATACAGAACAGTGTAAGAGCAGAGGCTACTCATGTATGATCTTACATGCTATCTGGTCTGTATAAAGAAACCTTGGCAGATACATCTGTAAGGGATGTGGTTCCCCATAGTGAGGAAGTCAAGGAGAACAGGTGAACAGGAGACAGCTGGAAGCAAGACTTCTCAATTTACACCTTTTATGTTTTGATTCTGAACCATGCGAATGTAGCACCAATTCAAAACTAAATGTAAAGATGTTCACAAATTAAGTAAAATATTAAATAATAATAATAACACATACCTCAATAATATGACCGGTGTGCAGTCAAGATTTAGGCCCAGGTACTAGAAATTGACTCAAAGCAACAGAGGAGGCCTGTCTTCAAGTCACCGAATCCTTGACCTAGAAAGGCCCTTTATTTTGTCAACGTCAAATTGCCCATAACAACAATAATAGTCTTGGTAGCAAGAATCAGGAGCTCCCTACTTGGGGAACATGGTGCCAAGCACTGTCTGAACATTATCTCATTTAATTGGCATTTTGATTTTGTGAGGAAACGATCATCATTCCCTCTTTACAGATGGGAAAACTGAGCCTCGCTGAGGTTTTGACTAGTAAGTTGTAGTAAGTGATAGAACTTGATGCCATCGAAGGCTTTCCAGGTTCAAATTTGAAGCCCCCCTACAGTGGGTCTCAATATTGGCTGCACAAAAATATAGACGCCTGGCACCTCCCCACCCCTACCCCAAGATTCGATCATTGATCTGTGATAGGGACTGGGCATCTGTCTTTAATTTTAAAAAATCTTTTTAAAAAATAGACATAGGGTCTCACTATGTTGCCCAGGCTGGTCTCAAACTCCTGGGTTCAAGTAAACCTCCCATCTCAGCCTCCCAAAGTGCTAGGATTATAGGTGTAAGCCACCATGTTCGGCCAACATCTGTATATTTTAAAGGTTTCAGATGATTCTATTTCATCTTCAGAGATGAGTCTCTGCTTTGTTAGACAAAACTTCTCCAATGGGAAACCAAGGCCAGGGAGGGAAATGACCTTGCCCAAGGACACACAGTGGCTGGAACCAGAGCTGGGGCAGGACACCCAGCAGCTTACATGAAGCCCTAGGGCAAATAAGAAAAAGGCACCCCACTCTGGGCAGGCAGAGCTCCATGGGCACTTCGCTTGGCAAGTGGAACAAGGGCTGGGTTTCCATCCCTACCTGCCCTCTTGGCTGGAGAACCTTTGTGCAGTGAGCAACCTGCACAACTGTACAGGGCAGTAACTCTGATCTGAGCCTCAGGACTTCCAAACACTTCACCTTAGTGACCTGGCAAATCCCTGGGGCCCCTCAGAACAAGAGTATGGGGAGACCAAGGGTGGCTTCTGGGATGTGGGCTCAGCCCTCACTCCCCAAACCAGAGTCTGGGTCAGGCAGGGGCTCCCATCAGCCTTCAGGCCCCACAAGGGCCGGGAAGGCCGCATCTAATTCCCAAGGTCACCCCTGCAGATAAATTCAGGAACATAAACAGGAGGGATGAACATAAACAGGAGGACAGCAACACCCTCAGCCCAGATGTCATAAGCCACCTGGCAGGAGGCAGCCTGCGGAGAAGCTCCACCCACACAGATCCAAGTCCTCCTGGCTTCCTTCCTGATCATTCTCCAGACCATACTCTCTGCCCTACCTCCGGAGCCTTACAGTCAGCATCTCCCACAGTGCCCTGCTCTCTGCCCTTCTCCTGGCCATCTCTCACTGGCATCCCTGGAAGGGAAGGGTAGCCCTGGAGTTAGAGGCACAGACTCTAGAGACAGACTGCCCAAGTTCCAATTCCACTTCTTGTTTCTCATCAGCTGTGTGAGCATGGGTATATGGCTCAACCTCCCTGTGCCTCTGGTGTGTAAAAAATTGGTGAAAACATTGCCTACCTCCCAGAGTGGCTGGGAGGATCAAGGAAGTAACACATGCAAAGCTCCTAAAACAGCTGCATATCCAGTGGCCATGATGATCAATGTGTATATTTTGCTTCATTTCATTTTCATGACAACCCTGGAAGTTAAGTATTATAATTCCCAATTTACAGGTGAAGAAACTGAGGCTCAGAGAGGTGGAGAGAGTCAGGGCAGGGCTCTACATCTTTTTTTGTGATAGGGACTGGGCATCTGTCTTTAATTTTAAAAAATCTTTTTAAAAAATAGACACAGGGTCTCACTATGTTGCCCAGGCTGGTCTCAAACTCTTGGGCTCAAGTAATCCTCCCATCTCAGCCTCCCAAAGTGCTGATGCCTCCAGAGACAGGACGTGGCTGAGATGGATTATAACGTAGTCTCCGGTTTGCAGTGCCTGGCTGCTGGTCATATCCTCACAGGGCCCATGGGACACAGAGCCAGGTGCATTCCCCTGACTTGGGTCTTCCAATGGCTCTCAGGCACCTCTCTGCTTCCAGCCAGCCCTGGGAGGAGGGGGAGAACGGCATGGCAAGGCGTTTGCAGAGCCGTCTTGTTCACCAATGTCTTTCAAGACATTGCCCGGGTCCACAGAGAGCCCACCATTCATTCCCATGCTGGCTGGAGCCCCTGAATACCCGAGGTGACCTTCTGTCCTTGGACAAGTCACTTCCCCCTCTGATCTCCATCTCCCCATCTGTGCAATGAGGGGATGGGGCTGAATCAGTGGTTTTCCAACCCTCAAATAAAATATTAAGACTACATGTAAAAGGGAGTCGCTGGTTGAAGCTGGGCCTGTGGATGCATACCCTTGGCTCCTGGGAGCCTCGGAACCCAGCTTGAAAAACCCCAGCCCACATCCTCCTAAAGATTCTCCTGGCTCTGACACTGCAGAGTTCTAGAACCCCAAGCTCAAAGCTGCCGCTTCCCATCCCTGTTTGGAAAGCTCTCCCCCAGCTGCCTTTATCTCTCTTTGGTAACAGAGCAAATTTGCTCAGGACCCAGCACAGGGGGAACAAGCAGACTGTTGACTCTTGAGCAAAGCCTCTTCTTTGGAGAGCAGCCGAGGTGGCCGTGGGCTATGCGTTGGGAGGCCAGCGGCCTCTTGCATAACCCTGGAGGCCTCCTGCCCACCCAGGCCTTTTCAGGGTTAGGGGTGAGGAAAACCGCAAACTCATGCCCAGTTAATTTTTTAAGGCAAAATCAACAGGCTCAGCAATGATTAGCAGCTGGGTAAGTTGGTCTTAATCAGGCTAAGGACAGGGAGGGAGGAAGGAGGCCCAGGGATGGGGCCCAGTTATCAGTTAACCACATGAATGTTGCTTCCTTCCAAACCCACTGGCCTTCAGCCCCAAGCTCCCTCATCTTCCTCTCGGAAATACTCCTGTGACAAGCCAGTGGCCACCCATCATCGGGTGAACAAGCCAGTGGCCACCCATCATCGGGTGAACAAACACAATGCCACTCATGGTCTGTGATGAAGTAGAAAGTGCTCGTTGTTAAGACAAAGCTCACCCACCACCGCTGCGTGGACTTGAGCAAGTCCCTTTCACCCTCTGAGGCTCCGTGAGGGGCCCCAGGTCTGGGCCCCAAGTCTATGGTTCAGTCTGTGGCCAGCTGCCACTCCCCTGACGGCCTCAGTGTTTCCGTCCACTAAATGGGTGGGTTAGCCAAGGCATCTTTTCCAGTCTTGAAGCTTTGTGGGTGCCTGATTTGATTAAGCCACAGTGGCCTTTGCCGAGTGCAGAGGGTGGTATGAGTGGCATTTTAGGAGCTCAAGGAAGAGAAAGGGAGGGGACCTACCTGGTATCTGCCGTTGGTATCAGCAAGTGTCAGATCCCAGCTCCAGGAAGAGGGCTGTCCTCTCAGATGGGAGGCAGGGGTCCAGTGGGGTGGCTGTGGCTGCAGGGACAGCCTAGCAGAGCCTCTTGGTGGCCCAGACCCCCTGTCCCTGGACCTTGGAAGCCGCTAAAGGAAGCAGCAAGACCAGGCCAGCTGGTGGCTGCCTGGACTGGAGTTTGGTCAGTGGTTGGGGACCTATATTGTGAGATAGTTAGGACTTTGTCCACAAACTGGAATTTGAAATTTCAAAGGGGCAAAACTGAAGGGCCCTACCCCAGAGTAGAGATGGCTCTTGGCTTCTTTCCTCCACGACTTTTGTTCTTTGTCTTGATAAGTCCCAGTTTTCTCTGCACCTCTCCCGGAGTGGTGGGTGGGGAAGAAAAGATAGGAGATAATGGTGTGGTGAGCGCCAAGGGGAAGTGAAGATGCCAAGCAGCCCTGGGGTGGCCAGGCGTGTGGAGGATGCCCCTGCCCCTGCCTATACCCCGGGATAAGGTGCTTTACTTCTCAGGTCCTTGAGTTCCCCTGCAAGACTGAGGCAGTGAAACCACCAGCTCCAGTGCCTTAGAATTCCGAAGTCCTTTCAGGGATTCCAGGAGTCATGATGCAGGCAATGCGTAGAGGGGTGAAGCCCTCAAGCTCTGGAGGCAGACTCGGGTTCAAACAACAGCCCCTCCCTTACGAGCTGTGTGGCTTTGGGCAAGTCACTTCACCTCTCTGAGCCTCAATTTCATCATCTTTAAAATGGGGATGACAATAGCCCCTATCTCAACAGGCAGATAATATGAGAAGGCTAGAAGGTTTTTAGCACCAGGGCTAGCACAAAATTTCTCTGTAAACATTAGACCTTATTATAATGTAAAAGAGAAACAATGTGGTTCGTAGTGGCAGCTCCCTTACCACCGTCCACAGCAGAGGCACAAGCTCCCTACACATGCCTCCCCAACTGCAGGTTGCCCAGGGCAATCCCTTCCCGTCTCAACTGGGTCTCTCTGTGGGCTCTGAGGTCCTCTGCTATCCCCTGGAATCTGCTGCCTCTTGAGCTGGGGCCCGACAGCAAGTGAGCAGAGGTAAAGAACAGCTGCTAAATTGATGGCATTGAGGCTAGTGCTTGTTCATGGCTGGGTGTGTGGTACCTGGAGCTGTCCTGAGCAGGGGTCCTGATTCCAACTGATTATGTGGCCAGTGTGTCATGCAATCAATGACCAATGACAGTGATTGCTACTATTGTACTGTATGCCTACACGTGGTCATTTAATGCTTGAACCATCCCTACAAAGAAGGTATCAACCCAATTTTTCTGATGCTTAAACTAAGGCTGAGAAAAGTAGAAGTTGAGGTCACAGAGTTTGGTACATTGGCACTGCCTGGATTTTAACCTAGATCTATCTGACCCACAAGGTCTGTGGTTTATTCCCCTAAAGAGAGGTCAGGGGAAGAGAGGCTAAGAAGCTTATCTACTCTCTCATTTAATCTTCACGACAAACGACAAGTTAGACCCCTTGTACAGAAGGAGTAACCAAGGCTTCGAAATAAAAACTTGCCTTGTGCAGACAGCTGGCCCTGGGCTTGGAATATAAATAGTCACTGGTATACAGGCACCAGAGACCAATACCCACAGGCTAACACCCACTCAGTCCACAGAAAGAAGCTTAATATTTTTTATAAGCATAGAAATAAAAACCAAACCAATACTGTGACATTTGCTCTGTGACTTCCTGTATTTATTATGTGCTCATATGAAAGCACCTAAGCATTGTCAGGATAATGTTCTTCCTCACTGGAGGGCGTTATGAAGTTGCTTTCTTTTTTCCACTAGTTAAAAAAAAAATCCCTTGGAGGAAGGGAATGAAACTTTTTATAATTGATACATAATAATTGTACATATATATGGAGCACATGTATTTTGATACATGCATACCATGCAAAGTATTTAGGATATCCATCACCTCAAACATTTATCATTTCTTTGTGTTGGGTACATTTCAGATCTTCTCTTCTGGCTATTTTGAAATATAAAGTAAATGATTGTTAACTATAATCGCTCTACTGTGCTATAAGAACTAGATCTTATTCCTTCTATCTCACTTATTTTTGTACCCATGAACCAACGTCTCTTCATCCCCTGAAGAAAACATTCTTTTTTTTTTTTTAGACAGAGTCTTGCTCTGTCACCCAGGTGCAGTGGAACAATCTCGGCTCACTGCAGCTTCCACCTCCCAGGTTCAAGTGATTCTCCTGCCTCAGCCTCCCAAGTAGCCTGGACTGCAGGGGCATGCCACCATGCCTAGCTAATTTTTGATTTTTGTATTTTTAGTAGAGACAGGGTTTCTCCATGTTGGCCAGGCTGGTCTTGAACTCCTGACCTCAGGTGATCTGCCTGCCTCGGCCTCCCAAGATGCTAGGATTACAGGTGTGAGCCCCTGTGCCTGGCCTGAAACTTTCAAGGTCTCAAGACACTGTACATTTAAAGTACCCCAATGTTTTCCTTTTCCACCTCCCGTTCTTTCTCCTTATCTAACATGAAGAACATTGTATTAAATCTGATTTTTAAGGAGTTTTTGTCTGTTATGTGTTAAGGGTTTGTTTGGTACCCCAATGAAAACATTCTGCATTGCAGACCAAAGTGTGCTTATTTCAGGGGCATGGGATCATTGCGTTCTTAGCCATTGTCACAAAATACATGGAGTCATATTTAAAATGTAAAGTTGTAACATACATATGTTTAAAATGGAAATACAAAGCAAAAAGATGGATGTACAATGTCATGTGTATTCAGTTCTCTGTACTTAGTAAATGTAACAAACTTTCTGTCTATTACTGAACTATAGGTGCAAGGACACGTCTCCAGTTACTTTGCATCTGTAATCCACAAAGATTCTGGGCAGCTGTATTATCATAGCTTGGTTTAAATAAACTATGTAGTAACAATGAACAACAAGAACAAAAGAAATAATAGCTTGCCTGAGGTCACAGAGCCAGCAGATCTTATAGGTGGTGCGTCATTTATATGAGGAATGTGTATCTAGGAGATACTGTTTGGCGTTGGCTAAGGGTGGAATGAATCATGTATGTAATAGATTATGCAATTTACAGTGATGAGTGGATAGATTTACTTATGGGGTAGGTTATAATGTGGTGGGATGTGAATCTAGAATGTGCCTCCTAGGCAGTCATGCAGATTGTGCATTTGGTAAGTCAGGTATGTCATGATTCATGTATCTAATAGCTCTTCATTTGCAGTGTCCACCTAGTAGCTCTTGGATATAACGGGTCATGGCTGTGGCATGGTGTGGTTGATCTTGGTTGATCGTAGACCTTATTTAATTGAATCTAAGATGTCATCTATGGAAAAATGCATTGTTATTTTTGTTGCCAATGAAATTCTGACATGACATTGATCACATTCCCCGTTAAGCAATGTGGAACTGTGCCTCAGAGTGGAAGAGGCCATGTATTCCTGGATTGTGTGGGGAGTAGCTGTGCCTGTGGCCTGCCATAGGTGCCAGGCAGGTGGCAGAGGCCTGGGCTCAGCCCTTGGAGGCTCCTCCCGGAGCTGCCCTCCACATCTCTTCTGTGTTTACCCCTTGGTCGGATCTTCTGTTTCTTCCCACCTCTGCACTGCCCCCAAGGCCGGTGGAGCCAGGTCAGATACTCCTGAGGTAGGCATGGGAGGAACCCGCCGGTATTTGGTCTCTTTCAGCCCCTTATCAAGTCTCATAGTGTGGGTTGCAGGGGGCTGCCTCTTGCTCCCTCCCTCAGAGTCTTGTCCTGGCTAACAGAAAACTGAGCCAGGATCATCTTTCTATTTTACAGAGGGAGAAATTGAAGCCCTGAGAAGAGACGATGTAAATAAAGTTATCGGAATAGTGACTGAGCTAGTTCCTAACCCCAGGTCTCCTGACATCAAATCTAGCCTCTCTTGTCCTCCACAACAGTTGCTCCCTCTCCCCTTTCCCTACAGGCAATAGCACTCCCCAGTCATCTCAGCTTCAGAGGTCAGATCAAGTGGACAGAATAAAGCTAAGCAGGGCAGAGAAAGGGCTTCTAGCAGTGGAAAGAACATGAAGATGCCTCCTCATACCACTCGAACACACATGCCCTGACTCCCGATTTGCTCACTCATTAATCCACCCACACATTCACTCATTCACTCACTCATTAATTCACCCACCCATTCACTCATTAATTCACCCACCCATTTGCTCACTTACTCAGTAATTTACCCTCATTCGTTCATTCACTCACTCATTCATGCATTCACTCAACTCACTCATTAATTCTCCCTGTCTCTAATTCACTCACTCCTAATTCACCCACTCATCAATTCCCCCACACACTCACTCATTAATTGGTGCTCCCACTAATTCGCCCACTCTTGCTCACAGGTGTCACCGAGGCCCTCCAACCTGCCCTTCCAGCCAGCAGTGGAGGACAGGCTCCCAGGCCTCCCAAGTCTCAGGCTTTTCTTCCTCTGCCCTCACTCTCTGCCTTCTACATCAAGACTTTACTTCCCCAGATTGATTGGCAGCCCTTGAAAATGTCTGCACAGAAGGCAATGAGGGCTGGAGGGAGTGAGAAGAACAGAGTGCACCATGAGCTTCAGACAGCCAGGACCAGCTGTGTAATTTTCAGGGCCCCGTCCAAAACAAAAATGCACAATCCCTTGTTCAAAAGTCATGATGAATTTTAGGACAACCACAGCAGAGCACTGAACCAGGAACCAGGACTTTCTAAGGGTTGGGTTGCCTGTGACTGCACTGGCGATACCCCCACAAAGCCCACTCTGAAGGTAGGAGACGGGTGGAGAGAAACAGGGGGATGGCAAGGGGGATACGAAACAGGGAGAGGGAGGAGGGGGAAGAGGATGGACGTCTACCAGGCCCCACTTGGTGCTTGATTTATGCCATCTCATTTCCTTCTCAAACCACCCTTTGAAGTTGATTGTACATTTTACAGAAAAGGAAACTGAGGCTCGGAGAGGAGAATCATTTACCCAAGGTCCCAGTTAGTAGACGGTAGGTGCCTGAATGTAAATCCAGGTCTCTGCCTGCTCCGGGAGGGGGTGGGGGTGAGGGAAACAGGAGAATGTGATGGGAAAATCCGAGATGGAGCCAGCCTGGGCCAGAAACACTGGGAGCTGTGGGAGACGGAGAGGGGCAGGGTGGGATCACAGGGAGCAGGAGCGGGGAATTGGAGGTGAATCTGGCCCTCCCAAACTTCCAGTCCATTCTGCTCCCAGGGGAACCGGGAAACTGCGGGGGAACTGGAAGGGAGCTCCCAGAACAAGGATCCAGAAGATTGGCATCTGGGGCCTGGGATTTAGGTTTCTAAATCGTGGGCCATGGGGCAGCCTTATCTCTGCAAAAGCATTGAGGGTAGAAGTCAATGATTTGGGAAGTTATTGAATTAGGGGATCTCGGAGGTAGGCTGTCAGTGCCTGATAGTATCAGTTAGAATGCCTGACTTGGGGTGACAATGGCTTGGAGGGGTGGGTGAGTCAAGGGTCAAATGAGTGCCCGTGAGTCATGATGCCTGCCTTGTACAATTGATAACTGAACATCGGTGAGTTAGGGCCCCAGCAGTTGTAATTAGCACCCCGGGTGTCAGCCAGAAACCAACAAACAGCCAAATCCCTGCAGCCCCGCCCAGCCTATCCACCGGCGGGGGACCGATTAACCATTAACCCCCACCCCTCCCCGGCAGAGCCTCCACCCCTTCACAGAGGCTAGGCCAAGACTCCCAGCAGATCTTCCCAGAGGACGGTTTGAAAGGAAGGCAGAGAGGGCACTGGGAGGAGGCAGTGGGAGGGCGGAGGGCGGGGGCCTTCGGGGTGGGCGCCCAGGGTAGGGCAGGTGGCCGCGGCGTGGAGGCAGGGAGAATGCGACTCTCCAAAACCCTCGTCGACATGGACATGGCCGACTACAGTGCTGCACTGGACCCAGCCTACACCACCCTGGAATTTGAGAATGTGCAGGTGTTGACGATGGGCAATGGTAGGTGGGGGCAGATGTGCCCAGGTGTGCCAGTGGGGGCAGGTGTGCCTGGGTCCAGGAGCAGATCTTTGGCACTCAACTTTGGGGTGGGAGGAGAATGATACAAAATGGTAGGTTGGTCCTACAGGCCAGCACAGGTGTTGCCAAGTGAAGCCCATGTGCCCAGGCACAGTGATCACAGGCATTCTGGGTGAAGGGAGGCCTGCAAGGGCCAATTTCCAGCAAAAGTCGATCCCGGCTATTCCTCCCAGGCCCTTCCAGTCCTCACTGCCTCACAGTGGCTCTGCTTGGCGCTTGGCACAGTGACGTGATGGTGAGCTCCCCCTTGGTGCCCAGCTCCAGCGATTCAGCCCAGCACGGCCCCTTCGTGAACCCCTTGGGCCTAGGTTCAGAGAGACGGCAAGGGATGTTGTATCCCTGGAGATGGTGGTTGGAGACATAACCGCATTTCTCGGTGTCTTTGGGACTTTCCTAGGGAAATGAAATTGGCACTTAGGGAAAATGGAGCTCTCAGGGAAGTTTTGCTAACTACGAAGCCAACTCAGCACTGTGTGTGTTGTGTGTGCGTTCGTGTGTGATAGTGAGTTTCCATGTAGGTTGTATGGGTGGGGTGATGCCTTCAGGAACCCATTTGCATATGTGTGTTCATTTGTCTCTGTGTGTGAGTTCTGGGTCTATTTTCCTTTGTATTCATTGAGTGGGTCTGTGTTTGTGTCTTAGGAGTTGCCCGTGTTGATCTTGCTTATGTATGTAAGTGTGTATGTGTGTGTACTTGTGTCTGTGGATGTTTGTACATGTGTGCTGTGTGTGCGGGTCATAGAGCACATGCGTTTGTGCATGCGGACCTGTTGGAGTGCCCTGTTCTTCCTGCATCTTTATCCTGTATGGGCGTTTTGTCGTGTGCCCATATTTGTACCTGCTGTGTATATATGCAGTTCCCTGTGCTGCGGGCGGGGGTCAGCGGTCTCTGGTGTGCACGACTGCACAGACCCAAATGCAGGACTCTGTTGTTGCCACTCACCAAGTGAGATTCATATCAGCAACATGTCCGTTTGTCTCTGAGCAGATTTTGTTGCCGCTGCGTCTCGCCAGATTGAGGCATCCCCTCCGACATCACTGGAGCATATCTGGAGGGGTGGACAGTTCTCCACAGGGAGGTAGGGGAAAAGAGGAGGCCCGGAAACCCCTCCTGGAGGGAAGAGCCCCATCGGTCCCAGGCCAGCCTCAGAGGAGAGGGGGCAGGCAGCTGGCTGAGGTCAGCCTGCCACCCTGCTTCCTTCTGTGTCTTGGAGCCACTCAGCCAGTATGAGGCTGCAGCTCCAGCTGAGGTCTGGAATCTTGTGGTCAGCTCAGCTAGGGTGAGGAGGCAGCTGCTGGGCACTGCTTGTTGTCAGCTCAGCAGGTGCTCACCTGCCCCTGCCGTCCAGTCACGTGTGACCTTGGGCATGTCACCTCCCCTATCCTGGCTTCTGTATCTTCTACAAAACAGGCTTCATTCCCCCAGGCCTGCTGGCTGGACGGCTTTTAGGCCTGTCTGAGGACCACGCCAGGAGCGCAAGGCAAAAACACACCAGAGATAGCAAACAAGCTGCTGCTGCACTAGGTGGAGTGTTGTGTGGCCCCACGAGGACCACTGCCCTGCCCTGGGCTGCTCCCCGCCCCCATCACTTTTTCCAAGCCCAGGAACTGTGTGCTCCTGAGGCAGAGGCCAAGCCCCTGAACTGGGAGTCCCAAAGACAAGACCACCTCCAGCTCTGGAACCAGAAAGATCTGGGCTCAAATCCGGCATAGATCCTTCCAACCTGTGTGAATGTGGCAAGGCAATTTCCTCTCTGAGCCTCAGTTTCCTCACCTATAAAATGGGAATAAATAATAGTGTCTGTCTCCCAGGGCTGGCCAGAGGATAAATAAGATGAGGTGCCTGGGTGCTTAGCCCTGGTAAAGGGCCTGGCCCCACCATGGGTCATCTCAAGGGCTCTGAGCATCTGTAAGCAGGGTCCCCACATTCCTCACTGGAGTTTGAAGTGGTCTGAATTGGGGTTATGTGAAGTTGTCCTCTGAAGTGTTTTGAGTACATCCTGGGCTGGTGTCTGAAAGGCTCCAAGGATATTTCTCCCCCGTCCTCTCCCCACCCCAATGGAGCAGCAGCCCTGGGTGGCTCCTTGTTCATTAGAGGCCCAGCAGACACCTCAACATGTGTGGCACTGGCTGGAGTAGCCCAGCAAGCCTGGACCATAAACCCATGGCTCTGCTTCACGGGAAGCAGTGCGATGACACCAGGAAGCCACTTTTCCTCTCTAAGCCTCAGTGTCCTCATCTGTGGAATAGAGGTGCTCGGCTGACCTCAGAGGGGAGATGATAGAGCTGACAGCCCCCAGCCCATCCTGCCTCAGAGGTGGGAGCTACTTCCCCAGCCTCCTGCTGAATGGCCAGGAGCTGTGGGGGTCAGCTCTCCCCGGGGGTCGGGGGAGGAGAGGCCGAGGGAGAAAGGGCACCCACGTGGCTTAACAATTATCCCCATCTCCAGGAATAATTCACCAAGTGGAGGGGGCTGCACTCCTGGGGACACCTGGGAGTCTGCGATGGCAGAAATGAGATGCGGCAGTGTCTGCTTGTGCAAGGAGCCTGGAAGTCCTCTGCTCCGAGAGTTTTCCTATGTGGAAAAGTTTTTATTTCATGAACACTGATATAGTGCTTACTATGTGCCAAGCACTTCACATACACATATGAGAATTCACCGAATCCCCATAACGAACCTAGGGGAATATCACGTTCCCCATTTTACAAGTGAGGAAACAAAAGCATAGAGAAGTAAACGAACACAGTCAATGTCACACGGCTAAAAAGTGGGCAAGCTGGAATTGAACCCTGGGCAGAAGGACTTCAGAGGCTGTGCTGTTACCTACAGTGCATGGCCCTCTCTGGGTCTTAACTGGATGCCCCTGAGGAATCCAAGGTTGGATTCAGGATTTCTATGAATACACGTGTGTGTGTGTGTGTCTGTGTATGTGTGTATGTTTGTGCATGTGAGCATGTGTGTGTGGACTGTGTGTATGTGTATGTATATGTGTGGACTGTATGTGTGCACACATTTGTATATGTGTGTGTTGATGTGTTTGTATGTATGCATGTGTGTGGACTATGTGCAAGTGTGTGCAATGTATGTGGACTGTGTGCATGTGTGGACTGTGTGTATGTGTGTGCATGTGTGTGGAGCGTGTGTGTGCTTATGTGTGGACTCTGTGTTCATGTGTGTGTACTGTATGTGTACACATGTGTGTATATATGTGTGTGTGTGCGTGTGTCTGTGTGGTGTGTGGACTGTGTGGTGTGTGTGAACTGTGGTGTGTGTGTGCGTGACTGTGTGGTGTGTGTGCGCGTGTGTGTGACTGCTTGGTGTGTGTGAACTGTGGTGTGTGTGGTGTGTGTGTGCTTGTGTGTGGTGTGTGTGCGTGTGTGGGAACTGTGTGGTGTGTGTGGACTGTGGTGTGTAAGGTGTGTGTGTGCTTGTGTGTGGTGTGTGCGTGTGTGTGGACTGTGTGGTGCGTGTGTGTGCTTGTGTGTGGACTGTGTGGTGCGTGTGTGTGGACTGTGTGGTGCGTGTGTGTGCTTGTGCGTAGCGTGTGTGCGTGTGTGTGGACTGTGTGGCACACACGCTTGCATTTTCCCGGGGGCTGACCCATTGCATTTGTCATCTTCTTCAAAGGGGTCTATCTTTGCTGAAAGATTTGCTGACAAATAAAGGGGGTTCAGCTGCTGCTATTTTTTTAAATTTGGAAACAAATTTTTTAAATTTTTTAAATTTTTTAAATTTGGAAACAGACCAGTCAAACTGCTGCCTTTTATGGTTAGAGAAAATGAGGCCCAGAAGAAATTGAAGCAGGGAAAGCGAAGTTGCCCAAGTTTACAGGCGAGTTAGTGGCAGCATCAGCAGTAGTGCCCAGGACTCCTGGCACCCAGCCCAAGATCCTCTTTCCACCTGCCTCTACGGCCCCCCTCACATTTGTGTAGATGCAGTAGCTTTTGCCTGTGGGATGGGAGGGATGGGAGATGTGTCCAGACCCTCCTAGGAGGCCACATGAGTGTGACTGTTCTCGGCCCAAGTCTTTCTCGTTCCTCAGAGAATTTGCGGGGCCCCTGGGCACACAAGCTGAGATCCACCCAGCCCTGGTCCCTTGGCAAGAACTGAGGGACAGGACCTGGTTCTGGGGAAAATGCAGGGGAATGTTTCTCCCTTCCACAGCCCCCTTGCGAGTTAGGAGGCCGGCTCCCACCCCAGAAGGTGGCCAGGTTTTCATGCCTTCCTAGAGAAAGCTGGGGCTCGTGGCCTCCACCACAGGAAGACGCAGACCCTCAGAAACAAGTCTGTGAAGTCACAACCAGCCCCAGTTTACAGATGTGAAACTGAAGCTCCAAAAAGTCAGGAGGTCACTGAGTGGGGAGGTGATGGAGTGGGAACAGCCCCCAGATCTGGCTGAGGCCGAAGCCCTGGAGAGATCCCCGCAAGGCTCCCTTAGATGCCTGACATTCTGTTCTTCCTGAAGCCTCACTCCCTTCTCTCCTGGCGCAGACACGTCCCCATCAGAAGGCACCAACCTCAACGCGCCCAACAGCCTGGGTGTCAGCGCCCTGTGTGCCATCTGCGGGGACCGGGCCACGGGCAAACACTACGGTGCCTCGAGCTGTGACGGCTGCAAGGGCTTCTTCCGGAGGAGCGTGCGGAAGAACCACATGTACTCCTGCAGGTGAGGAGCCTCAATTTCTTCAGCTGGGAAATGGGCACACTTGGGCTCATGGCCCCAAGGTCTGTCTTCTCCCTGAGTGGGTAGGTCCCAGAGACAGCTGCCCTTCAGGGCCTTCAAGGCTCTTCTGGTTTTGTAAAAGACTTTGTGAATCCAAGAAGAGCATCTATTCTAGGAACCACATTTACTGATCATCAAGCTACTGGCTGCCGTTTATTGAGCTCTTATCATATGCCAGGCACAATACTAAGTCTTTGTGTGTATTTACCCATCCCCTTGAGCCCATTGTTGTTTTTCCCATTCCATGGGGCCTCTCCTGAAGCCTCAGTAGATGAGCCCGTCTTCCAGTCTGGTGCTGTTTTTGGGACAAATAGGAGATTGACCCCAGGCCGTTCCACCTACCCCAGGGGCTTCCACCAACCCCAAAGTCTTCCCAAGGCCTTGGAGAGCCCTCTTTCGAAAGCATCTCCTGTTCTGGGTAATGACAATAATAAAATCATAGCAGCTGTCAATTGCGAGCACTTGTCATGTACAAAGACTGTGCCCCATCGGCGCATGACTTCATTTCACCTGTCAACACCCCTGTGAGATGGTTACTGTTGTTATTCCCATTTTATAGAGGAGGAAGCTGTGGCTTGGAGGGCTAGGCATTTGCCCAAGGTCAACCAGCTTGAATCACTGGCAGAGCCAGGGTTAACATTCAGGGCCCCACCCATCACCACGGTGTGGCACTGCCTCTACTTCCTATCCCCCTCCAGAGAGAGGCTTATGTGAACCGAGTATTAACTCTGAGCCATAACCAGGAGCCTGCTATGGGTTCTGAGCTTTTATAGGATGTGGTGGAAATAGCAGGGCTCTGGTACTCCAGAGGTCAAGGTTCCCAACTCAGCTCTAACACCAACCAGCAGAGCGACCCAGGACCACATGTTGCCTCTCTGAGCCTCAGTTTTCCCATGTTTAGCAGGACAGGACTGGGCTCTTAGAGAGTTCATAGCACCTTTCCAGCTCCTGGTGGGTTCAAGAGAGAACTCCCGGGATGAAGAGATGAGAGCACTGAGGTTGGGGGGTCAACTGGATAGCCAGGGCCCTAGTTCTGTCCTAAGAGGAGGAAGTTGTGTCTTCTCCATCCAACCATCCAAAGCCCTCCCCAGATTTAGCCGGCAGTGCGTGGTGGACAAAGACAAGAGGAACCAGTGCCGCTACTGCAGGCTCAAGAAATGCTTCCGGGCTGGCATGAAGAAGGAAGGTGAGCCTCGGCCCTCCCCGCCCCACCACCACTGCCCCACCTGCACCCACAGCTCCCCGACAGTCATTTACAACTGTAGCCACACTTTATGACTCAGTGGCAGGCCCCAGGGTGACTGGCTAATGGCTGAGAAGAGGGAGGGCCTGGAAATCTGACCATAGGGAGCGGCTGGGCTTGGTCTTGAGAAAGATTCAGAGAGATAAGCTCCCACTCTTGGCTCCTCAGGCTCCCAGCAACCACCACCCCTGCCTGCCTGTCTGCGCCACCACAAAGCAGCCACGTTGTGTGTGTGTGTGTGTGTGTGTGTGTGTGTGTGTTTAATATAATATTTCGAACGTTAGGACAAGCATAGAGAATGATATTGCAAACATCTGAGTACTCACTATCCCAACTTTACAAAAGGGACAGCCAGAGGAGCCCGATGCCTGAGCTTCCGGTCCCAGGGACAAATGCCCCAGTTCCCTTAGTATTCATTCGTGGGTATCACGTGATCTCCAAAGTCTTCACATTCTAGAAAATGGGAACAAGACCCCAGACCCATCCTGGACAAAGGAGGAGAAGACCAGAGCACAACATTTATTAAGGTCTTGCCAGGCTTCCTGCTACCAGCAGGTATCAGTCACTGGGCTGTGCTTTTTCCACACTTCAGTAGGTTGGGTTCATTTCATTTTCATGACAACCCTATATGGGAAAATGTTGTGAAAATGAAATGAGCCCAGCCCATTGAACCTATTACAATTCCTCCCTTTTTGTGGATGAAGGAACTGAGGCCCACAATGGTTAAGCAACTTGCCTAGGGCCCCACAACTGATCCTTGGAAGATCTGAAGTCCCAGAGCTTCTGCTATTTGGACCACACTTCAGCACTGTCTATTATTTTATGCTCTCCAGATACCAGGGACATTTAAAATTGTTTTCAGCCCAAGCAAGGGAAGCAAAAATCTTTTAACTGCTTTAAAGTAACTTGAGGCCAGGCGCAGTGAATCAGGCCTGTAATCCCAGCACTTTGGGAGGCCGAGGCAGGCAAATCATTTGAGGTCAAGAGTTCGAGACCATCCTGACCAACATGGTAAAACCCCGTCTCTACTAAAAATACAAAAAAATTAGCTGGGCGTGGTGGTGCATGCCTGTAGTCCTAGCTACTCGGAAGGCTGAGGCAGGAGAATTGCTTGAACCCAAGAGGAGGCGGTTGCAGTGAGCTGAGATCATGCCACTGCACTCCAGACTGGGCAAGACAGCGAGACTCTCTCAAAAAAAATAAAAAAGTAACGAGTTCATTTTCGAATCTCTTCATTTCCTGCTCCTCTAAACTCAACCTTTCCCAGCTCTGCGACTAGTCCCAGACCTTCCCTTCTAGCCCACAGTTGTGCCGTACCAGCCAAACCTTGGTCTAGTCCTGCTAGTTCGGTACAAACACCCCTCACCCCCATCACCCCAGCACACCCCAGAAGCAGGAACGTAGGACCCAGCTTGCTCCAGGGCCCACTGAGAAGGAGGGGAGGGGAGGCTTTGGTAGACTCTCTTTCCCCTGTATCTGCTCCTGGCCCCCTGTTTTCTCTGCCCCCTCCCTTGGAAATATCTTCTATGTCTCATCCTTATGGGACCTTAGTCTGGGCTCATGAGCTGTCTTGGAAAATCTGGGCTTGCTGATCCCGATGCAGGAGTGGGTGGTCCCCAAGGCCTGCTCTGAACGCTGCAATTCTAACATCTAGATATCAGTGGTTCTCCAAGGGCAAGAGGGGCTTTTTAAGCTGCAAATACTCCCTCCTCTCCCAAACCCAGTTTTCAATGGGGTTAAGCCTGTCTCATCCACTTCAACTTCCATTTTGTGGACTGGGAAAGATTATGAATGGGAACCTGATGCATGTGTGAACAGTTGGAGGCAAGAAAAAGATTGAGAACTACAGTCTAAGGTTCCAACATTTCTGTGGTTGTATTAGTCAGTGATTCCATTATCCCAAAAGCCTAAGATTTTAGGCACTATGATTCCTCATAGGTGTCATCCAGAGGGCACTGTGTTTGAGAGAACAGCTCTCTCACAGTGAAAGTTCAGGTCTGTGACAGGCAGATGGGAGAGGGGTTGGCAGCCCTCCTGAGTGGATGGCTACCCACCTCCACTGCGTGTGGCCTGGTCCTGCGTGTGGTCAGTTGTTATAAATGTCTTTTATTAGACATCCAGAGTCATTTTCACTTGTGTAATTTAGGGACATTTCTGTCTCTTCTGGGCTCTAGTTTTCCCATCTATAAAATGAGGACATTGGATAATGAACCCTTCAGCCCTATGAGTCTCGCTCCTCACTCCCTGACCTACCTGCACAAGTCACACTGCCCACTAGGATGGGTGTGTTTGTTCCCTGGTCCCTTCTTTTTTTTTTTTTTTTAGATGGAATTTCGCTCTTGTTGCCCAGGCTGGAGTGCAATGGCAGTATCTCGGCTCACTGCAACCTCCACCTCCTGGGTGTGAGTGATTCTCCTGCCTCAGCCTCCCAAGTAGCTGGGATTACAGGCATGTGCCACCACACCTGGCTAATTTTGTATTTTTAGTAGAGACAGGGTTTCACCATATTGGCCAGGCTGGTCTGGAACCCCTGACCTCAGGTGATCCGCCTCGGCCTCCCAAAGTGCTGGGATTATAGGCATGAGCCACTGCGCCCGGCCCCTGGCCCTTTCTTGAGCTGCTGCAAAGCCAGCAAACCCCTTACTAGGCTCCTGGAAGGGGGATGAGAGCCCCAGACCATTCAGCCTTAGCTCAGCCTTGAAAATAGCTGCTTGCTTCCTGGCCCAGGGAAACGGACATGCTGCCCGGAGGATAGGAGAGTTGGCTGATGGCGAGTGAGCGTGGGTTAGTCGATGCTAGTGTTTGTTTACATGCCTGGGTTACCTGGAAGATCATGACACATGCAGTCACTTGGTTGTTTTGAGAACGGGCCAGAGTGACAAAGTGTTCAGTTGCCACTGTGGTCAAGCCATAGGAAATGAGGGTATTCCTAGCTGTGCCTGTCTTCTAGGCCCCACCACCCCTCCTCAGCCTGCTGGGAAGCTCCCAAAGCCAAAAGAAAGTCTCGGTGGAAGTCTCACTGGCCAGGAGAGTTGGGACAAGTTTTTATTTCTTTTTCTTGATGACCTTAGGAGAATTTGAGGACTGAAACCCTAAAATAGTCCCTGAGAACCAGAAAGTGTGAGCTGGAAAGGTAGGATTTCAAGACCAGCTGAGTCTATAAGAGGTCATCAAATCTACCTGCTCCCCACTTTACAGAAGAGGACACTGAGGCTAGAGAGGTGATGTGACGGGTCAGGGGTGGAGTCAGGTCTAGAACTCAGGCTCCCCAGAGCTGAGCAGACACCAAGCTCCCTGGAGTGAAACTTGCAGTGATCAGCTTGGGAGGCACATTTCTTGATCTAGATGGCTGAAACTTTCTCTCGACCACAGAGAGGGGCTTCAGGTCTCATGGGCCTATAAGTCTCTGCCACAGGATAGTCCACCATGGCTGGAAGGGGCTCCCTGGAAGGCCAAAGAATCCAGGGAGAACCCTGGGGGTCAGTGGGCCAACAGCAGGTCAAGAATTCTTTCCTGCAACCGAAAGCCAGGGAGACAGACACCTGCCTTGGCCTAAGCTGTCAGGCCCAGGACAAATATTCGGCTCCTGGCATCAAAAACCCAGCCCAGAAAGCGGACCCAGAGTTGCAGGAGGTGAGCGTAGGTGATGGGCCAGGGGCCATCTGAAGAGGCCTTCCTCGGAAGCCCCTGCCCTGCTCCCCACAGCCCCCTACCCAGGAGTTCCCTGGGAAGACAGGCTCATCACCTCTCCGCCTCTGCCCAGGTCGGTTAATATTCAATAGAAGTTACATTAGGTCCCCGACCCTGCTAATACTGAGCAAACATTTGGAAAACATCATTCCGTGACTGAGCTCGCGCCGGGCACTGATAACGCCCGCCTAACCTTGAGGAGCCCTATCCGCAGCTGCTGACAGCAGCCCTTTCATTCCGCCCGCCGGCCACTCGGCGCCCTGATGGGTGGGTGCGGGTGCTGGCAGGAGGCTGCCGTGGGAGGGGTGTGGGCGGGTGGGGTGGACGGCCCGGTCAGGGAAGCCGTGCTCTGAGCTGGCCCCGTCCACATGGTGGTCTGAGAGGAGGTTGCTTGCCTCTGGACTTCTGTTCTATCCACTGACTCCCGGGCTCAAGTGCAAAGGATTTGACTTTTATTCTCTGATTTTAACAATGTGTCAACATCAAGAGAAAGTTGAATAGCTGGGGTGTCAATGTTCCCTGGAGAAATAGGGTTCTTATAAGAATTAGAGTTTATGACCAGGTGTGGTGCCTCGCACCTGTAATCCCAGCATTTTGTGAGGCTGAGTGGATCACTTAAAGCCAGGTTTTCGAGACCAGCCTGGGCAACCTAATGAGACCCCGTCTCTCAAAAAAAAAAAAAAATTTAGCCAGGCGTGGTGGCACACGCCTATAATCCCAGCTATTCGGGAGGCTGAGGCAGGAGGATCGCTTGAGCCCAGGAGGTTGAGGCTGCAGTGAGCTATGATTGCACCACTGCAGTCCAGCCTGGGCAACAAAATGAGACCCCATCTCGAAAAAAAAAAAGAAAAAGAATTAGAGCTTGTCTCTTCCAATGCCTTCGTTCTCTCACTGCACAAATATTCATTGAGTACCTACTGTGAACCAGGCCCTGTTCTGGTGGCTGGGACTACAGCAGTGAACTAGAGGGATGGAGTTTTGGCCTTCTGAAGCTTTCCTTCTCAGAGAGAGACAGATAGTAAAGGAAGTAACAAATAATTCTACAATAAGTGACTTGAAGAAAAATAAAGCATGGGGGGCAGGGCCAGGGTGGGAGTCATGTTGTGTTAGACAGGGTGGCTGGAGAGGGTGTCTGAAAGGCGACATTTGTGCAGAGGCAGGAGTGAAATGAAGATGCTGCTGCGCTGTGCAGGAAAGGGAACCCCAGGCAGTGACCACAGCAGCCTACAAGCGTGCGGATGCGTCCAGGTGGGGAGGCGGGTTTTCGCGGACAGAGTGTGTAGGGGGAAGCCGGTAAAAGGTGCGATCCGAGAGGAGAGGAAGGGCCCTGGGGACTTGTGAGGTTGGAAGGCACTGGTTTTGAGCAGCAGGCGACATGACTTGAACGGATCCCTCTGTCTCTGAGAGGAACACAG
Organism: Homo sapiens; assembly: GCF_000001405.40. NCBI lineage: Eukaryota > Metazoa > Chordata > Mammalia > Primates > Hominidae > Homo > Homo sapiens. The sequence goes on from NC_000020.11 coordinate 44,412,638, forward strand.
ACTGCAGGCGCAAGGCAGAAGCAGAGCCCAGGAGGAGGCTGATCTAATCCAGGAGAGACAGCGGGCCTGGGAGCAGGGAGGGAGCAGCAGGTCTGTTTGTCAGGATCACGACAGCACTGGGGTGTGAGGGGAAGCCAAGGAAGGTGGCCAGGCTTGATGCCAGTCCCTGAGACGAGAAAGAGTGCAGGGAGCCGGCTGGCAGGGAAATGCCTACGGGTAGGGAAACTGAGCCCCAGAGAGAGGCTGCGATTGCCACCGGCACACAGAGTGGCAGGTTCCAGACAGGAAGCCGGGTCTGGTGCAGCTTCAACCTCCCTCCTTTCTGAATCAGCCAAGCCTCATTCCACAGTGAGGCCTCTTGGACTCCAAGGGCTATCCCATCCACTGTCGGGATGGTGGAAGGATCATCTTCTATCTCAGGCCAGGACTGACCCAGATGGGAGCAGGCAGTGGAGCCTGGGGCCCCGGTGGGCGTAGGCTCCAGATCCCTCAGTGCCTGGAACAGAGCAGCAGTGGGAGGGAGGGAGACAGCGCCTGGCCTTGCTGATGCTGAGGTTAGTCTGGAGTACATGCAGCTCCTGCTGATGGACAAAACCATCAAGGCAGTTGGAGCCCCCAGATCCTCTTGTTCAGGAATCCCCAGGCCATCTCCTTGTCACCCAGAGTAATTTGTTTTGCTTGCTTTACTCACTTTCATTTGGAAAGAAAGGGACCCTTTTGTAGACCAGAGCTTGAACATCTTTAAGCTAGTCAGATCCCCTCCTCAATGCTCAAGACCAATTTTAAACCCATAGCCGAGTCTTCACTGTCTTGCGCGCCCCTGCTGATGGGTGGATCACTCTTATAGCCTCTCCATTGTGTTGGGGGCAGTTGTGATATGTGGAAAGTTCTTCCACCAGCTGAGTTAGAGGCCATCTCCCCTCATTCCACATGCTGATGTGGGCCTGTTCTCTGGACACCCCCCACCTCCTGCTCCCACTCCTCATCAGTCACAGACACCCCCACCCCCTACTCCATCCCTGTTCTCCCTCCTCACCTCTCTGTGCCTCCTCACAGCCGTCCAGAATGAGCGGGACCGGATCAGCACTCGAAGGTCAAGCTATGAGGACAGCAGCCTGCCCTCCATCAATGCGCTCCTGCAGGCGGAGGTCCTGTCCCGACAGGTACCGGGGTGATCCTGCCACCCACCCAGGGATCCCCCACACTACAGAGGAGCTCACCTCCTCCACCTCCATTCTCCCCAGCCAGGCCCTGGAGCAGCTGACGGGAGGGGCCTCAGATATTACAGAAGGGACACTGAGTCCGGTTTCACATGGCCCAGTTTGCAGCAAGGGCAGGAATCGAACCTGGCGCCCTGGGGCACTTTCTAATTCATCCTACTGCCTGCATCCCACAGGCCAAGCAGAGTCTTCACCTTCACTGAGGGCCTGCGATCAGCTCAGCTCCGAGAGAACAGAGCAGTGGCTCAGTGGAGAGAGGTGGCAAAGTGGGGCCCAGCCCTTCCCTTGCTGAGTGACCTTGGGCAAGTCACAGCACCTCTCTGAGCCATGGTTGCCTCATTGTCAGAAAAGGATGATGATTTTTTGCCCTGCTTCTCCTCTAAGGCTGACAGACTCCTTGGGGCTCTAAAGCTGACAGAGGAGGGGGCAGGGGGCAGGTAACAGGTGAAGGCACAGAGGGAGCCCTTCTCCCTCATCCCTGCCTCCTCCCTCCCTCCGTTTTTACCCTGAGCTTCCTTCAGAGCTGGAGGGCACCCACTATCCAGCCCCCTCCCCACATCTGATTCCAGGGAGGGGGCTCTGTGCAGGGGACAGAGAGTGCGGGAGGGCCCGGACATCTCCAGCATTTTCTTCCCTGTATCTCTCGAAGATCACCTCCCCCGTCTCCGGGATCAACGGCGACATTCGGGCGAAGAAGATTGCCAGCATCGCAGATGTGTGTGAGTCCATGAAGGAGCAGCTGCTGGTTCTCGTTGAGTGGGCCAAGTACATCCCAGCTTTCTGCGAGCTCCCCCTGGACGACCAGGTGAGGATGGGCGTGGATGGTGGGCAGTAGTGGGCAGTGGGCGGGGCAGCCAGGGGGCTGCTGGCCCACCTGGGATATAGCCGTGGACTGGCTTGATTTTATTTTATTTAACAAAATATGTAGTGCACACACGTGTCTGAAACTTTAAATCACCTTACAAATATTAACTCAGTTAGCTCCTCCAACAACTCTATGAGGTAGGTACTAAGGTACTATTATTACTGCCATCTCATAGGTGAGGAGATTGGGGCACAGAGAGGTTAAGTAACCTGCTCAAGGTCACATAGCTACTATCCAGCATAGCTGGGATTAGAACCTGGCAGGAAGCTCCAAAGTCCAAGCTCCTGACCATTGTACCTGAGGCTCTCCCAGGGGGATGTTGACAGGGACCCTAGGACAGGGATCAGGAGATTTTGGCTTAAGCTATGGCTCTAAGACTGGTTGTCTGCCTAATCCTGGGCAAATGAGTTCCTCTCTCTGAGCCTCAGTGTTCTCTTATCTGTAAAGTGGAAATGATAATATCCACTTTAGAGTGTGGTTGGGAGGATTGAGGACATTGGTGTCTGAAAAGTACAAAAATCAGGTGATGGGGCAAGCTGCACAGTGGCCAGACCAGAGCTGGTCTCCCTAAACATTAGTTTCTTCCTTGTTTCCCACCAAAACGATTGAACTCAGCATCGTGTTTCCCACCAAAACAATTGAACTGAGCATCATATTTCCCACCGTACATTTTTTTGGAATACTGAAATGTCCCTAGGGGGAAGAAAGGGTTGAAGGAAGGTGGCGTGTGTCTGAGGACAGATGAATTTCGGAGATGCCACCTATGAAGCTCCTGCCCAGAGCACCCCTGGGCCTCCAAAGAGATGTTACCCATCTGGGGAAGAGGAGCTGGGCTGGGCCACCTTCTCAGCTTCGGAGACAGACTCTGGTGCATTCGCTTACCCGTTTCGCACCTTTGCATAAGACACTGACAATGCATGTGAGTCTGTGAAAGCTTCTGAGAAGTCTCGTCCAGGCAGTTGTTTGACTTTGCAGAGGCCGAGGCTTCTCAAACTCCTTCGGCAAGATTCTCCTGGAACACCTATTAATACTGCACATTGGGACACTGTGAAAACGCTGGTTTGGCTTGTCCCCAGCCTCATACAGGGGCTGGACCCGGGGCCCTCTTCCATGGTTCCTCCTTCCATTAGCAGAGTCGACAGGGCAAGGATCTTGGACAATCCGCCCCTACCCTCTCCCCTGTTCCTTGTGCTCTGGCCCCAGTCCCCTCTGCTGGAGTCTCTACATTAATGTTTAATCCCTCCTGTTCCTTCCCAGGGGCTTAGCAGGGCAACAAGATACCCCCAACCTGAGCAATTGTTAACCTCGATTTCCCACCCAAACCTCCCTGGCTGGGGCTCAGAGCATTCTCAGAGAGCAATGATGGGTGGCCAATAACACAGGACAATCATTAACACACCACCCCGACCTCCCGGCCCACCCCCCAGAACAGCTGCCATATCAGGGGGTTGAACCTGGGATCAGAAGGGTTCCCAGCTCCCCATTCCTGGTATATGAGGAGCCCAGCTTGCCCAATGCAGGTGGGGCATCCCTGGGAAAGTCGGGGGCATTGTCCTCCAAAGGGCTTCCCAATTTTGTTGACATTGCCCCAGAAACTAGATTCCCAGTTGGTGTGCTTCTTGGGCCTGGATACAATTGCAGAAAGAGATTGGGGCTTAGAGAGAGACAGAAATTTGCCTGAAGTCACAGAGCAAGTTAGCGACAGAACTGGGATTCAAATCCAGGTCTTCCGCTTCGCGATGTGAAGGCCACTGGAGTGACTGATGAAAGACTTGCACAGTGCCCAGTGCGCAGGAGGCGCTTGGCAATCAGCATCCTCGGCCTCCCTCCATACTGGTCATGGAAAGTGGATTTTCCCTCCCAGGCAGTTTCCTCTTTTTCTGTTTTCCTCACAGGTTTCTATCCATGGGGAATAGAAGGGGCAAGGACAAGTGGCTGCCCAGGAGCAGCTAGAGCTAGAGAGGAAGTCAAGATGTTTGCTCATTCATTCATTCATTTCCCCTTTCCTTCCTTCATTCAAATATTTATTGAAGGCTTATTTTGTGCCAAATATCTTCAGACAAATGCCTTCTTTCCTCTAACAACAATTTCACCTCCTTAGAGGCCTTCTCTGACCTCCCCATCTAACGTAGCCATTCTTGCCCCATTGCTCTCACCATCCTTTCCACTCCCCTCCCTCCCTCCTTCCCTTCCTCCCACCTTTTCTCCTTCCTTCTTTCCTTTATGCTGTGATCACCCTGTGTCCTCTGTACTTATTTGTTCTCTACTATCTGTTCATCCTCTCTCCTATAAATGTTAGTTCGATGAGATTAGAGACCTTGTCTCTCGTTTTTAAACATTGTGCCTCCATTGTCTTAAAAAGTGTCTGGCATTTAGTAGGCATTTAGGATTTGATAACTGAAAGAATGAACAATCAAATTAATGAACAAACAAAGGATTTTAACCTTCTAGTTTGGCTTGCTATGGAACCTCCAAACTCCCTAACCCAACCTTGAAGATGAGAAGATGAGATCCTTGAGGCTACCAGCCTGGTGCTGTTTTGTTTCAAGCCATCCTTTGGTCCTCAGGCAAGCACTAAAGCAGATGGCTCTCAGTGGGCTGGCTATGTCCTTCTGTGAGCTTGCTGGGCCCCTACCTATGACTCCAGTCTTAGAAGTCTTGCCTTGTACCCCCTGCAGAGAATGGTTTCATCAAGCTGATTCTCTGCCAGGGGCCAGTGCTCATACATTTGCTCTGAGAAGGACCAGCCCTGAGACCTAACATCCACATCCAAGTTCTTGTAATGCCCTCTCAGAATCCTGGAGTCCTGCAATGTCGATCCCTGGAGGGATCTGCCAGACCAATGATTTCCCAAACAGAATTGCACTTCAGAGTCAACTATGGAGCTTTTTAAACACAGATCCCTGGGCCCACCCTAAACATACAAAATCAGGATCAGAATCTCAGGGCCTAAGAATCTGTATTTTCAGGCCGGGCGCAGTGGTTCACACCTGTAATCTCAGCACTTTGGGAGGCTGAGTTGGGCTGATCACCTGAGGTCAGGAGTTCGAGATCAGCCTGGCAATATGGTGAAACCCCGTCTCTACTAAAAATAAAATTAGCCAGGCATGGTGGTGCACGCCTGTAGTCTCAGCTACTCTGGAGGCTGAGGCACGAGAATCACTTGAACCTGGGAGGCGGAAGCTGCAGTGAGCCGAGATCATGCCACTGCACTCCAGCCTGGGTGACAGAGTGAGACTCTGTCTCAAAAAAAAAAAAAAAAATAGAATCTGTATTTTTACAAAGCACCCTTCATAATTCTCCATAGCTGGTCCATGGGTGGGAATTTGGGACCCACAGTTTTGGAACTTTTTGGGATCATAGACCTTTTTGAGAATCTCAAAAAAGAAAAAAAAAGCACACAGAATGTTGCTTACAGTTTCATCAGGCACACAGAAGAGGCCCAGCACGAAGCAGTTTCTTGCCCAAGGACACAGCAGTTCAAGGACAGAGTCAGCGCGAGGTCTCTCAGCTCTGAGCACATGTTCTTTCCCCTTCCAGGTTTCTAGTTTTATGGGTAGTAGTTTTATGATGCCCATTTCACAGTTCAGGCAGGTAGAGGCAGAGGGGAGCATTAAGCTGACTTGCCCAGCGTCACTGAGTTGGCTACGGGCAGCCTTCCCAAGGGTACAGATGGCAAACACTGTTCCTTCTCTCTTTCAGGTGGCCCTGCTCAGAGCCCATGCTGGCGAGCACCTGCTGCTCGGAGCCACCAAGAGATCCATGGTGTTCAAGGACGTGCTGCTCCTAGGTGAGGCGGCTGCCTGCCCTGGCCAGGGCTCCAGGGAGGGTATGCCTAGCATGGCACTCACCCAGGCAAGGAGATTCACATGGTGGCATGCAAGGGTGAGGGAGACTAGTCAGGAGTGGCCCTGTCCTCAGGCTTGCATTAGAGGGCTCCAGGACTCAGTTTTCAACTGGGTACCCCACTCAGATGCAAGGAAATGTGGATGCAAGTCACCAAATTCCCAGCATTGAAGTCAGAGCACGATCAGGGTTATCCCTGGAATTACCTGTGCATCCTTTTTTCTTTTGACAGAGTCTTGCTCTGTCACTCAGGCTGGAGTGCAATGATGTGATCTCGGCTCACTTCAGCCTCCACCCGCCACGTTCAAGCAATTCTCCTGCCTCACCCTCCAGAGTTGCTGGGACCACAGGCGTGCACCACCACACCCAGCTAATTTTTGTATTTTTAGTAGAGACAGGGTTTCACCATGTTGACCAGGCTGGTCTCAAACTCCTGGCCTCAAATAATCCACCCGCCTCAGTCTCCCAAAGTGCTGGGATTACAGGTGTGAGCCACCGCGCCTGGCCTACCTGTGCATTCTGATGTTCTTTCTGGAGTAGGAGCAAGAGGTGGTTAAGAATGGCACAAAGCCCCAGCCCGCGTCACCTGTGCCTTCATGGCATAGTTATTATTTTAAACGCTTGTACAGCACACACTGTGTGCCAGGGACTGTGCTCACTGCTTTGCAAACACTACCTATTTTAATATAACAATGCTATGAGGGAAGCTCGATTATTTATCCTCATCTTATAGATAAGAAAACTGAGGCACAGAGAGGTTAAGTAACTTATCCAACTATAACCAGCTATCAGGGGCAGAGCCATTTAAGCAGGGCAGTGCAGTTCCAGAATCTGGTCCTTTAACCTTGATGCTTTGGTGCCTATCAGGTGACCTTTGAATGTCATCGATCTTGTGAGTCATGTTGGTAAATGGAGCTTGGGTCATGTGAAAGAGGTCCTAGAAAGCCAAGTTCCAAGCTCAGCCGGATGACTCAAGGCAGCTTATCTTCTGAATCTGGGCCTCAGCTTCCTTACCTGTGAAATGGGAGTCACCATCCCTGCAGGTCCTCCTCCCACAGGCACCAGCTATCTTGCCAACTTAAAAGCCAAAACTAGAGGAGAGGGGTCAACCCAAGGTGACTTCCCATCCTCCCTCCCTCCCAACCCTTCCAGGCAATGACTACATTGTCCCTCGGCACTGCCCGGAGCTGGCGGAGATGAGCCGGGTGTCCATACGCATCCTTGACGAGCTGGTGCTGCCCTTCCAGGAGCTGCAGATCGATGACAATGAGTATGCCTACCTCAAAGCCATCATCTTCTTTGACCCAGGTACAGTGCACACCTCCTAAGCCATCCCTGACTCTCTCTCCAGAACGCTCTGCCAGACTTCTCCTATTGGGTTCTGTACACTGAGTTCACAGCCTCATCTCATGTTAACGACAGCCAGGAGAGGCCGTTTTCATTTAACAGATGAGGCAAGTCAAGATTTGAAGAGACAATATGGCCGGGCGCAGTGGCTCACACCTGTAATCCCAGCACTTTGGGAGGCTGAGGCGGGCGGATCACCTGAGGTCAGGGGTTCAAGATGAGCCTGGCTAACATGGAGAAACCCCATCTCTACTAAAAATACAAAAATTAGCCAGGCATGGTGGTGCACGCCTGTAATCCCAGCTATTCGGGAGGCTGAGGCAGGAGAATTGCTTGAACCTGGGAGGCGGAGGTTGCAGTGAGCCAAGATCCCGCCACTGCATTCCAGCCTGGGTGACTCCATCTCAAAAAAACAAAAACAAAGGGAGGATATGACTTGACAGGGCACCCTGACTCCAAAGGCCTGGGCTTTCCCTTCTTTTACTTCTTCCCTCCATCCTTCTTTCTCTTTACTTCCCATCTTCCTCTTTTCTTTCATATTTGCTTCTTTTCCTCAAAAAAATTTATCAAAATAATATCTAGAACCGGATGTGGTGGCTCACATCTGTAATCCCAGCACTTTGGGAGGCAGAGGCAGGAGGATCACTTCAGGCCAGGAGTTCGAGGCCAGCCTGGCCAACATAACAAGACCTCGTCTCTATAGAAACTAAAAAAAATTAGCCAGGGATAGTGGTGAGCACCTGCAGTCCCAGCTACTCGGGAAGCCAAGGTGAGCACCTGCAGTCCCAGCTACTCAGGAGGCCAAGGTGGGAGGATCTCTTGAGCCCAGGAGGTGGAGGCTGCTGTGAGATGTGATTGCACCACTGCACTCCAGTCTGGGTGACAAAGCAAGACCTCATCTAAAAAATAATAATAAATAAATAAATAAATCTACACATACTTAAAATGCAAATACTTCTCCCCATCCTACTTTTCCAGCTCTAAGTCTACTCCCCAAGAGAAGCATGTCTGATTATTTTAATTGTTTCTTCTGGCAGTTTCCTCAACAATTCTAAATGAAAGACAAAGCCTTATATTTGTTGATGCATCCATTTTGGATCATAATGTTCCTCCTAGGATGGCAGAGGATTTTGCTTTTCTCCATCACCATTCCCATCTTTTCTTCCCCATTTTTCCCAATATATTTTTATTGCTATTTTTGAGTCTCTGTTGCAAGTTATGTGCTTTTATCTTTCCTTTCTTGTTCTATCAACTGTAGACGGTATCTCCCAACCCTTCACATTGCAGGATGAAGAAAAAGCATTCCTACCCTCTCCTGTGGCTCTTGGCTCTCCTCTCCCCATTCTGTCCACTGACTTTTGCACCTGCATTTATACAGAATGCATTTGTCATCAGTCTTTGTACAAAACTTGCTTTTGTTTCCCAGCATCAAAGGTGCCTGAACTCTGGAGGCTTGCTTGCCTTCCCTGCTTACATGTTAGAGGGGACCTACTGTGTGCCAGGCACTGTCCTTCACGCTGCAAATAGATTACCTCTAGTAATAATAGTAATGAAAAGGCTGGGTGTGGTGGCTCACGCCTGTAATCCCAGCACTTTGGGAGACTGAGGCAGGCAGATTACTTGACGTCAGGAGTTCAAGACCAGCCTGGCCAACATGGTGAAACCCCGTCTCTACTAAAAATACAAAAATCAGTTGTGTGTGGTGGTCCGTGCCTGTAATCCCAGCTACTCAGGAGGCTGAGGCAGGAGAATCGCTTGAACCTGGGAGGCGGGGGTTGCAGTGAGCCAAGATCATGCCATTGCACTCCAGCCTGGGCAACAAGAGCAAAACTTCATCTCAAAAAAATACATATATGTGTATATATATATAATATATATTATATATATATAATATATAGTGATATATATAGTATATAGTGATATATTACGTATAATATATATTATATATAGTGATATATATTTTATATATATATAGTGATATATATTATATATAGAGAGAGTGATGAAGTGGAAGATGAGCCCCATGTATTGAATGCTCCCTAAAGAGCTGTTTTTAAACACTTTATGTGGATTGTCTTACTTACCAACATGGTACCTGTGAAGTAGGAATTATTATTATCTCCATTTTACAGATAAGGAAACTGAGGCATGATTAACTTGCTCAAGGTCACACAACCGGAAAATGGCAGAGCTTGGATTTGAACTTCAGACCACCTGTCAATCCCAATTTCTCTCTCTCAAGCCCACATTCTTACCTACCACCTGCTATCCCACACTTACCAGAGGGTGAGATTTCTAGTTCTAGTTCCCTCCACAGCCTGGCCCAGCCTGTATCCTCTGTAGTGCTCAACACGAGGCTGGACTGGCAGAATTGTTCTGCAAAATGGGAAGGATCACTGATGCTGAGTCAGAGGCAGCAGCCTCCAGCAATTTGAAGGGGCGGGGGACCTAGTTCAAGGCCTGGCATGCAGGAGGTGCTCAATAAACATGTGTGGCCTGAATGAACTAATGAATAAGCATGATTCAGTGGAGACAGCCCACTAGAAATGTGGGTGAATGTTCTTTCTGCCACTTCCTTTGTCCATGAAAGAGGAAATAAATGCATTACCTCCATGAAGGTTGAGATTAAATATTGTATGACCGCTTAAGTTCCTTTCTAGGCTAAGGATCTAGAATTTATTCACTGATTTTTTTTTCATTCATTCATCCAGCCATCTAACAAAAAATATACATATAGTTATCAATAAATATATATTTATATATAAATATATATTTTTTAAAATATATATATATATAGTCTGTCACCCAGGCTGGAGTGCAGTGGCACCGTCTTGGCTCACTGCGACCTCCACCTCCCAGTTTCAAGCGATTCTCCCACCTCACCTCCTGAGTCGCTGGGATTACAGGCATGTGTCACCACGCCAGGTGAATTTTTGTATTATCAGTAGAGATGGGGTTTCACCATATTGACCAGGCTGGTCTCAAACTCCTGACCTCAAGTGATCCCCCCGCCTCGGCCTCTGACAGTGCTGGGCTTACAGGCATGAGCCACCATGCCTGGCCCTATTCAATAAATATTGACTATGCATGGTGCTAGGTGGTGAGTTTGAAAAGGCAAAGGCCGGGTGCAGTGGCTCACGCCTGTAATCCCAACATTTTGGGAGGCTGAGGCAGGCAGATTACTTGAGGTCAGAAGTTTGAGATGAGCCTGACCAGCATGGTGAAACCCCGTCTCTACTAAAATACAAAAATTAGCTGGGTGTGGTGGTGTGTGCCTGTAATCCCAGCTACTCGGGAGGCTGAGGCAGGAGAATCGCTTGAACCCAGGAGGCAGAGGTTGCGGTGAGCCGAGATCACGCCACTGCACTCCAGGCTGGGGGTCAGAGGGAGACTCAGTCTCAAAATAAAATAAAATAAAATAAAAATGGCAAATAAGACATACGCGTGCCCCTGCCAAACTCACAGTTGGATGGCACAACAATTACATCCTGTGTGGTCAGCAGTGATGGAGGGGCCGCAGAGATTTGGAAACAGGAGGGACACAGGATACAGATATAGGAGGGTAGAAGGCAGACTTCCTGGAGGAGGTGAAACCTAACCTGAGTCCCTAAGGTGATAGGAAGCAGGAACCAGGGAAGGGGAGCCTATTCTAACACAGTAGAAGCAGCAACTGCTGAGGTCTGGATGAGGGGACCTCAACTGTGGCCCAAAACCCCAAGTTCCCATTGTGGCTCTGCCAACAACTGGCTGTGCGACCCAGGACAAGTCCTATCTTTGCACTGTGTCTGGGTTTCCCCGTGTGTAAGATGAGGCGGTTGCTAGGTGCTTATTGGATGCATTCCTCAAGTCCCGCCCTCCATCTCCTATTCCCCTCTCTTCTGGTTTAGTGCTTTAGGAAATGTGGCAGAAATCTTTTTCTGCCTGTGTCTAGGAAATCATAATTCATGCTGGCGTACCCTGGTTGTTGAGGTCCCTGAATCCTTGTGCCCACACTGCTGAAGACTCCTTGTGTGATACAAGTCAGGGGACATCTGGGTCTTGACTCCCCAGATGCTCCAGCTGGACCCTGCTGCCCTCCCTTGCCCACCCTCTTCCATTGTAGATGCCAAGGGGCTGAGCGATCCAGGGAAGATCAAGCGGCTGCGTTCCCAGGTGCAGGTGAGCTTGGAGGACTACATCAACGACCGCCAGTATGACTCGCGTGGCCGCTTTGGAGAGCTGCTGCTGCTGCTGCCCACCTTGCAGAGCATCACCTGGCAGATGATCGAGCAGATCCAGTTCATCAAGCTCTTCGGCATGGCCAAGATTGACAACCTGTTGCAGGAGATGCTGCTGGGAGGTCCGTGCCAAGCCCAGGAGGGGCGGGGTTGGAGTGGGGACTCCCCAGGAGACAGGCCTCACACAGTGAGCTCACCCCTCAGCTCCTTGGCTTCCCCACTGTGCCGCTTTGGGCAAGTTGCTTAACCTGTCTGTGCCTCAGTTTCCTCACCAGAAAAATGGGAACAAGGCAATGGTCTATTTGTTCAGGCACCGAGAACCTAGCACGTGCCAGTCACTGTTCTAAGTGCTGGCAATTCAGCAAAGAACAAGATCTTTGCCCTCGGGGAGGCTGTGTGTGTGTGAGTATGTATGGATGCGTGGATATCTGTGTATATGCCCGTATGTGCGTGCATGTGTATATAAAGCCTCACATTTTATGATTTTGAAATAAACAGGTAATATGATAGAGTTTAACTGAAAAGGAATCCTCTTTAGATAGGGGAGGCCACAGGAGACCTCTCTGAAGTGGTGACTCTTGTGCTAAGACCCTAACGGCTGAAAGGAAATGGAAGGCTTAAAAGACAAGAGAGGAATATTCCAAGAAGAAGAAACTACTTCAAGGGCTGCGGATAGGAGAGAGTGTTGTGTTTGAGAAAGAAGGGCAAGGTTGTGAGATGGAGGACGTGTAGGAGGTGAAGATGGAGATTGGGCAGAAACCAAATCATAAACATATGGCTTTGTCAGCCTTTTCAGAAATTTGGATTTTATTCTCATTGCAACTATTGTAAGGAGAGTGAAAACCAGACTAAGTATTTTTATTCTTTGAGACAAAGTCTCCCTCAATCATCCAGGCTGGAGTGCAGTGGCACAATCTTGGCTGACTGCAACCTCCACCTCCCGAGTTCAAGCAATTCTCCTGCCACAGCCTCCTGAGTAGTTGGGATTACAGGCGCCCGCCACCACGCCCTGCTCATTTTTTTATATTTTTAGTAAAGACAGGGTTTCACCCTATTGGCCAAGATGGTCTCAAACTCCTGACCTCAAGTGATCACCCACCTCAGTCTCCCAAAGTGCTGGAATGACAGGTGTGAGCCGCCACACCCATCCCAGACTAATGCTTCAAACAAACCACTCTGTTGGGTAGAGAGTGAATTGCAGATTCCTGAGAATGTCACTGTCTCCAATCATGTGATGGATGATGGAGGCTTGGACCCTGGCAATGGAGCAGTGAAGATAAACCTGATCATCTATTTGGAGGAAGAGCCCACACCCACAGGATTTGCTGATTGATCAGACATAGGGAGTGAGAGAAAGAGGAAGAGTCAAGGACAAAGTCTACATTTTTGCTTTGAGTAGCAGAAATGACGATGGAGTAATTTACTGAAATGAGGAGGACAGAATAAACAACAAGACACTGGGTCTGGGGGTGGTAGTGAGGGGTGACCTCAGAGATCCATTGTGGACCCTCTTTTCTTTTTTCCTTTTTTTTTTTTTTTTGAGACGAGATCTCTCTCTGCCACCCAGGCTGGAGTGCAGTGGCGCAATCATAGTTCACTGTAGCCTCAACCTTCCAGGCTCAAGAGATCCTCCTACCCCAGCCTTTCAAGTAGCTGGGACTACAGGTGCGTGCCACCACACCCAGCTAATTCTTCATTCTTATTTTTTATAGAGACAAGGTCTCACTATGTTGCCCAGGCTGGTCTTGAACTCCTAGCCTTAAGCAATCCTTCCGACTTGGCCTCTCAAAGTGCTGGGATTACAGGTGTGAGCCACCATGCCCAGCCTCATTGTGGACTTTCATTAAGCATGAGATGACTATTACAAATCCAAGTTATCAAGGAGGCTGTTGAATGTATGAGTCTGTTGCTCAAGCACAAGATTAAAGGCAGCTCTGTGGAATCAGGGGGAAGATGGAGCCATGGAGGGAAGGGAAGAAGACTGGCCAGAGGGGTAGGAGAAAACCAGGGCAATTCCAGAATCCAAGAGAAGAGCGTGTTTGAAGGACAGAGTGTTTAATGGTGTTAAACTCTACAGAGAAACAGAAAGAAGCGGGGAAGAAAGGAGAGGTGAAGAGAGGAGGGGAAGAGAGAGGAAAGGGTCCATTGGATTGACAGCTGGAGGCTCTTGGCAATTGTGTTGAAAGCAGCATCAGAGAGCTGGGAGAGTGGAAACCAGATTGGAGAGTGCTCCAAAGAGAGTGAGTGGGAAGGTGGAGATAGAGTAGATAACCCTTTGAAATGGTTTGACTATGAAGGGGAGTATGAAGGAGTTAGGATGACTGCAAGGGAGTGATTAGAATGATAGGTCATGGAGTCTGGGCTGCACTCAAAAAGAAATAAAGATAGAGGCCGGGCACGGTGGCTCACACCTGTAATCCTAGCACTTTGGGAGGCCGAGGCGGGTGGATCACTTGAGGCTAGGAGTTCAAGACCAACCTGGCAACACAGCAAAACACCATCTCTACTAAAAATACAAAAAAAAATTAGCCAGACATGGTGGCATGCACCTGTAATCCCAGCTACTCGGGAGGCTGAGGCAGGACAATCACTTGAACCCGGGAGATGGAGGTTGAAGTGAGCTGAGATCATGACATTGCACTCCAGCGTGGGCGACAGAACAAGGCTCTGTCTCAACAACAACAACAAAAGGATGGGGTGATAGTGAAAAGAGAGTGTCAGTGAATTGACAGTCTCAGTAGGGCTGAAGAATTTTTGCAGCGATGGTATTAGATTACGGGAGCTGGAAGGACATGAGGTGAAGTCAAAGTGGGGATGTTGAATTCGAGATTTTGGAGGTGTTTCAGTGACTGAAGATGACAAGGCGAGGGTGAGGTTTCTCAACATTGGTACTATTGATACTTGGAACTGGACAATTCTTTGTTGTGTGGGGCTGTCCTGTACATTGTTCAGCTGCATCTCTGTCCTGTACCCATAAGGTGCCAGTAGCACTTCTCCAGTGGTGACAACCAAAAATGTCTTTGGATATTGTCAAATGTCTCCTGATGGGCCAAAATCATCCCCAGTTGGGAATCGCTGTTATGTGATAGCTCATTTCATTCTCACTTTGACCCTGTGAACATGGGGTTATTATGAATCAGGTGTCATTGAGATCAGGATCAGGAGCCTGTGGTCTGTTGCCAAATAATTAAGAGCTCTCTGGGCTCAGTTGTCTCATCTGTAGAATGGGCTAATAATAGTATCCATCCTATAGGATTGCTGTGAGGATTAAATTATGTGAAACATGGGAAGTGCTATACAACAGTACCTGGCACGTGATAATTGTTAATTATCAACAATTGTTATTTATCACTGAAATAGATGTACTGTAGAGATCGCTTGCAAGCGTTGAAATTCCATCATCGTCATATTACTCACCATAGGCTATTATTAAACCATATCCCATGTGGTATTTTTACTCCCTGACATATGTTTGAAGCGGTTACTGTGTTCCAGACAATCTGCTAGGCCCTCAAAGAAAGAAGAAAAATACCTCTGAAATTGTAATGCTCATAGACAGAAGAAGTGGTTGTTCCTAAAAGTTGTGTTACAGACAAATTACTATGAGAAATCCAAGGAAGGAGAATCAGGAGAGGCTTCTAAAGAGAGGAAATATATGAGCTGGGATTTGGGCTTATGGACATGGAACAGGTTTGGGGTGGAAAAACATCTCTGACAGAAGCAACAACGTGAGCAGAAGCATAGAGATAGAAAAACACAGGGGACACATAGATGCTATAAGTAGGTCAGTTGGCTGCAGCAGAGATGTGGGGGATGAGGCTGAAAGGTGAGGCGGGACCAAATGGTTGAAGGACTTGCACTCCAAGGAGCTTTGAGAGCCATTGATTACATCCATTATGTTACTATGTGACCAATACACTACTCATTAGAACATTTACGTGATCTCAGAGCTTCCTTATATGCACCTTGTTCCTTTCAACTCACTTTTGTTCTCTTGGTTTTTTGGGGTCCTCTTAACACCCTCATGAAGTCTATAGATGGGAATGGTACACCCTAGTTTACTAACCCAGGAATAGGTACCCAACAGGCACTGCCAATATTGGATGGGCTGGTTGATTGGCCACGCCTGAGGAAGATGGCGTCCCAAGGCCTGAGGTCTGCATCCCAGACTCTCCATCCTGATCGACCTTCTCTACCTGCAGGGTCCCCCAGCGATGCACCCCATGCCCACCACCCCCTGCACCCTCACCTGATGCAGGAACATATGGGAACCAACGTCATCGTTGCCAACACAATGCCCACTCACCTCAGCAACGGACAGATGTGTGAGTGGCCCCGACCCAGGGGACAGGCAGGTGGGCAAACTCTGGGATTTTACCTTGCAAAGGGTGAGGATGGGGCTTAAGACAGGAGGCAGGAGAAAGTGGAGTCTAGAAGGTAGAACCAGGATGCAACAGTTTTCTGGGTTCCAGGGTAGGGAATAAAGGGCAAGATTGTCCATTTGTTGAGGCTGTTTATTCAGTAAGGTGACTGACAGCCTTTACTGAATGAAGCCATTGTTGGGATGAGGCAATCCACTGGATGAGGTAACCCATTGGGTGAAGATGTTCTTGGGTGAGAATTCCATTAGTTGACATTGTCCATTAAGTAAAAGTGGTCATTGAAGTAAGGCTGCACAGTTGGGTAAGGCTATCCATTAGACAATTAGATGAGACTACCCATTGGGTCAGGATGTCTGCTGGGCTAGACCATCCTCTGAAACCTCCAAAGTATAAACTTGTCATTGGGCAAAGCTCTTCAAAGGATAAGATTATCAATGGGATGAAGTGATCCACTGAGATAAGATGATATTTTACTGACATTGTTCTCAGGGAAAGTTTTCCATTGAACAAAGATGGCCAATTGGGTCAAATTTGCTCTCCAAACCTGCCATGAGAGTGAGGCCAATTAGTTTCTATTACTCATCTCCTAAATATCCAAGAAATGGTATTTTTTGAGCCAGCTGGTCCGGGGTTTCATCAACTGCTGCTCCTTCTCCCAGGAAAGACTATCCCTGTCACCCATCCCATTGCCGCTGGGGACAGCCAGGCCTGGGCCTTGGTTTGGGAGAAGCAGTCCAAGTCTGCATATCAAATAAATGATGGAGGAGATGGGTGGTAGGACCTTCCAGACCTCATAAAACTTAGGCTTTATGATCTGGGACTCACAGAAGGTTGAGCAATAAAAGACCTTAGGGATTATCTGGTTTAATTAATTCTCTCATTTTATAGAGGAAGAAATTAAGTCAAGGTGGGGCAGGGTGGGAGGGGAGAACTTTCCCGGGCCTCTTCATTTACTCCCACAAAGGCTGGAATTTTGAGCAGCCCCTGTCTGTCTGTTTGTCCTTCCAGCCACCCCTGAGACCCCACAGCCCTCACCGCCAGGTGGCTCAGGGTCTGAGCCCTATAAGCTCCTGCCGGGAGCCGTCGCCACAATCGTCAAGCCCCTCTCTGCCATCCCCCAGCCGACCATCACCAAGCAGGAAGTTATCTAGCAAGCCGCTGGGGCTTGGGGGCTCCACTGGCTCCCCCCAGCCCCCTAAGAGAGCACCTGGTGATCACGTGGTCACGGCAAAGGAAGACGTGATGCCAGGACCAGTCCCAGAGCAGGAATGGGAAGGATGAAGGGCCCGAGAACATGGCCTAAGGGCCACATCCCACTGCCACCCTTGACGCCCTGCTCTGGATAACAAGACTTTGACTTGGGGAGACCTCTACTGCCTTGGACAACTTTTCTCATGTTGAAGCCACTGCCTTCACCTTCACCTTCATCCATGTCCAACCCCCGACTTCATCCCAAAGGACAGCCGCCTGGAGATGACTTGAGGCCTTACTTAAACCCAGCTCCCTTCTTCCCTAGCCTGGTGCTTCTCCTCTCCTAGCCCCTGTCATGGTGTCCAGACAGAGCCCTGTGAGGCTGGGTCCAATTGTGGCACTTGGGGCACCTTGCTCCTCCTTCTGCTGCTGCCCCCACCTCTGCTGCCTCCCTCTGCTGTCACCTTGCTCAGCCATCCCGTCTTCTCCAACACCACCTCTCCAGAGGCCAAGGAGGCCTTGGAAACGATTCCCCCAGTCATTCTGGGAACATGTTGTAAGCACTGACTGGGACCAGGCACCAGGCAGGGTCTAGAAGGCTGTGGTGAGGGAAGACGCCTTTCTCCTCCAACCCAACCTCATCCTCCTTCTTCAGGGACTTGGGTGGGTACTTGGGTGAGGATCCCTGAAGGCCTTCAACCCGAGAAAACAAACCCAGGTTGGCGACTGCAACAGGAACTTGGAGTGGAGAGGAAAAGCATCAGAAAGAGGCAGACCATCCACCAGGCCTTTGAGAAAGGGTAGAATTCTGGCTGGTAGAGCAGGTGAGATGGGACATTCCAAAGAACAGCCTGAGCCAAGGCCTAGTGGTAGTAAGAATCTAGCAAGAATTGAGGAAGAATGGTGTGGGAGAGGGATGATGAAGAGAGAGAGGGCCTGCTGGAGAGCATAGGGTCTGGAACACCAGGCTGAGGTCCTGATCAGCTTCAAGGAGTATGCAGGGAGCTGGGCTTCCAGAAAATGAACACAGCAGTTCTGCAGAGGACGGGAGGCTGGAAGCTGGGAGGTCAGGTGGGGTGGATGATATAATGCGGGTGAGAGTAATGAGGCTTGGGGCTGGAGAGGACAAGATGGGTAAACCCTCACATCAGAGTGACATCCAGGAGGAATAAGCTCCCAGGGCCTGTCTCAAGCTCTTCCTTACTCCCAGGCACTGTCTTAAGGCATCTGACATGCATCATCTCATTTAATCCTCCCTTCCTCCCTATTAACCTAGAGATTGTTTTTGTTTTTTATTCTCCTCCTCCCTCCCCGCCCTCACCCGCCCCACTCCCTCCTAACCTAGAGATTGTTACAGAAGCTGAAATTGCGTTCTAAGAGGTGAAGTGATTTTTTTTCTGAAACTCACACAACTAGGAAGTGGCTGAGTCAGGACTTGAACCCAGGTCTCCCTGGATCAGAACAGGAGCTCTTAACTACAGTGGCTGAATAGCTTCTCCAAAGGCTCCCTGTGTTCTCACCGTGATCAAGTTGAGGGGCTTCCGGCTCCCTTCTACAGCCTCAGAAACCAGACTCGTTCTTCTGGGAACCCTGCCCACTCCCAGGACCAAGATTGGCCTGAGGCTGCACTAAAATTCACTTAGGGTCGAGCATCCTGTTTGCTGATAAATATTAAGGAGAATTCATGACTCTTGACAGCTTTTCTCTCTTCACTCCCCAAGTCAAGGGGAGGGGTGGCAGGGGTCTGTTTCCTGGAAGTCAGGCTCATCTGGCCTGTTGGCATGGGGGTGGGACAGTGTGCACAGTGTGGGGGCAGGGGAGGGCTAAGCAGGCCTGGGTTTGAGGGCTGCTCCGGAGACCGTCACTCCAGGTGCATTCTGGAAGCATTAGACCCCAGGATGGAGCGACCAGCATGTCATCCATGTGGAATCTTGGTGGCTTTGAGGACATTCTGGAAAATGCCACTGACCAGTGTGAACAAAAGGGATGTGTTATGGGGCTGGAGGTGTGATTAGGTAGGAGGGAAACTGTTGGACCGACTCCTGCCCCCTGCTCAACACTGACCCCTCTGAGTGGTTGGAGGCAGTGCCCCAGTGCCCAGAAATCCCACCATTAGTGATTGTTTTTTATGAGAAAGAGGCGTGGAGAAGTATTGGGGCAATGTGTCAGGGAGGAATCACCACATCCCTACGGCAGTCCCAGCCAAGCCCCCAATCCCAGCGGAGACTGTGCCCTGCTCAGAGCTCCCAAGCCTTCCCCCACCACCTCACTCAAGTGCCCCTGAAATCCCTGCCAGACGGCTCAGCCTGGTCTGCGGTAAGGCAGGGAGGCTGGAACCATTTCTGGGCATTGTGGTCATTCCCACTGTGTTCCTCCACCTCCTCCCTCCAGCGTTGCTCAGACCTCTGTCTTGGGAGAAAGGTTGAGATAAGAATGTCCCATGGAGTGCCGTGGGCAACAGTGGCCCTTCATGGGAACAATCTGTTGGAGCAGGGGGTCAGTTCTCTGCTGGGAATCTACCCCTTTCTGGAGGAGAAACCCATTCCACCTTAATAACTTTATTGTAATGTGAGAAACACAAAACAAAGTTTACTTTTTTGACTCTAAGCTGACATGATATTAGAAAATCTCTCGCTCTCTTTTTTTTTTTTTTTTTTTTTTTTGGCTACTTGAGTTGTGGTCCTAAAACATAAAATCTGATGGACAAACAGAGGGTTGCTGGGGGGACAAGCGTGGGCACAATTTCCCCACCAAGACACCCTGATCTTCAGGCGGGTCTCAGGAGCTTCTAAAAATCCGCATGGCTCTCCTGAGAGTGGACAGAGGAGAGGAGAGGGTCAGAAATGAACGCTCTTCTATTTCTTGTCATTACCAAGCCAATTACTTTTGCCAAATTTTTCTGTGATCTGCCCTGATTAAGATGAATTGTGAAATTTACATCAAGCAATTATCAAAGCGGGCTGGGTCCCATCAGAACGACCCACATCTTTCTGTGGGTGTGAATGTCATTAGGTCTTGCGCTGACCCCTGAGCCCCCATCACTGCCGCCTGATGGGGCAAAGAAACAAAAAACATTTCTTACTCTTCTGTGTTTTAACAAAAGTTTATAAAACAAAATAAATGGCGCATATGTTTTCTAAGTCCTTGGATAAGTATCTTTTCTTTCAGGTATCAGAAATAAGACTGAATCTTCTGGTTCTACTTGGGGGTTAAAAAATTTTTTTTAAAGGAAGAATGAGAATAGTTTTATAGTTCTTTGTGATGTGCAGAATGTTTTTGTGTCCATTATAATTTTTCAGTCTTCACATCAAGAGGTAAGCAGTTAGACATGATTACTCCCACTTTCCAGATGAGGAGACTGAGGCTTGGGGGAAGTGACTTCTCTTGGAAGGCAGAGGTGGACATCTAACCCTGGTCTCTTGATTCCAAGTACTTAGTATATCGAGAGAGTGAAAGTTGATCCCCCTTCTTGAAGAGGGGAGTGATGAGGGGAGAGTGCAATGGCAAGATCTGGAAGAATGGCAAGAGGGTCCAAGGGTCTGTCATCCTCCACCAAGGTTCAAGACAGAACCTTTTGCTGGGTCACCTCAATCTGCCAGCAATGGAAGATGAGTAGCTGTGGGGACATTTCATAAAAGCAAGTGGTTTTTTTGTTTTGTTTTGTTTTGTTTTTTGTTTTTTTTTCTAGAACAAGGCTGTGCACAGTGGCTCACCTCTGTAATCCCAGCACTTTGGGAGGCTGAGGCGGGAGGATCACTTGAGCTCAGGAGTTCGAGACCAGCCAGAGCAATATAAGGAGACCCCATCTCTACAAAAAATTTAAAAATTAGCCAGGTATAGTGGTGTGTGCCTATAGTACCAGCTACTCTGAAGGCTGAGGTGGGAAGATTGCTTCAGCCCAGGAGTTCGAGGATGCAGTGAGCTATGAATGCAACACTGCACTACAGCCTGGATGAAAGAACAAGACTCTGTCTCAAAACATAAATAATAAGTAAAAAGAATAAAAGCAAGAGATGCACTTGAGAATCTCCAGCCAGATCTGTAGCCACTGGGCTTCTCTCCAAGGCTAAACTATTACAGGAGGGTGGCCTTGTGTCTCGGTCACCACAGACCACAGCGTTCCATTCACTCGGGGTTGTGCTGGAGCTGGCTTGTGAGAACTGACTGTTAGCTTCTCTTCCCAACTCCATGTTTGCCAGTGCCACACTGATAGCTTGAAATTGGTTATTGCCGGAGTGTTTACACCACAAGGACTAGCAAACTCTACAAATCCGGGCTTTTGTTCCTGGAGAGCCCGTTGTTAACATTCACCAGCACACCACAGCATTCGGCAATGGCTGGACCATGGGATGCCTACATATGGGGACATCCTCCTTGGGGATGAGGGTAGAGCAGGGCGATCCTTTCACCTCTTCCTTAAGGGAGGGGACAAAAGTTCTGGTCTGGGAAGCACACGTTTTGCTGATCAGCGTAACCTTGGGCAGGTCACTCCACCACTCCGAGCCTCATCTGTAAAGTGGGAATGATATCTCCCTCCAGGGCAGATGTCAGGATTCAATGGAATGAGATCACAGTAACTGTGAGAGCTCCCGTTACATGAGGAGTACAAGTGAACTCTTCATGCGCCCCTTTTTAGCGAGAAGTTAACCATTAAACTCTCCAGGCTTCAGAGCACCCATTCGCTGTCTACCTGATCCCTAGGGCCGCTCCCGCCTTCCCCTGTGCCTTCCCTCCACTAGTCAGCACCAGGAAATGTTTTCGATAACGTTGCAACGGAGGCCTTGTTCATGCTGCCGCCATCGGGGACAAGCGCGGGGGGGGGGGGGTGGAGGCCAGAGGAGACTATTTCAGTCCTAAATTGTGCTTAATAAACCCATATCAAAACCATAAACCCTTGGCTGCCATAAATTCCTCTACCCTTGGATCCTCCACCTCATCAGCCCTTTGCCCTGGTTAATCTCAAATCTCAGCGCAGGCAGCCGGAGCTTTAGGTTTGGTTTCTACTTCAGTTGCTAAACAGCATCAGCTCAGGTGGCAGACAGTAAAATTCCCATTTTAGAGATGATGAAACTGAGGTTCAGAAAGGTGAAGAAACTTGTCCAAGGTCACACAGCTAGAGACCCCAGCCAAGACCTGAGCCCATGCTTCCACCACCCAGGTAGCCTGATTAAGAAATGGGAATTCTTGGCTGAGCACAGTGGTTCACCCCTGTAATCCCAGCACTTTGGGAGGCCAAGGTGGGCGGATCACCTGAGATTAGGAGTTCAAGACTAGCCTGGCCAACATGGTGAAACCCCATCTCTACTAAAAATACAAAAATTAGCCGGGCACAGTGGTGCACACCTGTAATCCCAGCTACTCAGGAGGCTGAGCCAGGAGAGTTGCTTGAACCCAGGAGGCGGAGGCTGCAGTGAGCCGAGATCATGCCACTGCACTCCAGCCTGGGTGACAGAGCGAGACTCCATCTCCAAAAAAAAAAAAAAAAAAAAAAAGGAATTCTCAATTCTCAAGCTTCTCGGGGAGACAGATTTGAGGTTTCCTCTTACATCTTTGTTTGGTGGCCCTACAATTAAACCTCTTTCTCTGCTACAAAACAATGGAAAAAAACTGGAATTTCTAAGGCTCCTCATTTTTTTTTTTTTTTTTTGAGTCAGGGTCTCACTCTGTCACCCAGGCTGGAGTGTAGTGGTGCCATCATAGCTCTCTGCAACCTCTGCCTCCAGAGTTCAAGCAATCCTCCTGCCTCAGCCTTTTGAGTAGCTGGGGTACAGTGTGCCAGCACACCTGGCTATTTTTTTCTTTTATTTTTAGTAAAGATGAGGTCTTGCTATGTTGCCCAGGCTGACTTCTTTTTAGCACCTCTGAAAAGTTGTTTCCCCAAGCCATGCTACTAGAAGCTTCTTATTCCATCATTCCATCATTGCTCAGAGTGGGGACCAGAAGTAGAAGGGACCCTGGGTGACAGGCTGCTTGAAGATCCAAAGAAAGTTTCATGCAGTGTGAATGGCCTGTCATCCCAAATTGGTGAAATCGTCCTACTTCCTCATTTGTGGAACCCAGATAACCTTTGAGCTACACTTCTCAAATCCACGTATCATATGTAAATTCCAGGATGTGATCTCAGAGGCCTGAATCACAGGATCCCAGGCAGCTGTTTGACAATGGTGGAGTTAGACACCAAATCATGATGCCAAGGACATTTACTGGGCTCTTCCTCTTTGCCAAACATGGCTGGACATAATTTAATTCCCACAACAACCTCTGAGGCTGTCATTCTTGTGGTTCTGTTTCACAAATGAGGAAACAAGACCGGTCATGGTGGATCACGCCTGTAATCTCAGCACTTTGGGAGGCTGAGGCAGGTGGATCACCTGAGGTCAAGAGTTTGAGACCAGCCTGGCCAACGTGGTGAAACCTCATCTCCATTAAAAATACAACAAAAAAAAAAAACCAGCCAGGCGTGGTGGCATGTGCCAGTAGTCCCGACTACTCGGGAGGCTGAGGCAGCAGAATCGCTTGAACCCGGGAGACAGAGGTTCCAGTGAGCCGAGATCATGCCACTGCACTCCAGCGTGGGCAAAAGCTTGAGACCCTGCCACAACAACAACAACAACAAAGAGGAAACAGGCTCAGGAGGAGAGAGGAAGGGACTTGCCCAAGGTCCACACACAGCTGGTCACCAATCCATACCTGGTGTGGCCGCTGATCTGATGCTCATTGTCTGACTCCAGGGGCCAATATGAGGCCTCGAGGAAGACACTGGTGACTCCATCACTGCGTGGTGGGCACAGAAGTAGTGTGAATGGTGGAAAGCTCATCTCATGACAAATGTTGATGGGCAGAGCCCTGTGCCGGGAACCCTGGGATTATGGAGAAGCAATAGCGTGAGGCGCCTCCCTCCCAGAGCTTTCAGTTTTCATATGGACAGGCGAAAATTAGAAGCAGTTAAGAGCCAAAGGGGTGAACGTGACAGCTGGTGAGGTGGTAGGGAGGGAGAGGCGACTGCACTCAGGGAGTGGTGTATGCTTTGAGGGACGATTCAGAGGCAATAATGAGGCAAGACAGAAGTGCGCTCGAGGCTGAGGACTGAGCAGCAAGTGGGAGGAGGCAGCGGGAACTCTGTGCATGGGGGCAAGACGAGGGCTGGCATTTTCCAACCTTCGTGCACAGGCCACCTTGACCTCTCCATGCCCAAGGACCGCTGTAACTTCCATTACTTATTTTTCATTAAATCAGTTCAACATGATTCCCCTTAAACTTCAGGTCACTGACATAAATAGGAAACCAGCATCATTTGCCGTAAATAAGAGGTGACTGCAAAATTAGTGAAAAGAAAACAATGTTTTTCAGCTGCAGCCAGGTGGAATCGCCCCAGGGAAAGCTCTGCTCTTGTTTTCGTATTAAAAAGGAAAACTGACAAATATTACAGAGATGTTACGGGCATACACGTACCCAATGGAGACTTTCTCCTTAAAGCTTTCAGAAAAGGCCTGTAAAGGACAGACTTTGGGGACAATATCACTTAATACCTTCCAGTATGTTTCTAAAACTTCCCCCAGTTCCACTGGAAGCCCTCATCCACTTCTGGAAGCTCACTCACTAGGACAGCTGGCCCGCACACAAGTGGTGGGGACCTCAAATACTGGACAGAGGAGTATGGAATTTCTTCCGGGGAAAAGGAAGCCACTAGAGGTTTCTGTTTGTTTTTTGAGAGGGGTTCTCGCTCTGTCACCCAGGCTGGAGTGCAATGGCGCGATCTTGGCTCGCTGCAATCTCTATCTCCCAGGTTCTAGCAAGTCTCCTGCCTCAGCCTCCCAAGTAGCTGAGATTACAGGAGCATGCAACCACACCCAGATAATTTTTGTATTTTTAGTAGAGATGGGGTTTCGCCATGTTGGCCAGGCTGGTTTCCAACCCCTGACCTCAAGTGATCCACCCGCCTTGGCCTCCCAATATGCTAGGATTACAGGCATGAGCCGCCACGCCCGGCCCACTGGAGGTTTGAGAGCAGTGAAGGTTGTAGGCAGATCTGTATATATGTATATAAAGATACATATATTTATATATATTATATATTATATATTTATATATTTTATATTATATATTTTTATATTATATATATTTTATATTATATATTTTATATATATTTTTATATATCTATATATTATATATTTTATATATATTTTTATATATTTATATATTATATATTTTATGTATATTTTATATATTTATATATTATATATTTATATATATTTATATATTATATATTTGTATATTATATATTTGATATATTATATATGTTTATATATTATATGTTTATATATTATATATGTTTATATATTATATGTTTATATATTATATATGTTTATATATTATATGTTTATATATTATATATTTATATATTATATGTTTATATATTATATATTTATATATTATATGTTTATATATTATATATTTATATATTATATGTTTATATATTATATATTTATATATTATATGTTTATATATTATATATTTATATATTATATGTTTATATATTATATATTTATATATTATGTTTATATATTATATATTTATATATTATATATGTTTATATATTATATATTTATATATTATATATGTTTATATATTATATATTTATATATTATATATGTTTATATATTATATATTTATATATGTTTATGTATTATATATATTATATATGTATGTATGTTTACATACATATATACATATGTGCGTATGTAAACATACTTATATACATATGTGTGTATGTATGTTTATATACTTATACATATGTATATATATATATTTATACATATATGTGTGTGTGTATATATATATATTTTTTTTTTTTTGAGACAGGGTCTCCCTCTGTCACCCAGGCTGGAGTGCAGTGGCGCAATCACAGCCCACTGCAACCTCTGCCCCCTGGGCTCAAGTGATCCTCCTACCTCAGCTTCCTGAATAGCTGGGACCACAGGCACCAACAACTATTTTTTTGTATTTTTAGTAGAGACGGGGTCTTGCCATGCTGTCCAGGCTTGTCTTGAACTCCTGAGCTCAAGCAGTCCACCCGCCTCGGCCTCACAAAGTGTTGGAATTACAGGTGTGAGCCACTGCACCTGGCCAGATCTGTATCTTTAAAACAACACCCTGGCTGCTTTGTGGCAGACGAAGAGGTGCAACTGTAAGCTGGGAGACCAATGAAGACACAAGTGCACTGGATCAGGTGAGAGGTAGTGATGTCTACAACAAGATGGTGGCAGTGGAGTAGAGAAAAGCACCAATCCAAGAGACTTTCATTCATTCATTCATTCATTCGTTCATTCAACAAATATTTAGTGAGTGTCTATCTGTTGAACATTTTTCTGAGTCTGAGAGGTAGGCAGGGGTGAGACCAGAGGTAGCCTTCTAGGCCACGAGAAAGATTCTGGATTTTCTTGTTGGTATAGTAGGAAGCTCTTCATTTTTGAATAGAGAAGTGATATGATCTGCTTGATGTTCTTAAAAGGCCACTCTCTGCTGTATAGATAATGGACTATGTGGAAAAACAGTGGAAGCAGAGACGCCCACAGGTGGCCTGGGCAGTGGTCCAGGTGAAAGATGATGGCAGCATGGACTAGGGTTGTGGAGTGGGCAGAATTTTTTAAATGCCCCCCAAGACGCCTGCCTTTGGTGCATACACACCTTCTTTCAGTTATCCAATTAGACATGAATCTAGGTGTTCCTGTGAAGAGATTTTGCAGATGTAATTTAAGTCCCAAACCAGCTGACTTTTTGATAGAGAGATATTCTTTGGTGGGCCTGGCCTAATCAGGTGAGGCCATAAAGGGAGCTGAACTCTTTCTATGAAATTAGAAACATGAGAATTAGAAACGTGAGAAATTAGAAATGTGATTCCACATAAGGGAGAGTCTCTGTTGCTGGCTTTGAAGACAAGGGGGCCACTTGGCAAGGGATGCAAGTGGCCTCTAGAAACTGAGAGACCCCTGGCTGACAACCAGCAAGAAAATGGTGACAGGGTGACAGTCCAACGACCATGAGGAACTGAATGCAGGCAACAACATGAATGAGCTTGGATCCTTTCCTAGAGCCCTCAGGTAGGTACACAGCCCAGTCGTTTAAGAACCCGAGCAGGAGACCCAATCACACCACATCTGGACTGCTGGACTATAGACCTGTGAGATCACAAATGGGCAGCGTTTTCTTTTCTTTTCTTTGGAAACAGAGTTTCGCTCTTTTTGCCCAGGCTGGAGTGCAATGATGTGATCTTGGTTCACTGCAACCTCCACCTCCCAGGTTCAAGTGATTCTCCTGCCTCAGCCTCCCAAGTAGCTGGGATTACAGGCATGCACCACCACGCCCAGCTAATTTTGTATTTTTAATGGAGATGGGGTTTCACCGTGTTGGCCAGGCTGGTCTCGAACTCTTGACCTCAGGTAATCTGCCCACCTCGGACTCCCAAAGTGCTGGGATTACAGGCGTGAGCCACTGTGCCCAGCTGACAAATGGGCAGTGTTTTAAGCATCTGCATTTGTGGCAATTTGTTATGCAGCAATAGAAAATGAATACAGGTGGTGGTGGTGAGAGGCGGTCAGAGTGGAGTGTTCTGGAAGTAGAACAGCCAAGAACTTACTAAGGTATGTGAAGGAAAGTAACTGTGGCCAGGTGGTGCTGTCTGTTGACAGAGGAAGACTGGAGGAGCTGCAAATTTGGGTTAGAAAATAAGAGCTTGGTTTTGGATGTGCTGTTTGAGATCCCAATTAAACATCCAGGGACTTGTTGGATATATGAGTCTAGAGCTTGGGGAAAAGTTGGGGCTAGAGATAAAGAGTCTAAGTCATAAGCATAGATGAGAAGTTTAATAATCAACTGGGCTGAGCATGGTGCTCACTCCTGTAATCCCAGAGCTTTGGGAGGCGAAAAAGGGAGAATCCCTTGAGGCCAGGAGTTCGAGACCAGCATCGGCAACACAGCAAAACCCCCGTCTCTACAAAAAATTAAAAAAAAAAAAAAAGGTAGGTGTGCTGGCACATGCCTGTAGTCCCAGCTCCTCTGGAGGCTGAGGCAGGAGAATTGTTTAAGCCCAAAAGTTTGAGGTTGCAGTGAGCCATGATCAAACCACTGCACTTTAGCCTAGATGATAGAGCAAGACCCTGTCTCTATTGAAGAAAAAAAAGTCAATAGGAAGATTGCTCAGCAATAAAAAGAAGAGAACTACTGATACAAACAACATGGGCCCAGTCGTGGTGGCTCTATTCCTAGCACTTCGGGAGGCGGAGGAGGGGGTGGATCATTTGAGGTCAAGAGGTCAAGACCAGCCTGGCCAACATGGTGAAACCCCATCTCTATTAAAAACACAAAAATAAGCTGGGTGTGGTGGCACATGCCTGTAATCCCAGCTACTCAGGAGGCTGAAGCAGAAGAATTGCTTGAACCCTGGAGGCGGAGGTTGCAGTGAGCTAAGATCGAGCCACCGCACTCCAGGCTAGGCGACAGAGGGAGACTTAGTCTCAAAAAAGAAAAAAAAGAAAACCATGGAACTCAAACTCATAACACTAGGTGAAAGAAGCCAGGCTCAGAAGACTACATACTATATGATTCCATCTCTGTGATGTTCTGGAGAAGGCAAAACCATAGACACAGGTATGTGGCTGCCAGGGGCAAGGGCTGGGGTAGGGGTTTGAATACCAAGGGACACAGGGGAGGGGGTTTGGAGTGATGGGAATGCTCTGAGAAAATCTTGATTGTGATGGTGGTGACATGACTGCATACATGTGCCAAAACGTGCAAAAGCATACACTAAAAAGGGCAAATCTTAGTCTATGGAAATTATACCTTAATTTGGCCAGGTGCGGTGGCACACGCCTGTAATCCTAGCACTTTGGGAGGCCAAGGCAGGCGGATCACCTGAGGTCAGGAGTTTGAGACCAGCCTAGCCAATATGGCAAAAGCCCATCTCTACTAAAAATACAAAAATTAGCTGGGCATGGTGGCGCACACCTGTAATCCCAGCTATTCGGGAAGCTGAGGAAGGAGAATCGCTTGAACCCGGGAGGTGGAGAGGTTGCAGTAAGCCGAGATGGCACCACTACACTTCAGCCTGTGCAACAGGAGTGAGACTCCATCTCAAAAAAAAAAAGAAAGAAAATTATACCTTAATTTAACAAATGAAAGAAATGAAAAGCCAATAGTTGCTTGGGCTCATTGAAGAGTGAAGAGAGGAAACAGAAAATAGGTGAGGACTTCACTCTAGGTTGCACCACCATGGAGGTTGGAGAGAGGGAAAGGGAAAGCTGCAAAGAACAAGTGAGGTGAATAGAGGCCGGGCATGGTGGCTCACGCCCGTAATCCCAGCACTTTGGAAGGCTGAGGTGGGAGGATTGCTTGGAGCAATCCTCAGGTCCCTAGGAGTTCAAGACCCACCAGGGCAACTTAGTGAGACCCCCCGATCTCTGCAAATATAAAAAAACTTAACCAGGCGTGGTGGTGTGTGCCTGTAGCCCCAGCTACTTGGGAGGCTGAGGCAGGAAGATTGCTTGAATCCAGGAGTTCGAGGCTGCAGTGACCGTGACCGTAATTGTGTCACTGCACTCCAGCCTGGGAAACAGAGTGAGACCCTGTTGTAAAAAATAAAAACAAAAAAGATGAATATAGTTGGTGAACGAAAGGGATTCAAGCAAATTTGTTGCAGACCTACTAGGTGCTAAGTGTGCTGACATACTGGTCTTACCCACTCACCTTACTGAGATTGTTGGGGAGGTGAAATGGACTAGCCCTGCTATACGGATGAGAGGAAAGTGGTTTGCCCTGGGTCCACACACAGCATAATAGTGGTGAAGTGAGAATATCCATGCTGGTGTGTCCTGCACACTCTTCCCTTTGTATCAAATGAGTGGAAGAATGAATGAGTGAATATCACTGCAGGTGCTGAGGTTTCACTAGCAGATTCCAGCCAAGGATCTGAGAACGTGATATTTTTAGCGAAGTTGGGGCCATAAAACTTGTTCCATTTCCCAACTTGTGCAACGCCCAGCCCCTCCCCCTGTGGCTCTGAGATTGCTCCCCGGCCTTGGGAAGGGCTCCCCAGGCTTATCTAGGGGGGAGAGTGAAACTGTAAAAGCCTTTATGGCTTTGAGATCACGTCTGCAAGGGGCAGCGATTGTCGTTATAAACTTGAGCTGGCCCTGCAAGGGAGGGCAATAGCCTGGGCTGAGAGGAGTCAGGGGAGAGTTGAGCAATGCCAAGGGAGCGGCCGTGCTGAGCCGAGCATTCTGGGGCCTGTGGTCAGGGACCATCATTCATTTACCTCATTTCATCCTCACATAAAACCCTGTGAGTTTTTTTCTTTTTGAGACAGATCTTGCTTTGTCACCCAGGTTGGGGTGCAGTGGCTCAATCATGGCCCATGGCAACCTCGATCCCCTGGGCTCAAGTGATCCTCCTGCCTCACCCTCCTAAGTAGCTGAGACAACAGACACATGCCACCATGCTTGGCAAATTTTTAAATTTTTTGGAGACTTAGGGTCTCACTATGTTGCCCAGGCTGATCTCAAACTCCTGGGTTCAACTTGTCCCCCCACTTCAGCTTGCAAAGTGCTGGGACTGCAGGTGTGAGCCACTGCGTCTAGCCTTATTGCAATGTTTTTAAACATTCTATGACATGCCCTTTTTCACATTATGGTATCTCTGAAATCAGGATGCGTCTTTAAATCAATGGCGTCCCACAATTGCTAAGGGTTTGATCAGGTGGTAGCCCTGACCTAGTTGGTTCTGGTCATTATTTCCAGTGGCCTAACTGGACAACTGCACCCCCTTTGTATTTCATCAAAAATGACTTAAGGACCATTTGAGGAAGGGACCAGAGTCCTGCTTGTTTCCCAAAACCTTCCATTAACACCTTCTGATAAGATCAAGAAAGCACCTGGGGCAAAACCTGCAGAATAGGAGGAAGTGGGTTGGGAGGAAATCCAGGAGACAATAGTGGAGTGTTTTTTCAAGAAATGCTGCATGGGCCGGGTATGGTGGCTCACGCCTGTAATCCCAGTACTTTGGGAGGCCAAGGCGGGTGGATCACGAGGTCAGGAGATTGAGACCATCCTGGCTAACACGGTGAAACCTCATCTCTACTAAAAATACAAAAAATTATCCGAGCATGGTGGCAGGCGCCTGTAGTCCCAGCTACTCGGGAGGCTGAGGCAGGAGAATGGTGTGAACCCCGGAGGCAGAGCTTGCAGTGAGCCGAGATCCCACCACTGCACTCCAGCCTGGGAAACAGAGTGAGACTCCGTCTCAAAAAAAAAAAAAGAAAAAAAAAAAAGAAGAAATGCTGTAGGAACAAAGCATTAATGGGATGGAAGTTGATATTGCATGGAAAAATATGGACAATGAAGATTCTGGGCAGAAAAGTGACCTCAGTGGGCTGGATGCTGACTGTGAGATTTTGAAACTCCTTACCTAATCTATCTTACCCAGATTTTCCTTTTTATGTGTGCACAAGGGTGATATATGATTTTTTATTTTCTTGAGACAGAATCTTGCCCTGTCGCCCAGGCTGGAGTGTAATAGTGTGATCTCAGCTCACTGCAACCTCCACCTTCCCGGTTCAAGCAATTCTTCTGCCTCAGCCTCCCGAGTAGCTGGAACTACAAGCGCGCACCACCACACCTGGCTAATTTTTGTATTTTTAATGAAGATGGGGTTTCACCATGTTGACCAGGCTGGTCTCGAACTCTTGACCTGAAGTGATCTGCCCACCTCGGCCTCCCAAAGTGCTGGAATTACAGGTATGAGCCACCATGCCTGGCAATTTTTTTTTTTTAGATGGAGTTCCACTCTGTCGCCCAGGCTGGAGTGCAGTGGCAAGATCTTGGCTCACTGCAGCCTCCACCTCCCAGGTTCCAGCGATTCTCCTGCCTCAGCCTCCCGAGTAGCTGGGATAAAAGGTGCCCGCCACCACACCCGGCTAAGTTTTGTATTTTCAGTAGAGATGGGTTTTCACCATGTTGGCCAGGCTGGTCTCAAACTCCTGACCTCCTCCCGCCTCGGTCTCCAAAAGTGCTGGGAGTTTTACAGGTGTAAGCTGCAGTGCCCTGCCAATATATAATTTTAAAAACTATGTCTAAGTCTCAAAGAGCCTTTTAATAAATAGAAAATAAAAATTCTAAGTGATAAGGAGGCATTGTCACAATTAATTGGCAGTGTCTTTTCTAAGTGGTACATAAAATGCTAGTGCTGCTTACAGCAGAAGCATCTCCAGTCAGGTTATCTCATTTCACAGATGAGAAAACTGAGGACACAGAGGCCACAGGGCAAATCAGTGATGGTGCCAGGGCTCTCTCTGACAACAGATACTGTGCTCTTCCTGACACCTGAGGATGACTTGGATGTGGATTAGCCCCCTGGCTCTTCCTCCCTCAAAGGTCTTGGTCCCAGCCAGACAACTCCAACTCTGCCATCCCAAGGGCCTCTGGGAGGCAGTAAGTTCTCCTATTGTTCAAAACTCAGGCCAGCATGGTGGCTCACACCTGTAATCCCAGCATTCTGGGAGGCCGAGGTGAGCAAATCACCTGAGGTCAGGAGTTCAAGACCAGCCTGGCCAACATGATGATACCCTGTCTCTACTAAAAATGTAAAAATTACCCAGGCATGGGGTGGTGGGCACCTGTAATCCCAGCTACTCCGGAGGCTAAGGCAGGAGGATCACTTGAACCGGAGGCTAAGGCAGAGGTTGCAGTGAGCCAAGATCACGCCACTGCACTACAGCCTGGGAGACAGAGCAAGACTCCATCTCAAGAAAAAAAAACCAAAAAACTCTAGCTGAGGAGGGTTAGCCGGAAGCCTTCTTCCCAATGTACCAACCACCCCTACTTCCCACTGCTCACCTCAGCAACCCCAGTCTGGCCAAGTCCATCCCAACCCATGCTGCCACACGCCCTTCATGCTCTTCCTAGGACATTTAATCACCTGGTCTTGGGCCAGGCAGACTGGACTCTCCCTTCATTTTACAGACAAGGAAACTGAGACACAGAGAGGCTGCTGGACTGTTGCAGGCAAGTCAGGGAAGGGCACGGTCTGGAACCCAGGGCTCAAAATGCAGTGTTCTTTCCAACTTCACAGATTTCTTAGATCCAGAAGAGGCAGGCTGGCAAGGGACAGCAAGGGACTCAGAGTGAGTCAAAAGAAAGGACTTCCAGATCAGAAGGATTGGTAAGACCTGAACATGTAATTGTGGGATGATGCCAAAGGTCTTCACCTGACTCTTGTCAACACTAACAGGTTCCGGGACAGCTGCACTCTAGGGGGCCAGTAGAGGCACCATCTTGCTCAAAGAATGGGGCCAAACTACACCAGGCATCTCTACCATCCCCATCAGATCCTACCTCTCTCTGCTTAAAACCCTCCAATGGCTTCCCATCATTCTTGGAACAATTTTAAATTCTTCACCAGGGCCCCAAGGTCCTACAGAACCTGGTTCCTGATCACGCCTATGAGATCATCTCCCCATGGTCACTCCATTCCAGCCCCCTTGGGCTCCTCCCTGTTCCTCAACACACTAAAGCTGTTCCCATTTCACAGCCTTTACCCTAATGTTCCCTTTATCTGGAACATTCTGTCCTCAGCTCTTCTCATGGCCACTTCCTTCTAAACATTCAGGTCCCTACTCAAACGTTGCCTCTTGGAGAGGCCTTCCCTGATCACTTGGCTAAATACACGAGGCTTTGCAGGATATACAGTCCCTGCTGCAACTACTTAAGTCTGCTCTTACAGCGTAAAACAGCCATAAGCAATATGTAAGTGAATGGGTGTGGCTGAGTTCAATGAACTTTATTTACAAAAGTAGGCAGTAGGCTGGATTTGGCCTATGAATGTAGTTTGCTTACTCCAGCTCTAACTAATTGTCTTGTTTGATTGTCTTCCTCTATCCTTCCCTCTCTAGACTGTTAACTCCATAAGAGCAGAGACTCTAGTCTCATTCAATGCTGCTGTGGTAGCCAGCCTCCAAGATGTCCCCCAGTGATCCCCATTTCCTGGTATTCCCACCATTATTTACTCCCCTCCCAAACTGAGTAGCGTTGTCTGTGTAATCACTAGGATATTGTGAAAAAGATGGAGTGTGACTTTTGAGGCTAGATGATAAGAGGCATTGTGGATTTCATCTTGCCACCTTGAATCCCTTGCTCTGGGGATGCCAGCAGCCATGCTGTAAGGACACTCAAGCAATCCTATGGCAAGGTCCACATGGGAGGAATTGAGGCCTCCTGCCAACTGCCAGCCATGCAAGTGAGCCAAATTGAAAGTGGATTCTCAAGCCCCAGTCAAGCTTTCAGGGGATCACTGTCCCAGCTGGTATTTTGACTACAACCTCATGAGAGATCTAAGCCAGAACCATCCAGCCAAGCCATTTCTGAAGTCCTACCACACAGAAACTATGATATAATACATGTTTGTTGTTTTAAAATTAAGGTAATTAGTAATTAGTTATGCAGACATAGATGACTCACATAGTTGCCTAGCACAGTGTCTGGTCACAGAATAAATAGGCTAATTAATATTGGTTAATAAATAAGTGCTTAATAAATATAGAAGGACACATTATAAAAATAAATGTTTGGGGCCGCTGCGGTGAGTGCATTCTCACTCAATAGGCGCCAACTAAACTTTTATTAAAATAAAATAAATGTTTGAAAGACAAATGTATTATAGTTTTTATATAAATAAATGTAAAAATATACATTAAATAATATAGAAGGGCACAATTAAAATTTTCCTAATCCACTGATAGTCCTTGGACAAGATGCCTATATAAGAATTCTTTCAACCTTGAGATCCTAAGATTCGGAGATTCTCAGTTTCTGTGTATAATTAATGCTAAGTCTAGGATTATATAATTCTGAGACTTTAGGCTTCTGTTTCACCAAGTCCATGGCTCTAAAAGCTTGTGATTCTAACATCTTATGATTCATTTATCAACATATATCTTGGCTGAACAACTCTTCTCTGCCAGGCACAGTGCTGGGTGCTAGGGATTCAGTAGAGAAAAGATGATCCCGATATCTGCCCTCCTGTGGCTCATGAGTGGATGGGGACACAGGCAAACACACGGGCACACATGATGTAGTGATCTCTGTCACATGGTAAGCACAGCAGCTGGGGTGGGGACTGTGGTAAATGAAGGAACACCAACCCAGATATTCAGGAGGGATGTGAGCAGAAACTGTCCTCAGAGCAAACAGGAAGAGAGAGGACTTCAACCAGAGAAGGAGGTGGTGTTGTAGACTGTGTTCCAGGTAGCGGGAACAGCCAGTGCAAAGGTCCAGGGGTCAGGGGAGAGAGCCAGCATCCAGCACATCTGGTGAAGCAAAACAAGTTCTGTATGGGTTGGTATAGAGTTGGGGGTGGGGGGCGGTAGAAGGCAGAGTGGCCAGACTGTGGCCAGATGACTGAGAACCTAGTAAACCATGTCAAGGAGTTTGAACTTTATCCTGAGGGCAAAGGGGAGCCAGGGAAGGGTTTTAAGGGGCAGCAGAGTGGCACAATCTGCTTGGTAGTTTGGAAAGATGCCTCTGGCTCCTGTGTACGGGTTTGGAAGGAGGAGAGACAAGAGACAAGTCTGGAACAAGATCCCAGGTGAGAGAAGAGGCCTGAGTGAATGGGAGGTGGGCCCCAGAGAGACATTTCATTTACAGTGTGGGGAATGGACAGGGAGTTGGTGGCAGTGTGGGTTATACTGGTAACCTAGGAGCCCAGGACTCCTAGATTTTATGATTCTAAAATTCTTGGCCAGGCACAGTGGCTCATGCCTGTAATCCCAGTACTTTGCGAGGCCAAGGTGGGCAGATCACTTGAGGTCAGGAGTTTGAGACCAGCCTGGCCAACATTGTGAAACCCCGTCTCCACCAAAAACACAAAACAATTAGCCGGGCCTGGTAGTACATGCCTGTGATCCCTGCGACTCGGGAGGCTGAGGCAGGAGGATCCCTTGAACCCAGGAGGTGGAAGTTGCCCTGAGCCGAGATCGCGCCACTGCACTCCAGCCTGGTTGACAGATTGAGACTCCTTCTCAAAAAATAAAATAAAGTAAAATTCTCTGATTCTGTGTTCAACACTCCATCATTCTTCAACACAAAATGTTCAATGATATCACCATATGTGTAGGATGCCCAACCTTACCGCCCTCCATCCCTCCTTTCTGAGCTTCAGTTTTCCTTGTTTACAAAGTGAGGATCATTAACACTGTCCTTGCAAAGCAGCCGTGGGAGTGGGAGACGGTGTGTACTCAGCATCTGCACAGAAATGTGGTCCATCATGGCAGGCGTGTTTGTCTGGAAGTGCTCAACACACAGGCACTGTCAGGAAAGAGCCGGGTGTTGAGAGAACAAGACATCAGCAGGGAAGAGCAGGGCAGGCAAGGAAGAGCCTGGTCCTTGTCTGCTCCTGGAGACCTGGGCTGCTCTGGCCTCCCGGCTTCTGCCTGGGCATCTGATACCCAGATTTGGTTGTTTGCTTCCGGGTACCGACAAGTTTACATGTTGTTTGTGGAATTCCCCATTTCTGCAGCTGGCCAGAAACTCCCCTTTCCTGGTCTTAAACTCCCCCAAGGGCTACAGACACCAGCTGGGGGTAGCCAGGCAAGATCTGGTCTTCCCTGGACTGATCTAAGCCAGATCAAGTCCCAACCTGCTCACACTCTAGCGCCCCCTCTAGGTCACACTATAGGCATTCCCTTCTTAGACAACTAACTGTCCATTGGCTCCAGCAAGAGCAAGTCTTTGGAGACAGAACCCTCACTCCTCTCCCCAAAACACATGGTCTCCTGAACCACACCCAAGGTTTATGTGTCTCCTGCATTCTAATTTGCTTCTCACCAATGGTTCAGTTTTAATTCAGTCCAATCCACAAAACATCCATTGAAGCCGGGCATGGTGGCTCACACCTGTAATCCCAGCACTTTGGGAGGCCGAGACAGGTGGATCACTTGAGGCCAGGAGTTTAAGACCAGCCTGGCCAACATGGTCAAACCCCATCTCTACTAAAAACACAAAAATTAGCAGGGCGTAGTGGCGGGTGCCTGTAATCCCAGCTATTCGGGAGGCTGCAGTGGGAGAATCGCTTGAACCCGGGAGACAGAGGTTGCAGTGAGCTGAGATAGCTACACTGCACTCCAGCCTGGGTGACAGAACAAGACTCCACCTCAAAAAATAAAATAAAATAAAATAAAATAAATTGAACAACATAACTGTGACAGGCTTACCCGTTGCTTGGAGAAAGAGATGGGAGGCCAGCAGTGGTGGGCCTGAAGCTGCCAGTGCTTAGTGGATCAGGGTTGGGCTTAGGGTGTGAGGCCAGAGAGCTCAGTTCATTTCTTTGCACACAGTAGGGGCTCTGTAAACACCCGTGAAATTAAATCAAATTAGGAGTTTAAGTGACACAAGCTAGCATGTGCACCAACTATTTCCGGAAGGCGATGAGAGACCGGAGAGTGAGATGGCTTTCGGGGTGGGTGTTGGGGGGCTGGGTAGCTGGGGTCGGGGTGGGAGGAAGACCTACTTCTCATTTTATGCCCTTTTGTACCTTTTGAAATGTTTTACTTTCACCACATGCACACAGAGCAGAATCAATCAAACAAACAATCACAATTAAATAAACAATGCAGGGAGCCAGGCTGTCTCAGAGCTCCATGGCTTCATGCCTGCTCTTCCTGCTGGTGAGATACTGTTTCCCAGCTTTCTCCAACTGGGGAAGTACACGTCCTCCAAGAAGTACACAAATGTCCTGTCTTCTGGGGCCTGTTCCTGCCTCCCTGTGATGGTTCTTCTCTGCTTACCCACCTCATCCACACACGAGTGGTCCAATCTCCAACCCTGTCTGTCCTGCTCTGTGGCCTGGAGGCACCTGTGCCTTCTGACATCACAATACATTCAGCCAAGGGGAGGAATCGGCAGAGATAAAAGGGCAGGATGAGGGAGAACTGGGCATGTTTATGCCACCCCCAGCTCCCTCCCTGTTTTGCCTTAATTTTGGCAGTGGCTGAATTTCTCCATGGTCTTAACTCCTGTCTTAGCCTCACTTATATGGCTCCAGCTATCTCTGGGTCAAGTAACACCATTCTCTCTCTCACCTCTTTGGCCTTGGGGTGCTAACAGCTCCCCACTGTTGCCAGTCCCTGCATGCCTCACCTCTGCAAACACTTCCTTCATTAAGTTTGCTTCAGTTAAGCCAGTGGTTCACAATCTGGGGTGACTTTGCCCCCAGGGGACATTCGGTGATGTCTGGAGACACTTTAGGTTGTCATGACTGGTAGAGAAGATGCTACTGGCAGAGGCAACAGATAGTGCTAACCATCCTACTCCGCACAGGACATCCCCCACAACAGAATTAGCCAGCCCCAAATATCAATAGCACGGAGACTTTGGGTCTCCCACTGCTCCCTGCCTGAAGCCCGACAGTTCATGGCTGGGATTCTGGACTCCTGCTGGCCTCTCTGCTTTGTGGTGTGATCTGCCAGTTTCCACACCTGCTGTTGATCTC
Organism: Homo sapiens; assembly: GCF_000001405.40. Classification (NCBI taxonomy): domain Eukaryota; kingdom Metazoa; phylum Chordata; class Mammalia; order Primates; family Hominidae; genus Homo; species Homo sapiens. The sequence continues at coordinate 44,451,237 of NC_000020.11, forward strand.
CTCTTAGTGACACAGAGATGAAAAGACCCCATCCTTGCCCTCAAGCTGGCCATAGTGCAGTGGAGAGAGACCCTGGTGAGCGGGGTTCCCCAGCAGCCTCGAGTCCTTGAGGGCAAAGTCTCTTTGTCAGTCACCACGTAGCCCCAGTAGTAGGAGAGCAGCAGACATTTGCCAATTGAAACAAAAGGTCCTTTAAAAATATCTTAAAACAAGGCCAGGCTCAGTGGCTCACGCCTGTAATCCCAGCATTTTGGGAGGCCAAGGTGGGTGGATCACCTGAGGTCAGGAGTTTGAAACCAGACTGGCCAACATGGTGAAACCCTGTCTCTACTAAAAATACCAAAAAAAAAAAAAATTATCTGGGCATGGTGGTGAGCGCCTGTAATCCCAAGCCACTACTCGGGAGGCTGAGGCAGGGAGAACTGCTTGAATCTGGGAGGTGGAGGTTGCAGTGGGCTGAGATTGCGCCACTGCACTCCAACCTGGGTGACAGAGCAAGACTCTGTCCCCCCCACCCCCCCCAAAAAAAAGTCTTAAAACAGACAGAAGGTTAGGCTCAATGGCTAAACAAGACCCAGGAAACCCTGGTGAGTTTCCCTGTAACAAAAGTTCCAAGGAAACCACAATCAGGCAAAGATGTACCAAATGAATGAATTCTAGTCCCAGGGGTATGGGTGGGTGAGTGGGACAGAAGACAACTATGAGCATCCCGTCTCTAAAATGGTTATAATGGTAGAACCCACCTCCTAAGATTGAATGAGATTAAATTTAATGAAAATCACTTACAGTGTTACCTAGGGCATAGTGAGCACCAGATAAACAGTATCCACCAGCTACCTGGAGGAAATGATGGGGCAGCAGCTTCAAGACGGGTCTAGGGAAGAGCTCTGCCGCTAATATTGGACTGGTTTGCACCCCTGGGCCTCACTTTCCCAATCTGTAACGTGAGGAAAATATAAGCAAGATTAGTGTTTTGCAGAAATTATATCATAGGGATGCTTGAGAGGGGTTCTACAATACGTAGTGCAAATATCATTTTCAACATCAAACCTGTAATTTAATACAAGTAAAAGGTCAGTCTGTTAAACTGGAGGGAAATATTACCATCAGGCAGGGCTAGGGTGACCAACTCATCCTCTTTTGCCCAGGACTTGTCTAGTTTTAGCTCTGAAAGTCCTGTGTCCTGAAACTCTCCCTCAGTCTCAGCGGATTAGGATGGCTGGTGACCCCAGCAGGTCAAATGATCAGCTTGCCCATACTAATTTTAAAGATAATAAATAGCTAGCTGCCCGACACAGTGGCTCACGCCTGTAATCCCAGCACTTAGGGAGGCTGGCTCGGGCAAATCACTTGAGGTCAGGAGTATGAGACCAGCCTGGCCAACATGGCGAAACCCCGTCTCTACTAAAAACACAAAAATTAGCTGGGAGTGGTGGCAGATGCCTGTAATTCTACCTACTTGGGAGGCTGAGGCAGGAGAATCGCTTCAACCCAGCGGGCAGAGGTTGCAGTGAGCCAAGATCGTGCCACTGCACTCCAGCCTGGGCAACAGAGCGAGACTCCATCTCAAAATAAATAAATAAATAAACAAACAATATATGTTGAATACTTATTTTGTGCCAGGCACTGACTTCACAAGTATTAGCTCATTTAATCTTTATAAGAACCCAGCAAGGTAAATATTAACATCTCTCTTTATACAATCGCACAGAAAGGTTCTGTAATTGCCTGAGTTCACACAACTCCTGAGTAGTAAAGCCAGGATTTGATTCCAGGCCATCTGGGTCCAGAGTTGCCATATTTAATTTGACCTGTGCTATATATTTGAATATATTTTTATTTTTTATTTTTTGAGAGGAAGTCTCGGCTCTGTCACCCAGGCTGGAGTGCCGTGACATGATCTTAGCTCACTGCAACCTCTACCTCCCGGCCTCAAGTGATTCTTTAGCCTCAGCCTCCTCCCAAGTAGCTGAGATTACAAGCATGCACCGCTATGCGCAGCTAATTTTTGTATTTTTAGTAGAGATGGAGTTTCACCATTTTGGCCAGGCTGGTTTCAAACTCCTGACTTCAAGAGATCTGCCCACCTCGGCCTCCCAAAGTGCTGGGATTACAGGCGTGAGCCACCACGCCAGGCAAATATATTTTTAAAACGTCTTTGGAGACAGTAATAATATCAATAATGATGATAATAATAATAATGGAAATATATTTTAAAACATTTTTGAAATAGTAATAATGACAATACATTTTTGAACACTGAAATATGCATCCCAAAATTTAACACTATGGAGGCCACGTATAAACTAACTTGAGCTGCTTGATTAGCCCATTGTTGTGCAGACCTTAGAATAAAGCATTTTTGGCCACCTCTGCTGAATTAAAGCTAGAATGGAAGACTCAAATGTTTACAGGGCCAGGTGGGTGATGTCAGTGAGTGGTTTTAGGGCAACAGAGAGTGGTGGGGACTGTGGCAAACGGGAATAGAATGCATGAGCTGAGAAGATGCAGCCAGGACTCAACTCCAGGCACTTGGAATTGGGGACCAGCAATGGCAGATCCTTCAGGAGGAGACAAACATCCATCTTTATCAGCAACTAATTCAATGAAAACAATACAAAAACACAAGGTGTGTGAAACAAAACGTGCCTGTGGGTCAAACCCAGTTCCTGCTCTCCTTCCACCGCTGCCCTGCCCAAATTGAATGTGTGCTCAGATTATCAGGAAAGCTGTTAAAAACAACAACCACAACAACACTGGCCAGGTGTGGTGGCTCACGCCTGTAATCCCAGCACTTTGGGAGGCCGAGGCGGGCGGATCACGAGGTCAGGAGATCGAGACCATCCCGGCTAAAACGGTGAAACCCCGTCTCTACTAAAAATACAAAAAATTAGCCGGGCGTAGTGGCGGGCGCCTGTAGTCCCAGCTACTTGGGAGGCTGAGGCAGGAGAATGGCGTGAACCAGGGAGGCGGAGCTTGCAGTGAGCCGAGATCCCGCCACTGCACTCCAGCCTGGGCGACAGAGCAAGACTCCGTCTCAAAAAAAAAAATAAAATAAAATAAAACAAAAAACTATTTGAAACTGTGGCATATTCATTCAATGGAACACTATACAGTAACAAGAATAAACTCTAGCTATGAAAAATATGGATGAATCTCACAAACATAAGCCAGACACAAAAGACTACATCCTGTGTTATTCCGTTTCTTTAATGTTTAACAACAGACAAGACTCATCTCTGGTGTCAGGAGTCAGGCTTGTGGTTACCCTGGAGAGGGGTGCTAGTGAGTGATTGGGAGGGGCAAAGGGAAGACTTCTGGGAGCCTGGCCGGGTTCCATTTCTTCATCTGGGTCCCAGTGGCATGGGGGTTCTCTTTGCGATGATTCATTGAGCTGCACACTTGAGTTTGTGCATTTTTTGATGTCTGTTTTTTGGTTTTTGTTTTCTTTTGAGTTGAAATATTTGTCACCCAGGCTGGAGTGCAGTGGCACCCAGGTGGAGTACAGCTCGCTGCAGCCTCCACCTTCTGAGGCTCAGGCAATCCTCCCACCTCAGCCTCCCGAGTAGCTGGGACTACATACAGGCACGTGCCACCATGCCTGGCTAATTTATTATTATTATTTGTAGAGGCAGGGGGTTTTGCTATGTTGCCCAAGCTAGCCTCCAACTCCTGGGCTCTAGTGATCCTCCCGACTCAGCATCCCAAAGTGTTAGGATTACAGGCATTAGCCATCATGCCAAGCCGTATGTGCGTTATACTTCAAAATTTATGTAAAATTTTTTGAAACACATACACAGAAACCATTACCATTTGGAAATATTTCTCTGGACAAAGCAGGATTGTGTTTGGATAGAAGGGAAAACAAATGAGGAAATAATCCATTCCAAGTATGGGAAGCATCTGACGACCCTTTGCTGAATAGGGTGAAAAGAATACAATTGTCAGGGCTGGGCTCACCACTGAACTCCAGCCTGGACAACAGAGCCAGACCCTGTTTCAAAAAAACAAAAAACAAAATGAAAAAACAAAAGTGTCTCCTTGGAGAGGCCTTTCTAGGAAGCAACCTTCCCAGTTACTTCCTCTTAGGGTACTATAACTTCCCCTTAGGAAATGCTGATTACAGTCTGCAATTCCCTTGTTTATTTGGGGTTTTCTTTCTTTTTTCCTTTTTTATTTTTTTTGAGATGGAATCTCGCTCTGTCACCCAGGCTGGAGTGCATGGCAAGATCTCGGCTCAATGCAACCTCTGCCTCCTGGGTTCAAGCTATTCTCCTGCCTCAGCCTCCCAAGTAGCTGGCATTATGAGCACCCACCACCATGCCTGTCTATTTTTTTGTATTTTTAGTAGAGACGGGATTTCACCATGTTGGCCAGGCTGGTCTTGAACTCCTGACCTCGGGTGATCTGCCTGCCTCGGCCTCCCAAAATGCTGGGATTATGGACGTGAGACACTGTGCCCGGCCCTTTTTTTCTTTTTTTAGTTTATTGTCTATCTCCCCTTCATGAAGACAATGATTTTGCCTGTCTTATCCATCACCTGGCACATAGCAGGTGTCACAAAATATTTATTAAATGAGTGAAGAGAAGAAGGGAGGGAGAGAAGGAAGAACAACTGAGTGGATAATTGGGAGTTAACAAGGCAAAGCTGGGGGCAGTTGGAAGCTGTGAAGACCGATGCGACTAGAGATGAGAGACCAGGGGGTGCGGCAGGCAAGATGATGTCCATTTTACAGATGAGGCATCTGAGGCTCAGAGATGGCAAGGGGCATGACCAAGTCATCCAGTGGGACAGGTCCTGGATGAATCCAGTTTCCGACTCAAGAGTCAATAGAACCTCAGTTACTGAGCACTCATCTGTACTAACTGATGAGGTGAGTATTGTTATTCCTTCCTAAGGCACAGCCAGGAACAGTGGTTCATGCCTATTAATCTCAGAATTTTGGGAGGCCGAGATAGGAGGATTGCTTGTGGCCAGGAGTTCAAGACCAGCCTGGGCAACATAGTAAAACCTCCATCTCTACCAAAAAAGATTTTTCGAATTAGCTGGGCTCGGTGATGCCTGCCTGTAGTCCTAGCTGCTCAGGAGGTTGAGGCAAGAGGAACACTTGAGCCCAGGAGCTCAAGGCTGCAGTGAGCTATGATCAGGCCACTGCACTTCAGCCTGGGCAACAGATCAAGACCATGTATCTTATAAAAAAAAACAAAAAACGGTGGGGGGAGCCGGGCGCGGTAGCTCACACCTATAATCCCAGCACTTTGGGAGGCCTAGGCGGGCAGATCACCTGAGGTCAGGAGTTAGAGACCAGCCTGACAAACATGGAGAAACCCCATTTCTACTAAAAATACAAAATTAGCTGGGCATAGTGGTGCATGCCTATAATCCCAGCTACTCAGGAAGCTGAGGCAGGAGAATCGCTTGAACCCGGGAGGCAGAGTTTGCGGTGAGCCGAGATCGCACCATTGCATTCCTGCCTGGGCAACAAGAGTGAAACTCCGTCTCAAAAACAAAACAAGACAAAACAAAACAAAAGGACCTAAGGCACAGAGAGTTTGAGTGACTTGCCTAAGGTCACACAGCTAAGAAGCAGCCAAGCCTCAGGGCTTTTGTCTACTCTGAATGGCTATTCTCCACCACCCACCCCACCTTGCTGCCAACTCTCTGCTCGGACCCCAGCACGGTCTATGAATTCAAACCCTAACCCTTTCTAGAGCTTTGGGCAAAGCCAGGAAATTCCATGAAACCCCTTCAAGGCCTGGGTTCCAGTTCCCCCAACTCCAAACCAAAAGAGAGCAAAACTAGCCCTCCTTGCAAGGTGGCTGTGAGAAAACAGTGATAAAAATTAATTATAGGACTTGTATGTAATAAAAATAATTGCAGGGCTCCTGGCAAACAGCCCAGCTCTAGAGATACGGACTGATGATAGCAGGCATTTATGGCCCTGCGGCCCAGCCTTTCTGAGGCTGGGGTGATAGGAGCCGGGTCACGAGGTGGGGGTGGTCACAGGCAGGAAACTCCCAGCAGCAAGGCCTGGGCCTGTCTCTGATGCAGCCTGCACATTGGTTTCAGGGACGCTTGGAAGGACACTCCCCTAGCCTCGGGGGGTCACCATTAGTTATCCATCTGGTTGGGTCTGATGTTGCTTGCTGTTTGCCTTTCTAAAAACCTACAAACAAGGCCAGGTGTGGTGGCTCACACCTGCAATCCCAGCACTTTGGGAGGCCAAGGTGGGTGGATCGCTTGAGGTCAAGGGTTCAAGACCAGCCTGGCCGACATGGTGAAACCCCATCTCTACTAAAAATACAAAAATTAGCTGGGCATGGTGGCGGGTGCCTGTAATCCCAGCTACTCAGGAGGCTGAGGCAGGAGAATCACTTGAACCCGGGAGGCGGAGGTTGCAGTGAACCAAGATCGTGCCATTGCACTCCAGCCTGGGCCACAGAGTGAGACTCTGTCTCAAAATAAATAAATATAAAAACCTGTAAATAATGAGCACTTTACAGTGACTTCATTCATTCGTTAATTCTCAAGGCCCCAAGGATAGGCAGGGAGCAGATATTGGTGGTGGTGGAGGTGGAGCAAGGCCCAGAGGAGACAGTGGTTCATTCTTCCTCTATCCAATGGATATTTATTAAGGGCCACTCCATGCCAGGTGCCTCGCTGTTGGAAGGTAGTGACAGGGACACCAGGGACTTGCCCAGGATCACAGTGGGTGGGAGAAAGTCAGGGCTGGCCCCTGGGTCCTCAACACCAAGGACAGTAGTCTCATTGCCACAAAAAGAGACCGGAGTGGTTTGTCCCTTTGGAAAAATGACTCCCTCTTAGGATTCTAGCCTTCCCTGCAGGCATTCATAGTTAATTCTTAAAGACATCAAAAACCCATATTAGAACTCCAGTAATTTTTTTAATGAAAACGGAACCTACTTATCACAAAAGCTCAACCAATAAAGAGAAGTACAAATAAGAAAGTTCAAAATGTGGAAATTTTACTACCCAGAGAAAAATGCTCTTAGCAGAGGTAGCAGAGCTAAGTGGTCAAGAGCACAGACTCAGACCAAAGTGCCCAGGGCCACGTGCTGGCTTGCAACCTAACCATGCTAGAGTGTAGCCTCTCTGCTGCCTATTTCTTTACCTGCAAATCTGTATAATGGCAGCACCTGTCACACATAGGGTATTAAATGTTAGGAGCATGAAACAAGCTAACCATTTGTGGAGTGCTTAGCACAGCACTCAACACAGAATAAGTGCTATTTAAAGGGTTGTTCAGTGTATCCCCAGACGGGGCTCCATGCAGACATACCACACCTGCTTATGGTCTTAGGACCTGATTTTATATATGTATATACACATATATATGTATATATACGTATATATATATGTGTGTGTGTGTGTGTGTGTGTATACACACATATATACATATATGTATACACACATTTATACATATATATATACACACATATACACACTAAACAAGATATTCCAGGCACATTGCCATGTCTATAAGCTTCTTTCTATAAGTAAGAATTTGATTTAGGCTGGAGACAGTGGCTCACACCTGTAATCCCAGCACTTTGGGAGGCCAAGGCAGGAGGATCACTTGAGCCCAGGAGTTTGAGACCAGTCTGGGCAACTTAGTGAGACCTCCCTAAGGTGTTGCAATGTGCAGCTGTAGTCCCAACTAATTGGGAGGCTGAGGTGGGAGGATTGCTTGAGCCTTGGGAGGTAGAGGTTGCAGTGAGCCAAGATTGTGCCACTGCGCTGCAGCCTGGGCAACAGAGTGAGACCCTATCTCAAAAAAATAAAAAGAATGTACGTTTCATATCGGTAGAAACTTTCTGGCTGTTTCAGGTCCTAAAAGAGTGCTTGGCACATAATAGATGTGCAAAAAAAAAAATGTTGAATGAATGAATGACTCTAATTTAGTCAATATCCATGACAAAGGGATCTGTTACATACTGGGTGTGTGACTTTGAGCAAGTATCTTCAAGCCTCTGAACTTCAGTCTTCTCCTAGGTTTCATGGGTATGACACAGATAACATGTACTGAGTTAACTCTGTGCTGGGACTAATTTGAAGTGGTTTATATGGAATATCTCCTTTAAACCATACAACAGCATTTGAGGTACTATTATTAGTCCATATTAATGTGGAGTTAGCTGAGGCATAAGGAGATTAAGTAACTTGGCTAAGGTCACAAGTAAGAGGTGGAGCTAAGAGACAAGTCCCCCAGGCCTCTGATACCACAGTGCATTCACTTACCACCACTCTATACTGCTTTTCTAAGATAACCCACCCTTGGCCACCGACAGTAGAAGGAATAAGTACATGGTGGTACATTTGTACAATAGAATACTATACAGCAATTGAGTGGCTCATGGGCTGGGAACCGTGGCTCATGCCTATAATCCCAACACTTTGGAAGGCTGAAGCAGGTGGATTACTTGAGCTCAGGAGTTTGAGACCAGCTTGGGCAATATACCAAGACCCCCATCTCTAAAAAAAAGAAAAAGAAAAAGAATACTATACAGTGATTAAGAAGAGCACATTGATGCCAGGTGCGGTGGCTCATGCCTGTAATCCCAGCACTTTGGGAGGCCAAGACGGGAGGATCATGAGGTCAGGAGTTTGAGACCAGCCTGGCCAACATGGTGAAACCCTGTCTCTACTAAAGATACAAAAAAAAAAAAAAAAAAAATTAGCCAGGCATGGTGGCACGTGCCTGTAATCCCAGCTACTTGGGAGGCTGAGACAGGAGAATCACTTGAACTTGGGAGGCGGAGATTGCAGTGAGCTGAGATCATGTCATTGCACTCCAGCCTGGGTGAAAGGGCAAGACTCCATCTCAAAAAAAAAAAAAATAAAATGACATCCTGAATTTTTATGGCAACCCTAAAGTTTGCATATGTATGATTCCATTTATGTGAAGTTCAGAAATAAGCAAAACGAATAAATGGTAATAGAATCAGGAGCATGGTTTCGTTGGGTGGGAGTAGGAGTGAGTAGAAAGGATATTAGAAAAGCTTTACATCTTGATCTGGATGGAGGTTACCTGTGTGTATACACATGTAACAATTCACCAAGCTGTACACTTAATGTTTTTACCTTTTACAACACTTGTGAATTACAACTCCATAAAAAAATATTTTTAGGCCAGTTGCGGTGGCTCATGTCTGTAATCCCAGTACTTTGGGAGGTCAAAGGCCAGCTTGGGCAACATGGCAAGACCCTGTCTCTACAGAAAAATTAAAAAATCAGCCAGGTATGGTTGTGCATACCCGTAGTCCCAGCTTCTTGGAAGGCTGAGGCAGGAGGATTGCTTGAGCCCAGGAGATCTCGGCTACTGTGAGCCGCAATTGTGCCACTGCACTCCAGCCTGGGCGACAGAGTGAGACCCTGTCTCAAAAAAAATTATATATATATACATATATATATATGTGTATATATATGTATATACGTATATATATATGTATATACGTATATATGTGTATATATATGTATATACGTATATATATAATACACAAATTTTTTAAATCCCACAGAGCGATATGCCCTATTATAAAATCTTTGATAATATTCTCTAACTGATGGGATGTTTGCAAGGTTAAAATGTGATAAAGTTTGTGACTCTCTTGCTACATTTTAGGCTCTCATAGTAAGAACTCAATGTTAAATGTAAACAGCATTGTTAAATGTAACAGCAGCATTCATACAGCATCGTTATTATCATGGCTTTTTGTATTTCTCTCTATTGCTGATAGACTGGAGCGCCCTCGAGTGTTTAATTTGTTATAGTACCTCAGTTATTACAAAGAGCACCCTAAACCCAAGTTTGTAGTCTCAATGCCAAAGGGCAATGCTTTTCTTTTCTTTCACTCCAGTGCCACATAAAAAAGGACCAAAACATGACCTCCTGGGAGCAAAGAAACACCAGGTTGCCTAAGGAGAGGTGAACTGGCCCAGGCTGGAAACAGAGCAGGTCAAATCTCACGCCCTGATCAGTGGTGGGATCACGCCTGTGAATAGCCACTGCAGTCCAAACTGTGAGACTCTGTCTCTTAAAAAAAAAAAAAGTAGCAAAATTCACATCAAATCAATGGGTCCCAAGGCCAACTCAAGCCCTGCCCATGGTCACTCCCTGAAATGTGTCAGAAGGAAGGCAGAAGGGAACACGCAGCTCTACCTCCCTTTGATGCAAGCACATTGCAAATATCATCTCGTTTCACAGGAACTCACATAATATTTGAATGTGGCATCATACTGACTACAAAAATCCTTTCATATTACTAATAGTCACAGCTAGCTTTCAGTGACAGTTTCCTGTGTCCCAGGTACCCTACTAGGAGCTAGATGTCATTGTTAGCTTTGATCTTTAAAATGGCCTGTGAGGCATATATTCTTTTGTAGCCTGCTTTTTTCCCTTCAGCAGTACGCTTTGGGCATCTTTCCATGTCAATAAATAGAGCTGGGTCGGAAGTAACTGATTCAAAGGCTGAGAAACTTAAACAGTCAGCAGCCACTGCCCAGGTGAAGATCAATAATAGTTAACATTTATTGAGTGCTTTATTACACACCAGGCCCTCCACTCATTGTTTAAGGTGAACTCTCTCGCATTTGATCCTTGAGGCAATCCCAAGGTAGCTTCTATTATTATTCAGATGGGGAATCTGAAGCCCAGAGAAGCAAAGGAACGCAGTCAAGGTCAGACAGCTGGTGTTCAATGGCAGAGGTGGGATTCAAACCCAGGTCCCTCTGATTCAGGCGCTGGGCTCTCAGCCAGCACATTTGGAGGACAACATGGAGGAGGATGTAAGGGGAGTCTTCGAAGTGGGAAAAGGATCCACTAGCAAAGGCTGAAGACAGGCAGGAGGGTGGTGTGGGCCCAGGCCACTGTCCTCCATGGAAGTGACAGTAAGGCTTCCTGGAGGTGACACCGTTTGGACTAATTCTATGTCTCCAGACAATAAAGGAGGTCTTTTTATAGCTTACCAGTTCCTGGGCATACGTCCAGTGAGACATACGTGGGTTCAAATCTTCATTGTGCCACTCTAGTTTAAAAAAAAATCAGCATTATCGCCAGACACAGTGGTTCACGTCTATAATTCCAACACTTTGGGAGGCCAAGGCAGGCGAGTCACCTGAGGTCAGGAGTTCGAGACCAGAGTGGCCAACATGGTGAAACCCCATCTCTACTAAAAATACAAAAATTAGCTGGGCGTGGTGATGCACACCTGTAATCCCAGCTACTCGGGAGGCTGAGGCAGGAGAATCATTTGAACCCAGAAGGTGGAGGTTGCAGTGAGCCAAGAACGTGCCTGGGTGACAAAGTGAGACTCAGTCTCAAAAATAAAAATAAAAAATAAACAGCATTGTTGAGATATAATGATGTTCAATAAACTAAACATACTTAAATTGAATAATCTGATGAGTTTCAACATATGTACATACCCAAGGAACCATCACCACAATCAAGATGCCAAGTGTTTCCATCGCTTCCAAAAGCTTCATGCTCGTTTATAAGCCATCCCCCATTCATCCCACCACCCCATTCCCAGGTAACCATCACCAATATAGGTTGCTTTCTTTCACTATAGATGGCTTTACATTTTCTGGGATTTTATAGAAATGAAATCATGCTATATGTACTCTGTCTTAATTTTTTTTTTTTTTTTTTTGAGACAGAGCCTCTCTCTGTTGCCCAGGCTGGAGTGCAGTGGTGAAATCTCGGGTCACTGAAACCTCTGCCCCCCAGGGGTTCAAGCAATTCTCCTGCCTCAGCCTTAGTAGCTGGGATCACAGGCGTGCGCTACCATACCTGGCTAATTTTTTTTTTTTTTGTATTTTTAGTAGTCTCGAACTCCTGGCTTCAGGTGATCCGCCCACCTCAGCCTCTCCAAGTGCTAGGATTACAGGCGTGAGCCGCTGCGCCCCGCAAATATGTACTCTTTCTGTCTGACTTCTCTCATTCAGGCATGAACCACCATGCCTGGCCATTTCGCCATTACTTTTAACGGCAAAAACCGCAATCACTTTTGCACCAACCTAATAGATCTCACAGGTGAAGCACGGTGGCTCACACCTGTAATCCCAACACTTTGGGAGGCTGAGACGAGCAGATCACTTGAGCCCAGGAGTTTGAGACCAGCCTGGGCCACATAGCGAAACCGTGTCTCTACTAAACACCAAAAAATTAGCCAGGCATGGTGGCATGTGCCTGTCTGTAGTCTCAGCTACTCAGGAGGTTGAGGTGGGAGAATCGCTTGAGCCCTAAGGTCGAGCTGCAGTGAGCCGTGATCGCACCACTGCACTCCACTTTGTCTCAAACAAACAACAAAGAAAGATACAGAAGCCATAGTTTCTTCACCCATGCCCCTGGGCATGTCATTGTTTCCCCCAGTTTTTGCCTATTACAAATAAAACTGCTATGAACACTCATGTTCATGTCTTTGAGAGGACAAACGCTTTCATTATGCAGGAATACAATTGCTGGTCACATAAGTGTGTGTTTAACTTTTTAAGAAACTGCAAACTACTTCCCAGTCTGGCCTTTTTAATTATAGTCATTTTAGATGCACTCATTTTTTTTAACCTGTGGATCTAATAGATGGTTTCTTAGACTGTCTGGACCTCAGTGTTTTCATGTGTAAAATGGAGATAATTGGCCGGGTGCAGTGGCTCACGCCTGTAATCCCAGCACTTTAGGAGGCTGAGGCAGGCAGATCATGAGGTCAAGAGATCGAGACCATCCTGGCCAACATGGTGAAACCCCATCTCTACTGAAAGTACAAAAATTAGCTGGGCATGGTGGTGTGCACCTGTAGTCCCAGCTACTCGGGAGGCTGAGGCAGGAGAATCACATGAACCCGGGAGGCGGAGGTTGCAGTGAGTCAAGATCGTGCCACTGTACTCCAGCCTGGCAACAGAGCGAGACTCCATCTCAAAAAAGAAAGGAGATAATTACATCAGTTTTGAAAGGTAGTGAAGACAGAGTGAACTAGCACATAAGCACATATGCAGCACATAGAACAGGGACTGGGACATAGTAGGGGTTCCATAAACGGTGGGTTTTTGTTGTTGTTGTTGTTTTTGAGATGGAGTCTCGTGCAGTGTTGCAATCTCAGCTCACTGCAACCTCCGCCTCCCAGGTTCAAGTGATTCTCCTGCCTCAGCCTCCCAAGTAGCTGGGATTACAGGCACGCACCACCATGCCTGGCTAATTTTTGTATTTTTAGTGGAGACAAGGTTTCACCATGTTAGCCAGGCTGGTCTCGAACTCCTGACGTCAGGTGATCCACCTGCTTCGGCCTCCCAAAGTGCTGGATTACAGGTGTGAGCCACCAGCCTGGCCAAGGGTGATTATTTTATTACAATTGAACCACAGCCATCCTATGATCTGGCCACTTACCCCAGGATACAGCATCCTCAACTAGATGGCAAAAAGCCACTTCCTTTGCACTTAGTCAGTGCTGTTAGCCTGGAGGAATAACAATGGCACCATCGATTGTGCCAGGCACTATCCTAGGTGCTTTTGTATGTTGAATCCTTGCAAAGCCCTGTGAGGTGGGTCAGTGTTTGCCTTCTGTATGACAGATGAGAAAACTGGGATGTAGTAACTAGTCATTGGCCAAGGTCACACAGCAGTGAAGTAATGGTGCTGTGATTTGAATCTATGTAGTTTGATTTAGGATCTAGAAGTTTCGCTAATGGATTACCTAGCTCAGAACTAGTGAAAGAGCCCAGTCACAAAAGCACCTCCTGATGCCCAAAATCATTTTCAGCTCCTCAGACACAGAGCCTGAAGCAAAGATTAGGTACTGTGTGATTTATAAAGGAAAGAACCTGTAAGGGATGAAGGGAAGCAAGACAGGGAGGGAAACAAGAAAAGATGTGGTCTCAGGTAAAGTCTAGCAAAAAGGCTGGCTTTGTGTACCTCTGTACGAGTCAGCTGTTGGCTGCCAGCCACCCTGTGGGTGAGGGGAATAAACTCCAGGGTGAGGTGATTCCTGAGATGGCAGTTCTCCGTAGAAATGGAAATAGTAAGCCATTCGAAGCCAACAACTGAAGCATCTGGGGGGATGGTGTTGGTGTGCTAGCCCATGAAGGGCTCAAGAGGTTCCCAGAGGCACACTTCTTGCCTGCCTAATGAATCAAGTTCTAGAACATTCTGGAACATTCACTTCCTAGACTTGTTTTGGAGAATCCTCCTTCTCACTGAGACCAGCATGTTGAACAAACCCAGCCTGTGACATAATCAAAGCATACCTTAATTTGTATCTCCCAGTGTCCTTTCTAAGATGTATTTGGTAGAGAAACATTTTCCCTGCCACTGGGTGAAATCTCCCCATTATTCTTCTGCTTGTTCTGAGGAAACAGGCAATTCTATGGTCACTTTAGGTCACAAACACAACCTCAATTTAGAAATGAGAATGTCCAGTCAAGCTTCTAACCAAAATTCCCAATTTGATTTGGGTTTAAACCTTCTCCCCTCACCCTCAGGCCTGCTTCAGGGAGGTGGTGTGGGTGACTCCTTCTCTATCTCTCCTTCCCTCACCCACCCGTGGGGTACAGTGGGGGGTGTTGGAGATGGCAAGGGGAGAGGAAGGGTCTCCCTTGAGCTGCCACCATCCTGGCTGGCTTCAAGCTGCCCCTTTCTGTCGTGGGCTCCATGGAGATGGCCACTGTCACAGGGGCCCTCTCACTCTTAACCTTGGGGGATGCATCTCTCCTCATAGGGGTCCCTTGCAAGTCCTTCGTCAGCCCTTAGGAACCCAACATCCAACTCAAGCTTCTTGCTGCTGCCACACCTCTGCCCCTCCAGGAGGCTCTAGGGGACAGGACCCAAGAGGACCCCTTGTAGGTGCTCTCTGCCAACACTGGCCCATGGGAAACACTCCAGCCAGCAGCCTGTACTCCGAAAGTCCTGGGAATGTGGCTTACCTTAGCACGCCCACACTGGCTCCTTCACCAGTTCAGCCAGGCAGCCCGTTTCTCTCAGCCTCTAGATGTCCATGCCCACATGAGACCACTGGGCCCCCTCATAATGGCCACACATTATTCTCTACATATAGTGGCCCCTCTCATGGAAGAGCCCCCATGACCCCATTCCACCCTTCCAGGGAGATGGTCACCAAAGAACTCTTTGCTTCCTCTTCCCATCCTAGGAGAATGTGGTGGGTATAGGGGTAATAGTAAATGTGGGGGTTTTGGGTAGCCATGGCCAAATTTTAGCAGCTGTGGGTTTGGACTGGGCTCTTTTTTGTTGTTGTTGTTGTTACGTAAATTAACCCATTTATTACAGGCCAGTGATGTCTCAAAGAGTAGAGGAGCGTCTACTGGTCTTTCAACTCCTTCAGGCTTCTGATGGCGGACTTTACCGTGATAGCGGAGGTGGTATTGTATGTCCAGGCACCGCCAGCCACTGTCTTCACGCGGGAACCACAGTGCCAGATCCCCGCAGCTCATCTCTTCATCTTGGTTTTGCCACAGAAAGAGCAAGTGTACTTGGCCTGCTGGCTGATTTCAACTTTCTTCACCATTTTCCAGAGGGAGGCCCCATAGCGGGTCCCGTATTTACCGACGATCCCGACTTTCTTGGTAGGTTTGGCCATGTCACCGCGAACTAGGTCCGAGCCCAGAGAGTTGGACTGGGCTTTTAAAAAACAGTTACTGGTTGTCACAGCAGAGCTTTCTAGAAACATCTTACAAGTCATGTCCACCACCCCCAGCCTCAGTTTTTTCATATCCTTACTGCGGGTGGCAGCACCTTACTGGGTGGGGGTTTGTGGTGAGGGCTGAGTGAAGTAGTGAATTTGCGGAGCTAACACTCCAGAATTCCACAATCACAGACCTGCAAATTCCATCTCCGTGGGACCATTTACAAGTGATGTGGCTTCTCTGAGTCTGTTTACTCCTTTGTTAAATGGAAGAGCCTCTACTCCATTGCATCTCTGTAAGGTTAGTTAAGTGAATACATATGACATGCTTAGCACGGGACCTGGCACCTGGTAAGAACTCAGTCCATGCTGGGCGTTTTTAATACAACGGTGGGTGGCTGGTACTGACGGAGGGGATTTGGGATCTCCACCCCTTCCGTTTCCCTCACTATTCCAGGCCCTGTTTTGGAAATGCTTCAGCCAGGCTGGGATCCAGGGCCCCTGGGAACAGAGAGGACATACTGTACCTCCAAGCAGCCATGCTGACTCAGGTTAGGAAATCAATGTGTGACCACAAAAACACAGCCAGGTTCTTCCCACTTCTGGGAAATCTGCACAGCCAACCCATGGGCATCTCTTTACCCTGTCCCGAGAGGTGGCCAGCTTCGTTCTAGGACCTGATTCTGCAGCTTGTGAGCACAAGGCTGGCACATGGAGAAACAGGAGTCTCTCGCTCCTTAGGGAACCCCAGGCCCGGGGTCACAAGCTTTGCACGACCCTCTGATTGGGGTCAAACATGTCTGGTGTTTGCGAAGCCTCTGACTTCCCCCAGCCTGCGTCTGGACACTTCTCAAGCCAAGCCAGGCTCCGGACCACTGGTTGGGCAACGCATGACCTCAAACTGGGTCAGACCCATCAGATGAGCATCTGTTTAAGAGTATAGGACACTTTGTTCTTTAGAATCCCAAGGGTCAGAGTATGAACCCTCCCCGTCCCCAATTCAAACTCCTCCTCCATCACTTACTGCCATTTACTTACTCTGTTACTTTGAGCAAGTTTTTCAGCTCTCTGAGTTCTAGTTTTCCTAGCCACCAAATGCAGACTAACAAGTACCTTCACCTTCCAGGGTTGATGTGAGATTCGGGTAGTGAATGTCAAAGAATGGCACACATATTAGCAGGCACTCCATAAGGGGGAGTTATTATTGCAAACAGGGGCACTAGACACCAAGTAAAAAACAGTATGGTACATATGCTACAGTGGATGAGAGGGCAGAGCTGAAAGCCAGACTGCCTGGGTTCCAAACCAGGCTACTGGCCAGGTGCGGTGGCTCATGCCTGTAATCCTAGCACTTTGGGAGGCCAAGGCGGGTGGCTCACTTGAGGCCAGGAATTCGAGACCAACCTGGCCAATATGGCGAAACCCCATCTCTACTAAAAATGCAAATAAAATTAGCTGGGCGTGGTGGCATGTCCCTGTAATCCCAGCTACTCAGGAGACTGAGGCAAGAGAATAGCCTGAACCCAGGAGGCAGAGGTTGCAGTGAGCCAAGATTGTGCCACTGCACTCCAGCCTGGGCCACAGAGTGAGACGCTGCCTCAAAACAAAATAATACAAAACAAAACAGGCTGCCCTGCCACCTCCTGTGTGGCCACAGGGAAAGTCTCTAAGCCTCAGTTTTCTTCTCTGTAAAATGGGAATAATCATAATACAGTTATAAGGATTCAATTAGATTAGTTGCACTGGAAACAGTGCCTGGCACATAGTATCACCTAATAACCATTAACGATTTTTTATTTTGTTTTATTTTTCCAGTCTCTGCCCCAGTTGGGAAGCATGAACTATTTTTAATTAGCCACACAAGTTAGTAATGTCGGTAATGGTGCTGAAATCACACGGGTCAGTGTTTTGAACAAAATTCACATGGAAGTCATATTTAGTGAGCATCTACCTACATACCTGGTGCTAACAGAAACCATACATTTAGATACATGTATATGTACATGTAAACACACATATGCACACACACATAGTGTGAAGTAAGTGTTGCTGTCCTCATTTTTTAAAACCTTTATATTATAGAGCAAAACAGTTGCAGAAAACCACACAAATTAAATTTGTAGCAGCCAGGTGCAGTGGCTTACACCTGTAATCCCACCACTTTGAGAAGCCGAGGTGAGTAGATCACTTGAGCTCAGGAGTTTGAGACCAACCTGGGGAACATGGCAAAACCTGAAATGCCATCTCTACGAAAAATACATAAATTAGCCAGGCATGGTTGGCACGTACCTGTAGCCCCAGTTACTCAGGAGGCTGAAGCAGGAGGATTACTTGAGTCTAGGGAGGTCTGAGGCCACAGTGAGCTGAGATCACACTACTGTACTCCACCCCAGGCAACAAAGTGAGACACTATCTCAAAAAAAAAAAATTGTAGCTTAGTGAGTTATATCAAGGCAAACACCCTGTAACCACCACCCCGGTCAAAATACAGAATTTTTTCAGCCACCTCAGGGTTCCCCTCCCCACCTCACCAGGTACTCCATACCAATCACAGCCCATCCCCCCAAAATAATCACTAATCCGACTATTAATTACTTCCTTGCATTTCTTCATGACTTAATCATCTGAGTGTGCATTCCTAGATGTTATTGTTTAGTTGAGTCCACTTTTTATTTTTATTTATTTATTTTTTGTTGAGATGGAGTCTCGCTCAACCGCCCAGGCAGTGGCATGATCTTTCTTGGCTCACTGCAACCACCGTCTACCGTGTTCAACAGATTCTCCTGTCTCAGCCTCCCCAGTAGCTGGGATTACAGGCACCCACCATCATACCTGGCTAATTTTTGTATTTTAGTAGAGACGGAGTTTCTCCATGTTGGTCAGGCTGGTCTCGAACTCCGGACCTCAGGTGATCCGCCCGCCTCAGCCTCCCAAAGTGCTGGCATTACAGGCGTGAGCCGCCACTCCCGGCTAAACATATTTGATAAGTTTCAATCAACTGCAAGTATTGTCTTTGTTGCAGCTAAAATTGTTTCATCCACAGGCTGGCTTGTAAGTCCTTTTGGTGTGACCCTGGTAGCCTTCGATAGCTTCCTTGTTAATTGGCGTGACAAGATATTCCAGGCTTATTTTGTATATTTCCTGCTACAGATCTGGAATGAGTAATTTCTTCAAGAAGTCTTTTTATTTGTATTAATCAAAACTATTATCTGGGTGCAAGATATGCTCATTGCTACAAGATTGATTATGGTTTAAGTCTTTTTAATAGCTAGAACTAGGTATTATATATATGAATACACGCATATACATTTCCTTTAAAAATAGTTTCGAGTTCACATTGATATATCCAATGTAAATAGAGTTTTATAGGATGTTTATGGAATCTATTCTGTATTACACCTGTAGTTCCTTTCTTCCACACTTGGAATCTTTCATTTTCAAGGATACAGGGGCTGATAAAATGGAAAGATGCTATAATTACTGGTTAAAATGACTCAGTAATTCACAGGGGTTAAAAACTCCTTTAAACCTTAGGTTGTGTGGCAAACACCTTACACTCGCCCACTACTGGAGTTGGCAAACGCTTTCCAGTTTCAGCTGCTGTTTTCCCAACAACACGTGAATACATGTTGCAATTTTAGCACTCTCCATGTCTCAGGCCCGCCAGACACCTTGCTGCTTCCCTTCTGTTTCTACTGCACAGAGATGCCAATGGCATGCAGGCCTTGTAGCTGTTGGTGATTTGTCCCCACACGTTTTTTGGAGTTCATGAAGATGCCTTGTCACTTAGTTTTGTTGTAAATGTGTTTATGAATTTTTTTCTATTTTTATTTGGGGATTTGGGGATATTCAAATCTATGCTAGGCATTATTGCCTCCATCTTTCCAGAATTCCCCAGCTGGTATTATTTTCACCAATGAGGAAACTGAGCCCCAGGGGAAATGTGATTTGCCCAAGATCACACAGCCAGTGACAGCGCAGAGATGCATGTGAGGTCACCTGCTTTCATGCAAGGTACAGAGAAGATGCCTGATATGGACCACTCCCTCCTCATCTTCCTCCCTATTTCCACTGGTCAGTGTCTTTACAGGATTCTGGGGGGTTTGGTGGGGGGCTTTTTTGTTTGTTTTTTGAGGTGGAGTCTTGCTCTGTTGTTTAGGCTGGAGCGCAATGGCACGATCTCGGCTCACTGCAACCTCCACCTGCCGGGTTCAAACGATTCTCCTGCTTCTGCCTCCTGAGCAGCTGGGATTACAGGCACCCACCACCACACCCAGCTAATTTTTGTATTTTTAGGAGAGATGGTGTTTCACCATGTTGGCCAGGCTGGTCTTGAAATCCTGGCCTCAAGTCATCCTCCTGCCTCAGCCTCCCAAAGTGCTGGGATTACAGGCGTGAGCCACCGTGCCTGGTCCCATGATTCTGTTATTGACAATCAAATGAAACTATCCATGCAAAGAGCTTATCACTGTACCAATGAAAGCATTCAGTGACTGGTAGCAGTTAGTATAGGATTTTATGGTTGATGAAACCAAGGGTTGGAGAGACAGATAACTGTTCCATTGTTACACAGCTGGTAAGTGACACAGGCTTTAGACTCAGGTCTGTCTGACCAGAACCTAACATTCTTTCTCCCACACTAGTTCTTAATTCAGAGCAGCTTTGTCTCCCAGCTGGTATTTGGCAATGTCTGGAGATACCTTTGGTTTTTATCACTGTGAATGTGGAGTGCTACTGTCATCTAGTGGGTAAAGCCTAGGAATGACATTAAACATCCTACAGGACAACATCTCTCCCATGCCCCCGAAACAAAGACTTTTCCAGCTCCAAATGTCAATAGTGCTAATGTTGAGAAATTATGCCCTATACTGTGGTGCCATCCTAAATAAGCCTTGCCAGGCAGGGCACGGTGGCTCACTCCTGTAATCCCAGCACTTTGGGAGGCTGAGGCAGGCAGATCATCTGAGGTCAGGAGTTTGAGACTAGCCTGGCCAACATGGTGAAACCCGTCTCTACTAAAAATACAAAAATTAGCCGCGCGTAGTGGTACACACCTGTAGCCCCAGCTACTAGGGAAGCTGAGGCAGGAGAATCGCTGGAACCCAGGGGGTACAGGTTGCACAGAGTCGAGATTGTGCCACTGCACTCCAGCCCGGGTGACAGAGTGGGACTCCATCTCAAAAAAAAATAAAAAGAAAATAAATAAAACTAAATAAGCCTTACCTTAGAATCAATACTAAGGCTGGTCCTAGGAGATTTTCTGAGCTCAGAATCACAGGCCCTGAACAGAGACAGCTCAGGCATGTCTAGCCTCCTCCAGCAGGTATGCAATGCAATGTCAAGATTTTTTTCTTCAGAGGCTGGATGAAACGAGGAGAGCAAGATGTTTGAAACCTTCCAAACCAAGACACAGGGCAAGCCGCCCCCTGGTGATCTTTCTGCTTGAGAGGGGGTGATCATCACCGATAAACAGACATTTCATGATACAATGTGCCAGAACTCTGCACATGCCATTCTTTTTTTTTTTTGAGACAGAGTCTCACTCTGTTGCCCGGGCTGGAGTGCAGTGGCATGATCTCGGCTTACTGCAACCTCTGCCCCCCGGTACAAGCGATTCTCCTGCCTCAGCCTCCTGAGTAGCTGGGATTACAGGCGTGTGCCACCACACCCAGCTTGTTTTTTTGTGTTTTTAGTAGAGACAGGGTTTCACCCTGTTGGCCAGGCTGGTCTCAAACTCCTAGCCTCAAGTGATCCGCCCGCCTCAGCCTCCCACAGTGCTGGGGTTACAGATGTGAGCCACCGTGCTCGACCTGCACATGCCGTTCTATGACATCCTCCCAAGGATCCCCTCTAAACAAAGGCCATATCCCCATTTTATACATAAGGAAATGAGTCTTTTCAAGAGGTTGTTCAGACTCCATAAATTCTGAGTGTCCAAGGCAGAGAAGACAGACATCAAATACCAGCTCAAACACTTAGTCATCATGTGACTTTGGGCAATTTTTTGTCCTTCTCTGATCCTTTTTCCCAACCTGTAGAAACAGAGACAGGGCTACATGACCTTTAGGACAAAGTAAAATTTGGGACCATGGTGTCATACAGGCTTGAATTGATACCTAGCTCTCTCTTTCATATCTTGAGCCCTTAGGAGACTTTCTCTTTCTGAATATTTTACATTATTTTATTTTATTATTATTTTTTGAGATGGAGTCTCGCTCTGTTGCCCGGCCTGGAGTGCAATGGCACAATCTTGACTGACTGCAACCTCCACCTCCCGGGTTCAGGTGATTCTCCTGCCTCAGCCTCCAGAGTAGCTGGGATTACAGGCGCCTGCCACCATGCCTGGTTAATGTTTGTATTTTTAGTAGACACGGGATTTCACCATGTTGGCCAGGCTGGTCTCAAACTCCTGACCTCAAGTGATCCACCACTTTGGCCTCCCAAATTGCTGGGATTACAGGCATGAGCCACCAAGCCTGGCCTCTTTCTGGATTTTAGTTTCCTCTTCTGTAAATGGGACAATCCTAGCTCGCTGTTCACAGGGTCATTGTAAGGTGAAATTAAGATCATACAAGCACAGTGCCTGGTATATATAATTCAAAAAGCAGAAACTCTTTTTGTTGTCATTGTTTATCGGAGATGTTCTAATCCTGATATAATCTGGTTCTCTAAAATGTAATACCAAGAGGAACAAGAAATAATGGCCCTCAGTTGAGGGAAGAGGCAGGGATTTCTGGGGCATCTCTGAATCCTCTCCCTGCCCTGCCCTTGAGACCAAGTTCTTCTCCTGCTGGCAACATCTAGGATTGCCATCTGGGCTCCAGGTACCAGTAGTAGGTCCTAGGTTTGGGTTAAGGAGAGGGGTGAATTTATTCCAATACCTAGGACAGCCTGGTTAGGACAGGGTCATCCCTCACCCTTTGCCACAAGAGCTGCCATTTGGCAGGGCGCAGGAGAATGGCTTGAGCCCAGGCAGCCTCCCAGGTGGCTGGGATTACAGGCCTGGCTAATTTTTGTATTTTTAGTAGAGACAGGGTTTCACCAGGTTGGCCAGGCTGGTCTCGAACTCCTGAACTCAGGTGATCCACCTGCCTTGGCTTCTCAAAGTGCTGAGATTATAGGCATGAGCCACCACATCCGGCTGTTTTGGGGGGTTTTCTTTTTGAGACAGAGTCTCGCTCTGTCGCCCAGGCTGGAGGGCAGTGGCATGATCTCGGCTCACTGCAACCTCTGCCTCCTGGGTTCAAGTGATTCTCCTGCCTCAGGCTCCCGCATAGTTGGGTGTGACAGCCGGAAGTGGGGGCCTCGGATTACAGGCGTGTGCCACCACGCCCAACTAATTTTTGTATTTTTAGTAGAGACAGGGTTTCACCATGTTGGCTGGGGTGGTCTCATCATACTCCTGATCTCAAGTGATCCACCTGCTTCAGCCTCCCAAAGTGCTGGGATTCCAGGCGTGAGCCACTGCACCCGGCCTTACCTTACGTTTTAAAAGATCTCACAGATGTGATTAATGTAAGGATCTTGAGATGGTAAGATTATCCTGGATTATCTGGCTGAGCCCAATGTAATCCCAAGAGTCCTTATAAGAAGAGGGAAGCAGGAGGATCAGTCAGTAGTAGAGGTGACAACAGAAGCCAGAGGTTGAGGTGATTTGAAGAAGGGGCCATAAGCTAAGGAATGCAGGTGGCCTCTACAAACTGTAAAAGGAAAGGAACTGATGCTTCCTCCAAATCCCCAAAAGAATGCAGCCTTGCCAACACCTTGATTTTAGACTTTTGACCTAGAGAACTGCAAGAGAATATATCTGTGTTGTTTCAATCCATGAAGTTTGCAGTAATTCCTTGTAACAGTAACAGGAAAATAATACATAGATTTAGCAAACAAAACAAAATCCAGGATGCCCAGTAGTCATATTTGAATTTCCTATAAACAACAATTTTTAAAGTATAAATGTGTCCCAAATGTTGCATAGGACACACTTATCTGTGTGTATGTGTGTGTGTGTTTGGAAAGGAACATGCTTAAATGTTTATCTGAAATTCAAACTGTAGTGAATGTTATATATTTTGTCTGTCAATCTTAGAAGTGATGAAACTGAGAGCAGGAGTCAAAACTCATGATTCCCAGGTCGCCTCCATACTGCTGCCCCCTGCCCCTCAATCTGGCAGAAACTGCCACGTTCTTGTGGCCCTCATGGGTCACTTCCCATCTTCTTGGGACTCCTCTTGCCCCTGGGGTAGGAAAATGAAAAGACTGTTTAAGGTCGTTTCTTTAGGCTCAGAGTTCTCCTGGACCACCAGAGGTTCTGCCTCAGAGGGACCTAGGAGATTTGCCTCAAAGTTGCAGTTGCACAAAATACTTGCGGGCGGATCTTAATGGACTGGGGTGGGAGTTAGTAAAGCCTTTGTCTGGAGGGAACGTAATGAACCCCAAAGCAGGAAAAAAGTAATTATTGAATCAGGCTCCAGAGCAAGAATCAGGTTTCAGGTAAGGAAACGGAAGCACAAGAAGGAATGGGGACTTGCTCCAGGTCACTCAGTTAATGACAGACAGATGTCCCCTGGTTTGGAGTCTCCCTTTTTGGAGCAGCTAGTCCTGATAGCAGCCATAGTGGGGGGAAGTCTAGAATGCTAATCCTGAGGTCCGGGTTTGAAGCCCTTTACTGCCTTGATTGCCAGTTTCCCTTTCCTGAAATAGGGGAATTGCATAAATATGAGGAGTTAATGAGATCATGGATGTTAAACAACAGGTACATGTTAGCATGTTCTTGGAAAATGGCAGCTTCTTTCCTTCCTTCTCTGAGCCTCAGTTTCCCCATCTATAAGCCGGGTTTGACAAGCGGCTGGTGCCCCAGCTCCTCCCAGCCACTCCAGGTCCGCAGCTCGGAGCTCCGGCAGCCAGGTGGGGACTGAACACCAACGCCGCGGGGAGGCGTCGCACATGCGCGCTCCTAGGCGGAGCCCCGCCTCCCACGCCCTGGATCGTCACTTCCGGCGCGAGAGGCCGGGCAGGCCGGGCAGGGAGTGCGGGTCGGTTCTGCGTGCGCTGCCGGACGAGGCTCCCGCCGCCGATTGACCCGCGCTCCGCCCGTAGTCGGGCCGGTGAGTGCCCGCGAGCCCATCCGTGTGCCCTGGGAGCTGAGGAGAGGGACCCCTGAGAGGGAAGGATAACCGGAAGTGGGGACCAGAGGAGCGAGAGACCCCAGGAAATGGGGACACCTGGGGAGGGGGTGACAGCCGGAAGTGGGGGCCTCGGAAGGTTGTCCACGGGATATGGGGTCTCGGGGGCTCTAGGAGAGATGGCTTCCTGACCTCTCCTTGTTGAGAGGAAGGGGTGGAAAGGAAAGTGATGCTCCAGAAAGGATGGGCTCCAGGTGGGGGAGATCTTTGGCTTCACCGTTACCAATGGTGTCTGCATCTCACTCATATGTCCGCCTGTCAGCTCATTCACCAGCCTGTGACTGAGTCCTGCTGAGCGCTCGGCACTGCTGAGTCCCTGGAGAGTCAACATGAAGCTCCAGGTGGAGGGTACAGATTAGAAGCCCAGGGTGGGGCTAGACGCATCCTTGCTCTGCCTCACCGGGTGTGCCCCCTTGGGCGAATCGCTTAACCTATATCCTCCGCTGATGTGTACAGACCACTGCCATGTGCCCGGCACTGGGGGTGGCAGTGGACATGGCAGACAAGCCCTCTGCCCTCGTGGAACTTAGATTCTAGGGGACAGTCCTTTTTGTCCTCCTTTGTAAAATGGCAACAGTAATAGCGCTCTCACCAAATAACGTGAAGATTAAATGAGGAAATGGGTAAAGGGCTTAGCAATGCTTGATACATGGTAAAATGCTCAAGTATGCATTCTCTTCATTCCACTATAATGTAAGCTTTATTAGGCAAGGAATTGTATTGTTTGCGTCTGTGTTCCCAGTGCCTGTGAGCACAGTGCCTGACATATATGGTAGGTGATCGGTAATTATTTGATAAATGAGTGCGTGGTGAAACTGACTCTAGATAAATGCCCATAGCATTGGACTGTAATTTCTAAAAAAGAAATAGGAACCCAGTTCTGTGGAAAACTGGAGGGAATCACCCTCAGGGAGTTTGGGAAGGATTCACTGAGGTGGTGACATGGCAGCTGAGCCTGAGCTGTCAAGTTAGGAACAAATTAGAAGAGGAAATTCCAGGCAGAGTGTATCAGAAGTGCACGAGTTATTCCAAGGATGATGGGTTATTAGTTTGTTTTGACTGGCATTTAATGTGCATCAAGGTGGGGTGCGATGGAAAATGAGGCTGGAGAGGGGCTTTGAGGTGAGGCTTGTACCTTGTGAACACTGATGTTTGATGGGATTGCAGGCATCTCTTGGTTACTTCCATAGAAACAAAGCCATAGTTGTTCCATTCCTCACTTAGCATACCTGTGCCAACCAGACTAAAGTCATTCAACAAATATTTATGGAGTGCAGATTATGTGTCTAACACCATGTTAGGCGCTGGGTTTCAGGTGATGAACAAGACAAACTTGGATGTTGCTCACAAATTGCCAACAGACAATTGCAACAGGGTGGGAGAAGTGCGGGGGAGGCACCTAACCTGGCTGGGGGTCAGTGAAGGCTACCTACTCCAGGCCACCAGCATCTCTCAGCTGGATTATTGCAATAGCCTCTAAATGGTCTGCTTCAGTCCTCACTCCCTTAGAGTCCATTCTCAAGACAGCAGATTGGTCCTTTTAAAATATATTTTTATTTATTTATCTATCTATCTATTTATTTATTTATTTATTTATTTATCTGAGATAGCGTCTCGCCCTGTCGCCCAAGCTGGAGTGCAGTGACATGATCTCGGCTCACTGCAACCTCCGCTTCCTGGTTTCAAGCGATTATCCTGCTTCAACCTCCCAAGTAGCTGGCACTACAGGCCCGCACCACCATGCCTGGCTAATTTTTGTATTTTTAGTAGAGACAGGGTTTCACCATGTTGGCCAGGCTGGTCTCGAACTCCTGACCTCAGGTGATCCATCCACTTCAGCCTACCAAAGTGTTGGGATTACAGGCATAAGCCACCACACACAGCCCAAGAAAAAATTTAAAAATTAGCCAGGCGTGGTGTGTGCCTATAGTCCCAGCTACCTGGGAGGCTGAGGCAGGAGGATTGCTTGAACTTAGGAGTTCGAGGTTGCAGAGAGCTATGATTGCGCCACTGCACTTCAGCCTGGGTGACAGAGCAAGACCCTGTCTCTCTCTTAAACAAAAAAGTGCATGAGTTCAGGTCCTCTAAGAAGCAGACACTAGGATGAGGTTAGACGTGCTAGAAATGTAGAGGCAACCCTTGCGAAGGACAGCACCTGGGAAGGGAGCTGGAGAAGTCAGGAAGAGCCACTGGCAGTGATGCAGATCAGCTCCTGTGAAGGAGGTTTGGGCAGCAAGTCTCTGACTGCAGGGCAGTCCCAACAAAGGTTTGGCCAGGCCCTCAAGCAAACGCTGCCTGTTAGAGGAGTCCTATGTCTCACTAAATCATTGGCTAGGAGCAGTGAGGCCACAGAAGGGCTGTGGAAAGTTCTGGCTTCCCCTGGATAGTGGATCTAGAGGGACAGCCACTGGGGCCCTTTATCAATTACGTTTTCCCAGCAGATCTGACCGGCACATATTCCCGACTGCCACGATAAGTTACATGGGTGTGTAGTAAAAAATTCAAACAGTATAGTAAAAATCCTCTTTCTCATCTTAAATCTTCACTTGTCCAGTTCTGTTCCAAGAGATAACCATTGGTAAGTTTCTTATATCTCTTTCCAGAAGTTTTGTGTGCATTCACAAGTGTATGTGTATAGTTTAAAAACGTGATTTTCTGTACACTATTCTGCAACTTGCTTTTTTAATATGTCAATTCATAAAGATCTGCCTACTTTTCGCTTTTTTTGTTTGTTTGTTTTGAGAGGGAGTCTTGCTCTGTCACCCAGGTGGGAGTGCAGTCATGATCTCGGCTCACTGCAAGCTCTGCCTCCCGGGTTCACGCCATTCTCCTGCCTCAGCCTCCCTAGTAGCTGGGACTACAGGCACCTGCCACCACGCCCGGCTAATTTTTTGTATTTTTAGTAGAGATGGGGTTTCACCGCGTTAGCGAGGATGGTCTCGATCGCCTGACCTCATGAGTCGCCTGCCTCGGCCTCCCAAAATGCTGGGATTACAGGCGTGAGCCACCGCGCCCGGCCCCCTAATTCTTTTTCATGACTGACTAGTACCCCATTAATATGGTAATATTACTTAACCAGTCTCCCCTGATAGGCAGTTAAGATGTTTCCAATCTTTTATCATTATAATCAATACTTGTGAAGGCCATGTGCATATTATGCATATATATACAAGTATATGTCCTAGAAATGGAATTGCTGACCCAAAGGGCATGTAGGTTTACATTCTGAAGATATTGACAAATGCCCTCCAAAGAGGCTGTCAATTTATACTCCCAGCAGCAGCAAGCATATTAGAGTACGTTTATTTTTGCCAATCTGAATCTGAGTTGTTTTTTTTTTTTTTTTTTTTTTTTTTTTTGAGAGTCTTGCTGTGGCTGGAGTGCAGCAGCGCCATCTCGGCTCACTGCAACCTCCACGTCCCGGGTTCAAGCAATTATCCTGCCTTAGTCTCCCAAGTAGCTGAGATTACAGGCACTCACCACACCTACCTAATTTTTGTATTTTTAGTAGAGATGGGGTTTCACCATGTTAGCCAGGCTGGTCAGGTGATCCGCCTGCCCCAACCTCCCAAAGTGCTGGGATTACAGCATATACATTACAGTTGTTTTAATTCACATTTATTTAATGATGAATAAGGTCGAGCACCTATTAATACATTTATAAGGAAGGCCCTGGTGTTTATTAGGGAGTGTATAGTCTGCTGTAGCTGCTGCCTGCCTCCCTGGGGACTAACAGCAGCCGGCCTGGGGTCAGACTTGCGTGTATGGTTTAGATCCAGTTCATTGCCCCCAGTTGAGAAACACTGCCCTGAGGTTACTCGGTTTTTACAGAAGTGTTCCTGTCCCCTACACTGTACTGCCCTAGGATTTGAAATAAGCACTTGTTAACTTTGCTTAGGGCTTCTCTGTTGGCAGGGACCTTGGTAGCTAATGTCCGAAGAAAGTGACTCTCTGAGAACCAGCCCTTCTGTGGCCTCACTCTCTGAAAATGAGCTGCCACCACCACCTGAGCCTCCGGGCTATGTGTGCTCACTGACAGAAGACCTGGTCACCAAAGCCCGGGAAGAGCTGCAGGAAAAGCCGGAATGGAGACTTCGAGATGTGCAGGCCCTTCGTGACATGGTGCGGAAGGAGTACCCCAACCTGAGCACATCCCTCGACGATGCCTTCCTGCTGCGCTTCCTCCGAGCCCGCAAGTTTGATTACGACCGGGCCCTGCAGCTCCTCGTCAACTACCACAGCTGTAGAAGAAGCTGGCCCGAAGTCTTCAATAACTTGAAGCCATCAGCCTTAAAAGATGTCCTTGCTTCCGGGTTCCTCACCGTGCTGCCCCACACTGACCCCAGGGGCTGCCATGTCGTCTGCATCCGCCCAGGTATCTCCCTAGACTGTTGTGGGGTGTGTGTGTCCAGTCCTTCTGCAGTGTGTCCATTCAGCACCCTGTCCTCCTTTCCAAGTCCCTTTTTTACCCCTCCTTTGTTATAGTCAAGGCTCTTTTGATTGCAGATAACACAAACCTACTCAAACCAACTTCAGAAAAAAGGGAGGATTTAGTCGAAGGAGACAGGAGTCCCTCCCAGAACCAGAGAGCTGAAGGCGTGGCAGCTTTTACTAGGGCCTAGAACCAAGAACCAGAATGCCACCAGGAGCCAAGACAGCCGTTCTCCCTGTCTCTGCCTGACGGTCTGTGTATCCTTCAGCCACACATTTCTGCCTTTTGCATATCTTCTTCACACTTTTTCTGTGTATGGCTGTCCCGCTCCTGTGCACGTAGTTAAATCTGGCACCCTCTCAGCTCTCAGGTTTGCCTGACCACCAAATTAAGTTCCTCAATGCAGATTCCCAATTTCTAGTGGGGAGCATCTGGTGGGGCCTAAGAATCTGCCCCTGGCCATAGGATACAAGCATGACTGCCAGGGCCCTCTCTGAGCCCTCTTTGTGAATAGGTTGAGGTACAGGTATCAGTGCAAGGGTGCGGACTGGGCAGACACCTGGAAAGGTGCCTCCTCTGTGCCTCCTCCAACCTTTCCTTCCTTTCCTCTATTTTGTGAAGCCACTGACAGGATTCACTTTGGATTTGTTTTTTGATCTTAGCATTTCATGGCAGTGATTAGGATACCTTACATTTCTTTGTCATGGTGGTTTACGAATGGGGGCTCCCTGCCACTAAAAGAGCATTTAGAAATACTCCCCTGCCAGGCGCAGCAGCTCATACCTGTAATCCCCGCACTTTGGGAGGGTGAGGGAGAAGGATTGCTTGAGGCCAGGAGTTTGAGACCAGCCTGGGCAACATAGTGAGACCTTGTCTCTACAAAAAATTTAAAAAAAAATGCTCTTTGGGGAGCATTTCAACACAATGACCAGGGGCTGCCAGAACTCAAGATTTCTGATTCTTAGGCCTGTTCTCTTCCATGACACCAAAAGCGTTATTAAACTTTGGAATGTTCTACTCCATTCCTAGCCTCAACATTTTCCATCAGACCAGAGCTGAGAGAAAAATGGAAAGTAAGATGCAATGTTCTCCCCAAGTAAGCCAGGGAATGAGAACACACTAATAGCCCTCTTTCGCTCATTCATATAAACGCCCTCTTGAAGGGAAGTTTGATGGGGAGTGGACACCTCCATGCACTTTCCTCCGCCTTTACTCATTCCCCAAACTCTCTTTGGAGGCTAAACCATTCTCTTCAGACTTTACTATGTATGTACCAAGACCACTGTTAATGGCTTACCTGCCATTTTAGGTACTTGCCAAAATTAGTGGTGTTTATTTTAAAATAAGCAATGCAGTGCAGATTTTAGGGCGCCAGGAGACTTAGAAACCAGTCAGCAGGTTTTTCTGCTGCTCCTCTGTACTCAACTCATAAGAATATTACAACACAGTCAGATATTACAACACTGATTGCACCTTTGCTTGTGTAGTTTCAACCCTTTGCTTGTGAGATGAATTTTTTCCCCATATGTCTGGAGCAGATCTGGACCCCTTTCCACTGACCCAGCGTTTTAGGAAGAGGCATACACAGAAAGGTTTCTTCTCAATTGGGTATCAGCTTTGCCTTTGTTAAAGCTCTTTTGAGACATGTGATTGAAAGGGATGATATCCAGTTACATAGAGGCAGGGTTAATTGGCAGCAACGTTAGACAGCAAGCTGGCACAATTTGGGGACAAAGATCTTTCACGAGAATTTTGCACATATCAGGTCAGGTGTGGTGGCTCATGCCTGTAATCCCAGCACTTTGAGAGGCTAAGGCAGGTGGATCATGAGGTCAGGAGTTCCAGACCAGCCTAGCCAACACAGTAAACGGCCCCCGCCTCCCCCCAACCCCCACCCCCTGTCTCTACTGAAAATACAAAAATTAGCTGGGCGTGGTGGCACATGCCTGTAATCCCAACTACCCCGGAGGCTGAGGCAGGAGAATCGCTTGAACCCGGGAGGCAGAGGTTGCAATGAGCCGAGATCACGCCACTGCACTCCAGCCTGGGTGACAGGGCAAGACTCTGTCTCAAAAAAAAAAAAAAAAAAAGTTTTTTGCACACATCACATATCCCATTGTTGGCAAATGGGAAGTTTTATCTTTTAAGAAAGAGGCACATAGATTTTGCTGGGATTTTCTTGAGAACAGTGGTTAACAGTAAAAAGTGGGCATTCTCATTTTTTTTTTCCCAAAGAGAGGAAAGAATCATTAAATACATGGGGTGTATTAAAAAAGTATCCACCTTGGAAAGAGGAGGGGAACATAGCACTATGTTCCATCCTTACAATACCTCCGTCAAGGTCGTGTATGAGTCAAGACTCAGCTTTTTTTTTGAGACAGAGTCTCGCTCTGTTGCCCATGTTGGAGTGCAGTGGCGCGATCTCGGCTCACTGTAACCTCTGCCTCCTGGGTTCAAGTGATTCTCCTGCCTCAGCCTCCCAAGTAGCTGAGACTACAGGTGTGCACCACCATGCCCAGCTAATTTTTGTATTTTCAGTAAAGACAGGGTTTCACCATGTTGGCCAGGCTGGTCTTGAACTCCTGACCTCCAATGATCCACCCACCTTGGCCTCCCAAAGTGTTGGGATTCCAGGCGTGAGCCACCACATCTGGCCAAAACTCAGTCTGTGTGGCAAGTGACAGCCAACTCACGTTAGCTGAAACAAACAAAAAAACCTCAGTTGCTCAGATAACTGAGGTCTAGCCGTATTTCCATTCAGGGGCCCAAACTCTGGCACTGGAAAGCTGTCCCCACCACTGCTGTCCTCAACAGGGGCTTCACTCCCAGGCCAGCTCTCTTGCCTCATGGGGCCCGTGAATCTCAGACTCACCGCCTCAAAACTACAAGAGGGAAGACAGAACTCTTTCCAAAGGGCCAGGGGTCCTAGAATTGAGTCTCCTTGACTCTGCTTGACCTGGCTTGGATCACACACTGTGGCCAGAAGGATGTGCTGTCAGATTGGCCAATCAATCCCCAGTCACTTGCTCACCTCTGAAGTCAGGAGTCAAGTCAGTTCTATCCAAACTGCATGGCTAGAGTGGGAGGAGGTGGTTCCCTAAGGAAAATCAGGTTAGTGCTATGAAGATAAGGGGAAATACATGATGGCAGAAAGCACAGATGTCCATGAAGGTAGGCATTATCACCCTATTCTACTTATGAGGACATCGGGGCTCAGAGTGAGGTATTATAGTAACTTGCCCAAGGTCACATAGCTAGTAACATTCAAACCTCAGGTGTGTCTGACTTCAGAGTGCATACTTTTTTTTATATTTTTGAGACAGGGTCTCACCCTGTCACCCAGGCTGGAGTACAGTGGCATGATCACTGCAGCCTCAACCTCCTGAGCTCAAGAGATCCTCCCACCTCAGTCTCCCAAGTAGTGAGACTACAGCCACACCCCACCATACCTGGCTAGTGTTTGTATATTTTGTAGACATGGGGTTTCGCCATGTTGCCTGGGCTGGTCTTGAATTCCTGGGCTTATGCTTAATTCCTCCCACCTCGGCCTTCCAAAGTACTGGGATTACAGGCATGAGCCACTGTGCCCAGCCAGAGCTCATGCTCTTAACCTCAACACTCAATTGTATTTCCATCACAAAATGTGCTGCTGTTTGGAGTTAAGAAACCAGCTGCTGCTTATTGTTCCATTTACTAACCTAAATAAGAGTCATGGCTACTAGAATATCTTTCTTTTCCATTTTGAAACAACAGTGATAGAAAGGAGATAAATCTTTGTTTGACCACTTATTTATATTAACTTCTGTAACATACTGTCAATCTCTTATGACCTTAGACAGATGGATACCAAGCAACTATCCAATTACTGAAAACATCCGAGCCATATACTTGACCTTAGAAAAACTCATTCAGTCTGAAGAAACCCAGGTGAATGGAATTGTAATTCTTGCAGACTACAAAGGAGT
The DNA here is from genome assembly GCF_000001405.40 of Homo sapiens. NCBI lineage: Eukaryota > Metazoa > Chordata > Mammalia > Primates > Hominidae > Homo > Homo sapiens. The sequence continues at coordinate 44,484,467 of NC_000020.11, forward strand.
GAGTTTATCAAAAGCATCTCACTTTGGCCCTTTTATAGCCAAAAAGGTGATTGGCATCCTCCAGGTAAGACCCGTATGTGTCCTGCCTGTTTCGTGGTGGCTCTGGCTTTCCCCAGGGCCTGTCCATTTACTGTGGGTCTCACATGATACACAAACTGCACATCCCACACCTGCAATCTGAAAAACACAAAAGCATTATGGGAAGAAATTTAAAAGTCCTATTTACCACTTGTTCTCATCAGTCTCTCAAGTACTCTCTGGAGTAGGTACTTCAGTAAGACAAGAGTCCAAAAAACTAGAGAATTTGCTTGTTGCCTTTTCTTGGTCTGGAAGGCAGAGGAAGAATTCTCATAACAAACAAAACTGGCTGGGCGCGGTGGCTCACGCCTGTAATCCAATTCTTTGGGAGGCCGAGGCAGGTGGATCACTTGAGGTCAGGAGTTTGAGACCAGCCTGGCCAACATGGTAAAACCCCATCTCTACCAAAAATACGAAAATTAGCTGGGCATGGTGGCAGGCACCTGTAATCCCAGCTACTTGGGAGGCTGAGGCAGGAGAATCATTTGAACCCAGGAGGCGGAGGTTGCAGTGAGCTGAGATCGCGCCATTGCACTCCAGCCTGGGTGAGAACAGCAAAACTCTGTCTCAGAAAACAAACAAACAAAAAACCTAAGAAATTATGCTTCTGCGTAAGGTGCTGGAGCCCCTCCTGCCCTCTGTGGACCTGAGGGATATGGTGTTCTGTTGGGCTGTATTTTGGTCAGATGCTTCACACCTCATGTTCTGTGTTTCAGAACATGAGTCACTGGGGACTGTGGTGCTCCCTCCATATCTGCACCGTGTTTAACAGCTTGCACAGTGCTTTTACAGTCATCAGGGCCTATTCAGTCCCTCAGCGAATCCTCTGAGATAGGCAAGGCAAAAACTATTTTTCCTTTTTGATAGATGGGAAGATGGAGACCTAGAGAAAATATAGCCTGTCACAGCTGTGACAGGTTTTGATTACTTGTTCATTCTGACCCACCACGTGGGGTGTTTTCCCTTGTAAACTATGGGGCACCGGTGGTATAGTAGCTCTTCTCACTGATTCCACAAATGTTTCAGCCCCTGTGGTGCACCAGGTTTATTATTTAAATAAATCAGTGCACATTTGGACATTATCAAACATTTGGATTCTGGCTTTGAGCCAACCCTGGCTTTCCTTCGCTGGCACTCCTTTTGATGCCTCCTCCTGAATACCTTGTAGATTCAAGTGTCAGGATCAAGAGTGTGGATCAGTGTTAGTACCGTAAGATCATCTGGAGAGGAGAAAAAATTAAGTAAGTTTGGGAAATGCTGTATAGCATGTCCCTTTCTTGTGAATTTCACTGTAAGAATTTACATGTTAAAGGCTCTGAACAGGAATGCAGTTAAGGAAACTCACTTGATTATGCTTAGTGGACTACGTTTCTCAAACTCATTTGCCTGCTGTGGAGCCCTGTTTTATATAACCTCTAATAGCCTGAGAAATATACTTTGGGCAACACTGATCTGGAAGGTCTGGTATTTGCCAGATCTGTCCCTGTAGACTCAGACTGTTTTCTGCTGTAAGAGCAGCAGCTCTTCATATGTTTGCCTCTCTTCTTTTTTTTTTGAGATGGAGTCCAGGCTGTCATCCAGGCTGGAGTACAGTGACACGATTTTGGCTCACTGCAACCTCCACCTCCAGGGTTCAAGCAGTTCTCCAGCCTCAGCCTCTCCAAGTAGCTGGGATTATAGACACGTGCCACCATGCCCAGCTAATTTTTGTATTTTTAGTGGAGATGGGATTTCACCATGTTGGCCAGGCTGGTCTCGAACTCCTGACCTCAAGTGATCCGCCCACCTCGGCCTCCCAAACTGCTGGGATTACAGGCATGAGCCACTACACCCAGCCTCTGTTTGCCTCTCTTCTAACCCAGTTTTGGGTCCCAGGAAAGACTTTCCCTGAGGTCCGTCTTCCTAGTTAGGCCCCACGTGGACTGTCATTGAGGAGGCCATAAGGATCAGATCAGACTGATGTTGGGGCTGAAAGTGAAGATTTAACTTGGGGGAGGAAGGTGTGGAAAGATTCTCCAGATGTTCTAAACCCCTTTGCCTTTCCCACACAGGATGGTTTCCCCATTCGGATAAAAGCAGTCCATGTGGTGAATGAACCTCGAATATTTAAAGGCATTTTTGCCATCATAAAACCATTTCTAAAGGAGAAAATAGCAAACAGAGTAAGTGATGATCCTATTGACTTCAGATTTTTCTTTTCCTCTGTTGATTTATTTGTGACATCTGGTACTTGTTTATTATTTTTGCCCTGGAACAACTAATTTGGAAAAGTACAGAGTTACAGATAAAATAAATGAACAGTCCCTTTTGTGAGGAGAAGATGGAAGAGTAAATGAACAAGAATTTAATATTTGCCAGTAGAGAGAGCAGAACCAGGATTTTTATCATAAGAGCCTCCCTGGGCAGTATAGCAAGACTCATCTCTAAAAAAATTTTTTAAATTAGGTGGGTGTGCCTGGGGCACAGTGGCTCACGCCTGTAATCCCAGCACTTTGGGAGGCCGAGGTGGATGGATCACTTGAGGTCAGGAGTTCGAGACCAGCCTGGCCAACATGGTGAAACCCCGACTCTACTAAAAATACAAAAAATTAGCCAGGCATGGTGGCACATGCCTGTAATTGCAGCTACTTGGGAGGCTGAGGGAGGAGAATCACTTGAATCCGGGAGGCGGAGGTTGCAGTGAGCCAAGATCATGCCGCTGCACTCCAGCTTGGGCAACAGTGAGACTGTCTCAAAAAAAAAAAAAAATTAGGTGGGTGTGGTGGCACATGTCTGTAGTCTCCACTACTCAGGAGGCTGAGGTGGGAGGACTGCTTGAGCTCAGGAATTCAAGGCTGCCATGGGCTTGAACAATGGGCTATGGTCTTGCCACTGTGTTCCAGCCTGGGTAACAGAGCAGAACACTGTCTCTAAAATAAATTTTTTTTAAGTTATGGTCATTAGAACTGTGGGGTTTAAAAATGCTACTTAAGCCTTTCCATTTGCCTAATATGTTGTCCCACTGTACAGTTTGTGGAGCAATTCAAGGTTTACGAGCTATGTGAGTTTTTAGCTTACCTCTTATTTAAGAAGGGATAAATAGCACTTTGTCTTCCTTTCTGACCCAGAAGAGCCAATTCCCTCTTCAGCCTTTCCCAGTCCCACTGATTGAAATGGGATGGGTGGTATTTTTCTCCTTCCCTAGGCCTAGGAAGGTCACTGCAAAGACTGGGCCCTGAATTTTACTTGCTTTTTCTTTTTTTGAGACGGAGTCTCGCTCCGTCACCCAGGCTGGAGTGCAGTGGTGCGATCTCAGCTCACTGCAACCCCTACCTCCCGGGTTCAAGCAGTTCTCCTGCCTCAGCCTCCCCAGTAGCTGGGATTACAGGCACGTGCCACCACGCACAGCTAATTTTTGTATTTTTAGTAGAGATAGGCTTTTACCATGTTGGCCAGGCTGGTCTCAAACTCCTGACCTCAGGTGATCCACCCGCCTTGGCCTCCGAAAGTGCTGGGATTACAGGCGTGAGCCACCGCACTGGGCCCTTGCTTTTTCAAAGTAACATATATAGATGGAAAATCTCAAGGAGGTAAGGGAGGGAACTTGAAATCCAGCTCCAGATTCCTAGGCTCTTTCCCTGAAGATTTTGATTCATCAGCTCAGGGATCTGTGCTTTAAAATCCCCTTAGGAAATTCTGATGCACAGCTAGATTTGCAAACCACTAACTTAGTGGCTTCCCTGACTGTATGTGAACCCATGTGGGTCCCTAAAGATTCTGTTTGGAACTTTCACCAAAGCAGCCTTTGGACAGGTCTTTTACATCTGTGAAATGCGCTGATTTGGGGCCCACAATGTTCTTCGTTTGTTCCTTCATAGGTTCCTTTATTCAGAAATATCTATTGATCAACTCTATGTACAAGCATGTTCTAGATGAACAAAACAGACCAAAACCCCTGCCCCTAGGAAAATTATATTCTAAAGGGAGCCACAGTGAATTATCTAGTATTAGAATGTGGTAAGTGCTACAGAGAAAAATAAAGCAGAGAAAAGTATAGCGTGTGTGAGGTGGGAAGGGTTGCAGTATTCAACTGAGTGGTTAGAGATGGCAGCCTTGAGAAGCTGACATTTGAGCAAAGACAAGAAGTGAGAGAGTGAGCCATCTAGGTATCTGGGAGGCCAGCAAGGACACAACCCTGACGTGGGAGCCTGTCCGGCATGCTGGGAGAGCAGCTAGGCTGGCGCAGCTGGGTCAAGACTGGAGGGGCAGGTGGTGAGAGGAGCACTCAGAGAAGTAATGAGGCTAGATTATGATGGGCCTCAGAGTCTGAGGTGGGAGTGCTGGAAGGCTGTACATAGAGGCACGACTGTGATCTGAGTTTCACTGAAAAGAACTTAGATTGCAGAGGGACAAGAGTGGGAGCAGGGAGACCAGATAGGAGGCCACTGGAGGAATCCAGGGAGAAGCGATGTGGCTGCTGCCATTAATTGAATAGTGTGGTGGTGAGGCGGCTGGATCCTGGATATATTCTGAAGCTCCAGCCAACAGGATGTATGGTATAAGGAAAAGAGAATTAAGGATACTCCAGGCTTTCTGGGCTGAAAAAGTAAGGGTAGAGTTGCCATTAACATTTCCTTTCTTCATTCAACAGATATTTATTTGAGCACCTACCATGGAGGAGATTTCTGCATTCCTGATTAACCTAAGGACATGTGTGTTTTCATTTCATTCCCTTTTAGTTCTTCCTCCATGGGTCTGACTTGAACTCTCTCCACACAAACCTTCCAAGAAGCATCCTCCCCAAGGAGTATGGGGGCACGGCTGGGGAGCTGGACACTGCCACCTGGAACGCGGTACTGCTGGCTTCAGAAGACGATTTTGTGAAAGAGTTCTGCCAACCTGTTCCTGCCTGTGACAGCATCCTGGGCCAGACGCTGCTGCCCGAGGGCCTGACCTCAGATGCACAGTGTGACGACTCCTTGCGAGCTGTGAAGTCACAGCTGTACTCCTGCTACTAGCCCGTCCCCCAGGGTCACCATCTTTAATTCTTTTCCTTCTTTTCTTTGGAGAGGCACAAGGAGAATTTAAGGGTCCATGGATTCAGTCTTGCTCCTTGTAATTAAACTGCAGGATGGAGGAACAGCCTGAGATATGAGCATGAGCCCATTTTGGGGTAAGCCTTTGGTTACTTTAATTACTCCATGGAAGACATGGAAAATGTCCCCACTGATTCTTAAACATTTGGAATCCCAGTCTGCAACTATTAATCTGGAGGCTATATCTATTTTGTTTTGCTTTTTGGTTGGGGGGTGGTGATCTGGTTCTTACACATCTTGGAAGCAAGAACAATCAGGACCAAAGTCACTTTGATCCCACTTTTCCAGGAGAAAAACCACCTGTTTGGCCAGTGAGAACTACTTGTATGAAATAATTTGGCCAAACCTTCAGTGTGACCAAATGTGAGACTGGGAGTTTGTGTTTTTCACAGGAACCCTAAGTATAGACCTCTGCTGCTCATCAGGAAACTTACTGGAGATGAAGGCCCCAGCTGTTGTCACCGGGTTTGGAAAGCACCTTAACTGAATCATGTAAGCATCAGGACATAAGCAGCACTTTGTGGTCAAATGTGGAAGCCGGAGACTTCAAAGCACCTCTGGGACCCACTGGTTGAAGTTTGCAATAGAAACTTAAGTTTTCCCAAATCCATAAAGCCTTAGCCCTGGTTCTCAATAGAATCAGGGACCTAGCAGGAAATGATTTTACTCAACCTAAAATGCTGGATCCCAGGCCCGTGTAGCTATAAGAATTCTGGCCTGGATCCCAGGTGTACAACTATGGACAAGATATGGGCCTCTACTTTCTCCTCTATAAAATGAGGCTGGATGAAATGTCAGCTAGGGCCATTTTGGCTGCTGAGGCTCTGGGATTTGGTTTAGTTACTGAATGTTAGATTTTCTGCCTAGAAAGATAACTATCTAGATACAAGTGGTTGGATCCTGTTTTTGTTTGTGGTACATGTGTCTTTCCAAGAGAGATGTGTCACCAATTAGCCCTGCCTTTAAAGAAACTATTATGTGTATTCCTGGGACTCACTGACACCAATTTTCTTTTTATAGTGATGGTTCAATTTTGAAAAGATGGCTTTTGTGAGGCCAGGTTAAGGTGACCAGGATCTTGTATGATGAATTCCTTCCATCCCTGAGACTCTGGTACTATATTGTAAACCTGGCTACAGTAGTTAATTACTTGAGATTCTTTAATTTTGGTCTCTGAGCTGGGCGTGGTGGTTCATGCCTGTAATCCCAGCACTTTGGGAGGCCAAGGTGTGCGGATCACAAGGTCAGGAGTTCGAGACCCGCCTGGCCAAGATGGTGAAACCCCATCTCTACTAAAAATACAAAAATTAGCTGGGCGTGGTGGCGGGCTCCTGTAGTCCCAGCTACTCGGGAGGCTGAGGCAGAAGAATCACGTGAACCCAGGAGGCAGAAGTGGCAGTGAGCCAAGATCGCACCACTGCACTCCAGCCTGGGCGACAGAGCAAGACTCTGCCTCAAAAAAAAAAAAAAAAAAAAAAAATTTTTTTTTTTTTGGTCTCTGGAAATGAACACAAGGGCAGGTTATTCCTGGGTCACTTCTGGGCCCCCCTGCCCTCCCAGCCCCACTTGAGTTTCTCTCTCTGGTGTGGGTGAACCAGTCAGCCTGAATGTTCTGCATTTCAGCACTTTAGAACCTCCCTGTGAAGATTTTAGCCTTAGCCCAAACATCAAATTAGACGGTTCACATGATGGTTTTTGACCTATTTCCTTTCTAATGTATTCCACATGATCATGGTGTTAAATAGTGAAAAGTACTGTGTTGTGTGTGCACCTTCTCCGTGCATTTATTAGACTAACCAGTCAAGCAGACAGCTCAGTTAGGGAGAAAACAATACTCTGAAATTTGAAGGCCAATCTGTTGTTACTAAGCTGTTTATCTCTATTGCCTTTTTAAATGTCTGGATAAGTTGTTGGTGGAAATTAAGTTACTTAACCTCATTAATACCAATTCTAGAGAAAGTTCTTTTCACCATGGATAGTAACCCTGGATCCTCTACGGTACTGGCTGAGCTGGAAGTGCCAAAAAGCACTCCTGGCTGCTTCTGGTTCCATCTGATGATGATGTGACACACACTGCTGAAAAGGCCCAAGCAGGGCAAGTGGGATGGCTGAAGGAGGGAAGGAGGGGGTTCAGAACCCACTGGCCTGGATGGGAGAACTGGGTGGAGGCTTCCCCAAGAGGGAAGACAGATAAACAAAACAAAACAAAAACTGGGTAAAGAGGAATGAATCACTCAGCCCTGATGTTTCAATTCTACACTGCATTCCTGGCCAGTCGCATTTGTTTTAATGCAGGCATGGCCACAGCTCTCCTAGAGAATTATCTCAAAGACCAGAAGGGACCTGGAGAGGCCTATTTCTTAGGTTTTTCCAGTTGGACAAGGAAGGAGTGGTTTCACTCAGCTTCTAGAAGGAGTTGGAGCCTAAGTTTATCTGCCTCCGGGAGCTGCTTGCTTTGTTTTGGCTCCGAAGAGGTATCAGATAGTTTTGACACCTCAGGAAACTTGAACCAAGCTGTGAAACCAAGACCTCCCTGCGTGAAAATCAAGGTGGTCTCCTTGTGGCTTCACCAGGATGTTTGTGTCAGGCTGTCTCAGCAGGGTGGGGAATGACCAGCCAGGGAGCACAGTGAGCCTTACTCAGCACTGGGGAGCGCACTGGTGAGGCAAACCCATGAACCTCAAGAACTGGGAGTATGTTCCTTCAGGGAGAAGTTCTGGCCCATTGCACAAACACTTGGAAATTAACTTTTCCCTAAATTCAAGATAGTGTGGTGTCGGAAGGAAATGGGACAGTAAATTAGGAGACGCGGGCTCCACCTTTACCTTACTACGTGGCCTTTGATGAGCTGGCTTAACATCCCTGAGTGATTCCATGATAGAGATCTATACTCCAAACTTTATTCCTGGTATCTAGTTGGCTTCACTGCCACAGACACTGTACTCTCTCTTTTTAGAAGTTTTTTTCCTTTTTTTTCCCCCTCAATTGGCTTATTTAGTAAATTTAGGTCTGAATGAATTGGTACCTAAAAGCTTCCAAATCTATACATTTCAGAATATGGGAATTTTCTTCCTCTTCTTCCCCCATATCCCAACATGGAATTCTGGAAAACTGTGCCTCTTCCCCTGTTCTGCCTTCATGGGGGAGAGACTGGATGAAATCTACAAAAACAGCCAAAAGTGCCACCCTGGCTTCATGTCTTGAATTTCTAACTTGCTCTTGGCAAAGGTCGCTTTATTTTTTAATTTTTTTCCTTGCATTTTCTTTTTTATTCTATTGCTGCTGCAAAAATTAAGGCAAAAGTAGCTTTCGATCTTTCATATTTCATCCTGGTTTCACAAGGAGTCACTTATCTTAGGAGGTCTGTAAGTCAGGTTACAAGGCCGGGAGCGGTGGCTCACACCTGTAATCCCAACACTTTGAGCGGCTGAGGTGGGTGTATCACCTGAAGTCCGGAGTTTGAGACCAGCCTGGCCAACATGGTGAAACCCCGTCTCTACTAAAAATACAAAAAATTGGCTGGGCATGGTGGTGGGTGCCTGTAATCCCAGCTACTTGGGAAGCTGAAGCAGGAGAATCACTTAAACCCAGGTGGCGGAGGTTGCAGTGAGCCGACATCGCGCCATTGCACTCCAGCCTGGGTGACGAGTGAAACTCCATCTCAAAAATAAAAATTGAAAAATCAGGTTACAAAACACCATTTTTCCCGAAATAAGACAATAAGAGGCTTTTCTCTGAATTCCTTTATATTGAGCCTTTCAGAATTCTCCCTGGGTGGGCAATTTCTTTAAATAGTATTTGACCCTCAGATCAATCCTGGGAATTTTTTTCATTTGGGTAGCAAAAGCTAGAGTATTGCTGTGGCGATTATAATACTTTTAAAAAGTTTTACCATTTTAAAGTTGCCAACATTTAATTAAGGTTTTCCTTTGAAGCCTCCTTTAATTTAGGGAGTAAAATGTTAGCTAAACCAATTATATACTATATACTATACACTGTATCTCCTGTGGCCATGAGAGGTGTGGCTATACCGAACAGAAACATGCCTACTGTTCAGGAAAGATGTCAGTTCTGGTAACACCTCTCTGTATTGGGATCTGTTAATTTTGTAAATCTAAATTCTTCTGCTCTTGGCCAGGTGCAGTAGTTCATGCCCTGTAATCCTAGAACTTTGGGAGGCTGAAGGGGGGGCGGATCATTTGAGGTCAGGAGTTTGAGACCAGCCTGGCCAACATGGTGAAACCCCATCTCTACTAAAAAGTACAAAAATTAGCTGGGTGTGGTGGTGCGTGCCTGTAATCCCAACTACTTGGGAGGCTGAGGCAGGAGAATCGCTTGAACCTGGGAGGCAGCGGTTGCAGTAAGCCAAGACTATGCCACTGCACTCCCGCCTGGGTGACAAAGCAATATTCTGTGTCAAATAAATAAATTCATTCTTCTGCTCTCCTGACTTAGAGAAATGGTTTGCTTAAAATGCTAGTAACAAACATCACAGTCAACAGGAGCTTGCTTCATGCGAAGGATCAATGTGATTTGTGGATGGAGATGATAGTGATGAAATTCCTGTTTCATGGGGCTGTTTTTCTTTTCATCTCACTGGGCAGCAGGTTTAGTGAGGCAGTGAGATGCTGCTGCTGTGGATTCTTGTAGCTATGCCTCGGCTTCTTGGCATATCAGGTAGGAACCTGTTACAAGTGAAATACTTGAAACCTCTCTGACCAAGAGCCTCTGATGGAGTGGGAGGTGAGCTAATTCTCTGACCAGCTTGGGGCACTGTTTCAGCCACTGGTCACATTCCTTGCTTCAAACTGAAATTCAGTTTGGCTTTGAGTATAGGGATACATGGTGGATTCATGTACTTCAGTGTTTGTTTTGACCAAAGTTTATTTTTCTAGTGCATTTTCTAAGTCAAAGTGGTGAAAATATGTAATAATTTTAGTATGCATGACTCAGTCTGAAACAATAAAAATCTCTGAAAAATGTGCATGGGGTTCTTTTGTGATGATGACAGTTTGGATAAAGGTTCCAAGGTTCATTATTCACAGCCCGGGTAGACCACCTCCTCTGCAGGTGAGGGAGGGAGGGGCACTGTGATAGGACAGTGCATTCTGTAGATGCGCTGGCTGCCTCTGAAGATCATACACAATTAGACTGCTGCAGTATGGAGAGGAGAATGCAGCTAGCTACACAGAGCAGTAGAGGTGATATGCAAATTTTTACATTCTTGAGGCCCAGCTATACTTCTTGGACTGGCCTTGAGTCTTTCCAGTGATAGCCAGCGATTTCCTCAATGTGCGCATGTGGGCTGGGCACACATGTGTTAAGGACACTCATAAATAATGTATTTTAACCTTCAGCTACCCTTAATGAAGCTGCATTACTGTTCCTGTTGGCAAAATGTAGCTTGCCCAGTGACACACAACTAGCCAAATACTAAGGATGGGATTCAAACCCAGGAAGTATGACAAGCCCACTGTTTTCTCCTGATGGCTGGAGACAAATAACGAGTCCCCAGATAGAAGAGAGAGAGAAGGCAGGACTCTTTCATAGAGTAAGAAAGAACCAGAAATTGACTTTTTAACTGGCTTCTTGAAAATACAAGCAGTGGTTGTTAACCTCTCTGAAACCCAAGTTGTAACAACATTTTATTCCAGAAGTAAGCCCAGACTCCTTGAGGGGTAACTGGAGCACGGCTTGCCCAACTATGGTCCCAGGCCTGCTAAGCTGTTTCTATGTCCCCTGTTTATTTGGTACTCTGTGCCCCAGAGTAGACAAAAACTAGGTCCCCATGGTAGATCTGGTGACTTGATGAGTCAGTTGAGAAATACTCTAACACAGGAGGTACACTTTTGATGATGCAACAGGTTAAGTACTTATATTGCAGCATAACCACCCCTTCAGGTCAGCCTTTCCTGAGGAAATTGTGGAACTTAAGTTCAGTCTGTTTCTCACATATAGAAAAATGAAGCTAACTGTTAAAATCCTTTTCTCTCACAGCAGTCTTATGAGGCCCTTTTCCATGAGTCAGTATTTTCTTGATGCCCCCTGCCCCCTCCTTACACAGTACTGGTTTGGTACCCATACACTCAATGGCAATAAAGTTTCACATTATCGCATTTAAAGGGTAAGTAATAAGACCCTTTAGGGTACCACTCTTCTGGGGAAAACGTTTTTAACCTAATATTCATGCTTTTTCCTGAGTAGGTGCCAGCCACTAGGGATAGCTGACCTAGTAAAAGACATGAGTCACTTGCCTTCAGGTGACTACTAACTTGTCTTTGTCAGTGATGGGTAGAGGAGCAAACACTCTGTGCCTGAGAGTAGACAAAAACTAGGTTCCCATGGTAGATCTGGTGAGTTGGTGATGAGTCATTAGTGAGCCAGATGACTCCCCTACATGTCTCTAATAAATCCTGTCTCTTATATTCTTATGGCCCAAGAGACACTGAGGTCTAATTGAAAAAAGAACTCTTAAGCCAAGCCCTGGGTTTCTCTGTTTCACCTCTTACTGAGTAACCATAGGCAAGTCACGAACTTCTCTAAGCCTCAAACTGATACGTAAAAGGAAGGAGGGAGGGAAATAATCACCACCTTACAGGCATGTGGATACTGTCTGTTTAATGCTTGGTACACCTACCCATCTATGTGGTTTCTATTATTCTTCTTCACCTGAGAACATAGGCATGGTGTGGCTTGAGTCATCCAGCAGTAATTAGGACATCACTGAGTTGGGTGCCTAGGTAACAGGACGGACAGACCAACACAACAGGAGTAAAGAGATGAACAGCAGCTTCCATTAATAAGCATAAGCCTACTATCTGTTATCAATCTGCACAGATCAAATGCACAACTCATTATGTGAATACTCACTTTAGCCTGAATGTGTAAAAACAGCCAGGTGCAGTGGCTCCCGCCTGT